>NC_000018.10:49725910-50026576 GCF_000001405.40 Homo sapiens
GGGCCCTGGAAGGTTTATAGGCAAGACACCTTGGGGTCATTTCCTCCCCTCTACCATCTGGCCCCATTTGCTGTACTGAAGTGAATTCCAGTAAGATTAACACCCTTGATAAGGGAAGAGAGATGAAGAGGGAAGAGCTCTTTGACTTGGTCCTGGGAAATACACTTCTGTCTCTTGCCACCCTGGAGGGCCAGCAATAGCTGAGCTGCCAGGGAGTGGGGGTCGGGCTGTAAAGTGAGACTTCCTTCAGTCCCCCACCTCCACTTCCTTATATTAGGAATTTTAACAAAAGGAGGAACATGAAACCAGATAGTAATAATCTATCAGCCTTTCATGTTGTCCTGGGAAATCTGCTTGAGAAGCCACACACAGAGGGTGAGTCACAGGGGTCCAGCCTTGCATTGGCTGGGAGGATCTCCTGATCCCTTGGAAGAAAGCTAGTCCTGCTCCTATTGGAGGGGAGCAGACCCAAAGGCCGCAGCGATTGCCTGGCTCGGTGACGCTGGAACGCATTTCTACCACCGGGGCCTCCCAGCTTCTGCTCAGCTCCTGGCAGGCAGTGTGTGTGGCTTCTCGAAACTGTCTGTGAAGTTTGGAAGAAAGTCCTGACTAGGTTAGGAAAATAAGAAAGACAGTCCATGGCACAGCCAACAAAATCTGTGTATGAGTGTCTGCCCCGTAAAGACAGGCCACGAAGTCTGCACCTGGTTCAAATTATCCGACGCATCCCTCCCAGGGGTGGCAATTCTGATGTGACTGAAAAAGTGTGAAGGCTTCTTAATCCTGCAGAAAAATCACACTTTCCATAGTAACAGCTCATTCCTGGTTTGGATCTTAAGACTTGGGCCTGGCAGGCAGGTCAGTGCTCTGAAATCCTAGAAGGGAAGATTTACCAACTCTCCCATGGTAACTGTCTGGAAACTGACTGGCCACAGTGAGCATGGGCTCCTATCTTCTGGGTCAGGCCTCAGCCAACTCTTTTGCTCCCCTCCATCTCTGTGGGCCACCTCTCTCTGTTTCCCATGGACACGTCTTTTCCATTTTCTGGAAGCATATTTGAGAAAAAGAATCAAGAAATTATCGCTTTTTTTTTTTTTTGAGATGGAGTCTCACTCTTTTTGCCCAGGCTGGAGTGCAGTGGCGCAATCTCAGCTCACTGCAACCTCTGCCTCCGAGGTTCAAGCAATTCTCCTGCCTCAGCCTCCCGAGTAGCTAGGATTATAAGCAAGTACTACCATGCCCGGCTATTTTTTTGTATTTTTTAGTAGAGACAGGGTTTCACCATGTTGGCCAGCAGGCTGGTCTCAAACTCCTGACTTCAAGTGATCCTCCTGCCTGGGCCTCCCAAAGTGCTGGGATTACAGGTGTGAGCCACCAAGCCCAGCCGAGAAGTTTTCTCTAGCTCTGCGTGCAATGCATTCTGGGCAATATAGATCTGTTATAAGGACTTGGTGAAAGGGGGTCGGGTAGGGAGACACAATGTCCTAAAATGTAGGAGCTGGAACAATAAGAGCTGGCATTTAAAAAAAAAAAGTTTTCATAAACACCAGCCTTGGTGCCTCATTTCATTTACTCCTTACCACAAATGACTGGAGGTAGTTTCCTGATTTTATAGGTGAAGGCCGGTTAAGTAACTTGTCCCTGTCCACTTGTGTTGTAAGTGGCAGCACTGACATTCGACTCAACCCCATCTCAGCCCAGGGCCCATGTTCTATCACTAAGCTACCCACAAAAGGACTTTGGAGAGCACCTTGCTTAGAGCTCTCATTTATCCAATGCAGTGGAGGCTCCGGGGTCCCAAGGGACTCCCTCAAAGTCATGTAATTAGCTAATGAAAAAGTTGGGATGAGAAGCCAGATGCCCTGTCTCCTGCGCCAGGGTAACATGGTTGAAAGAGCTTGTGACTGTGCCCTTAGAGTCGGGGTGACCTCAGGCAAGCTGATGATCACTGAGCTGCCAAGTCGCCATCCGTAGAACCAGCATGGAAGAGACCTACCTCGTAGTTTGCAGTGAGGGTTAGATGCAAGAGTCGACGCAAAGCTCCCAGTGTTGAACCTGGTGCTTGTTGGAGATTTAACACAGTTACTATTATTTACTCTGGCAATGGTACCATCCTATTTCACTCACACAGTTTCTCCTTGTTTGCTAAGATAATAACTAAGTCTGTTTCCTCGGCTGGACAGGGGCGGAACTGGGCACAGGGCAGGCCCCTGCCGACCCTTACAGATCAGCAGAAAGAACCTCTTACTTGGCCCATGGTTTGGAGTAATAATCAAAATCCGTGCTTGGGATCCAAGAACTGGGCTGAGCCCTGGGCTGGAGCCGACCTACCATGAGGGAGATGACAATACAGTGACCAATGTCCCAGTTTACACAGGACTGAGGGGTTTCCCGGGACGTGGGCCTTTCGGTCCTCAAACCAGAACATTTCTGGAAATGGCTGGCCACATGACAGCAGCAAGTCGGGGCCAGGGTGAATACCCTTGGGCCTCGGTAGTGCGAGGAGTGGCTTCCAGAAGAGAGTTTGGGGCATCCCAGTGGCAGTGTCTGGGGCCACCCTGGAGAGTTATTTCCTGGTAAAGGTGAAGGGCTTTGGAGCAATGAAGGAATTCCTGGGAAAAGAAGCCCATGGGCCTTAAACTCCTGTGGGGCAGGGAAGCCAGGCCGCTCTTGGGCCCCTAGAGCACTGAGTTCTGATATTGAGGGTCCCAGGATTGGGGTGCTGCAGAGACTTGGGTGAACAATGTCATGAAGAGGGGGAGGCCAAATGGCCTCCACTGGGCCTTTGGTGGCAACATTCTCCTCTCAGCATAGATTCTGGGAAAGGTGAGGCTTTCTGGCGCCCCCTAGGGCCCAAAGGCTGGAGCAAGCCCGATGGGGAAAAGGCACTGCAGTTGCTCTGGGCCTTGGATGAGACTTCCTCTCATGGGCCTCCATTCCCCTATCTGTGAGACGCCTAAATTACTCAGGGACACATCTAGCTGAGACAGTGGGTGAGGCAAAGCAAAGACATTGATACTACTTTCTCTCTTTTTTTCTTTTTCTTCTTTTTTTTTTGAGATGGAGTCTTGCTTTGTCACCCAGGCTGGAGTGCAGTGGCTTGATCTCGGCTCACTGCAACCTCTGCCTCCTGGGTTGAAGCAATTCTCCTGCCTTAGCCTCCAGAGTAGCTGGGACTACAGGTGTGTGCCACCACACCTGGCTAATTTTTAGATGAGGTTTCACCGTGTTAGCCAGGATGGTCTCTATCTCCTGAGCTTGTGATCCACCTGCCTTGGCCTCCCAAAGTGCTGGGATTATAGGCATGAACCAACACACCCAGCTCACTTTCTCTTTAAACTCCGTAAGAACTGCCCCATTTCATTAAAAAAAAAAAAAAAAAAAAAAAAAAAGCCAGGTACAGTGGCTCATTCCCATAATCCTAGCTCCTAGCACTTTGGGAGGCCAGGGTGGGCAGATCACCTGAGGTCGGGAGTTCAAGACCATCCTGGCCAACATGGCGAAGCCCCGTCTCTACTAAAAATACAAAACTTAGCCAGGCATGGTGGTGCGTGTCTGTAATCCCAGCTACTTGGGAGGCTGAGGCAGGAGAATGGCTTGAATCTGGGAGGCAGAGATTGCAGTGAGCTGAGATCGTGCCACGGCCCTCCAGCCTGGATGACAGAGTGAAACTCCATCTCAAGAAAAAAAAGGGAGCAAATGGCTCATGATCATGGCCCAAGATCATGAAATCTTTGTCAGTCTGTGCAATTCAGGAACGCAGGGCAGAAAATAGTCTTGATCTGTCCTCTCTCGCCCTCAATGAGCACAATTTCCAGCTGCTTCCCTAGTGGTTTGGCAAAATAGAGCAGTCAGAAGTTTAGGAGTCCAGCTTTCAGTCTTGGCTGTGCCTGTTCCTGTTCCCAAGTGTCCTTTTCACATGTCTGAGCCTATGTCCCCATCTGTGAAGGGTGGGGGCGTGGGGCATTCCTATTTTGATTCTGTCAGAGGGTGTTGCAAGAAGCAAATATGAAAGGGCTTTGAAAAAGATAAAGTTCCACTCATACTTAAAGGATTATTGTTTACTTAATTCCTTGAAAGAAAATCACAGTGGGAACTTCCTCAGGCCCTGGAGGGTTGAGTTTTCTGGGGATAATTTCAATTTATCTGATGGGGGTTCTACACATGCCTGGCTGGTGGGGGACCCACATCTGGGAGACATACTCGCTCAGCTGCATCTCACTGTTATGTGAACGGGCCAAGTGTGGCCTCAGTGGCTTGGCCTAACATGTTCCTGTCTTGTTCATTTATTCACAGCAGGCTAGGACCATTAGCCCAAAGCCAGCCAGTGCTAAACTCAAATTCTTACATATCCAATTGCTTGGAATATCATCCAAATAAACATACAGATGGTCCCTGACTTACAATGGTTCAGTTAAAAATGTTTCAGCTCTACAATGGTGTAAAAGCACTGTGCATTCGGTACGCTCTCTGACCTTCCATGGGGTTAGACATTTTCAGCTTATGATGGGCTTGTCAGGAGGCAGCCCCATCGTAAGTTGGGGAGCATCTGTATTTCTGGCCATTTAGAGCCTACCTATTTTGCATATTCCAACATCTGCTGACCATGGATAAGACAAACCCTGTGGCTGTGAAGGACTCCACATCGCTGCTGCCCTTCAGAGCTCTTGGACCCAGGGACTCCCCACCTTGTGGAGGGACATCACCCGGACAACTCCCCTTTCTTCCCCAGGAGCTCCCCAACCCTAGCCCTACTCCCCTTCTGGGTGGTGGTCTTGCCTGCCAGCTGCAGAAGGCCCCTTGCCGGGAGGGACACACCGTCTCCTTCCACACTGTCCAAGTGCCACCGAATATAGCTTGTTGCATGTTGCTGCCTCCCATGGTCTGGTGTCTTCCTGGATCAAACCTGACATTCTCAAACTTATTGCACTCCCTCTGTCTGCTCCTTAGTCAAAAAAATCTCAGACAATTTTCCAGTGGCTCAGTGTAGGTGCTGTGTAAATAAAGCCTCCTTCACCTGGAAATTCTCCTGCGTGAGGCTGTGCTCCTCAGGGCCCGAGGCCTTTGGGATGGGCAGTGACTCCTGGAATCCAGAGGGACAGAAACCCAAATGCAAATGCCCAGGCTCCAGGCTCAGGTGACATCTGTGGTCAGACACCTGCGGCTGGAGGTGGGAATGGCCAGAGGAGCTGCTGGGGCAAAGGTAGGAACTAGGGCAGACAGGCCTTCAGGGTGCTGTTGCTGGAAGGGTGGAGCTTGGCAAGTAATCTTTCCAAGAGAGATCACTGGAGAGGGTCCCACAGAGATAAGGAGATCGAAGTCTGGGAAGCTGTGTGAAGTGACTTGCCCTGTTCACATGCTAATTACGGGCAGAGCTGGGGTGCCTGATAATGACTCTTGAACCACAGTCCCCTGCTTAAACTTGCAGGGGGCCCATTTGTACCAGAGAGTGAGTCACATGATTTGCCATGAGCACAGTACTTGCAGACTGGCCATCATCTTTATCTTACAGCTGTAAAATCAGAATATCCCATTCCCCTGGCTGCTGTGATTGGTTCCGGGTGGAAAGTATTTCAGCAGAGCTGGTGATAATCAATGCCACTTTTCCTGTACTTACTGAGAGTAAGGCACATGGTCTTTCTAGCTATGCACAAACCTGGACAGTGAGGGCCTGGACCTGCCATGCAACTCTTGCCCCACATAGAGACAGAGAATAAAGACAGCCCAGAGAATAAACACAGGAGACACAGACTGAATCCTGGTAATATTGTTTGAGCTCACAGATCAAGCTTCACCTGAAGTTCTCCCGGGACTTTTTAGTCATGAGAAATTCTTTTCATATAACGAATTTGAGTCAGATTTTCTCTCTTTGTAGCTTTGGCACTGGGGTGCCAAATCGGCCATCCCCCGGTAGTTATTTTCCACTCCTATTCTTCAGCCATGGTTCTTTTGATCGTCATGGTCATCTAATGCATCTCTTGCCAGATCCCAAAGTTCAGCCTAGTTGAATAAATATTTATTGAATTTCTACTGTATACCAAGCCCTGTGTTATGTTGTGCGAGAGAAAGATTATTAGGACATAGTTCCTGCTTTCAAGGAATTTACAGACTCAGAACATGTTATTAAGTGAACCATAAGACACAGTGATATGTGTACTTATGCAAGTCCATGCAAGGCCCAGAAACATACCTAGGAAGAAGGAATTCAGTCTGGGGAGGTGAGGGAGCTATGAAGGGGAGGGGACACTGGAGCAGGCTTCTGAATGATGAGAGTGAGGCTGGAGGCAAGACACTACTGAGCAATGACTGCTTTCCCCCAGCCTTTGTTGACCTTGCTTAGGTGACTGGCTGTTTGGCTTCCTTCGCCACAGGCTAGTTCTTGCCTGTGCACAGTGGCTCCTGTAGAGAAGCTTGAATCAGTTCCTCAGGGGATGAGCTCAGGGCCATTTGGCCATATAGGCCACCCTGGGTTTTTTAACTTGGAGAAGAGCTGAGTATTCTAAAATGCATATTTTTGGGCTTTGGCATTTGTGTTTATATACCTAAGGATTTCTATATGGAGAATAAGAAAGTATTACGTCTACTTTGTCGGGCTCAGAAAACTGAGATAGGACCAGATATGGGGAGACTTCATTAGACCCTTGATATGACCCTGGCTGAGCTGCTCAGCCTCCCTCCTGCATTCCTGCCCACCCAGCCCTGCAGCCCCTGATGCCTGGGCATTACTAAACTGTTTGCTATTCTTGGAACACATTAACCCTCTCCTCCTCCATGTCTCTGCAATGCTGCTCTCTCTCCCAGGAAGGCCTCCATTTTTTCTTTTTCCTTTTTTTTTTTTAAACAGGATCTTGCTCTGTTGCCTAGGTTGGAGTGCAGTAGTGTTATGATGGCTCACCACAGCCTCGACCTCCCAGGCTCAGGTGATCCTCCTCCCACCTCAGCCTCCCAAGTATCTGGGACTACAGGTGCACACCACCATGCCCAGCTAATTTTTTGTATGTTTTTGTAGAGATGGGGTTTCACCATGTTGCTCAGGCTGGTCTCAAACACCTGAGCTCAAGCGATCCACCCACCTCAGCCTCCCAAAGTGCTGGCATCACAGGCATGAGCCACCACACCCTGCCAGGCCTCCTCCTTGTCACCGTCACCGTGACTTCTTGTTCTCACACTTCACATAGAGGGCTACTTCTTCTGGAACCTTTTGCTCCTTCCTGGGAGACCTATGTATTCCTCCTCTTATGTTCTCACAATCCTTCATACAGTCTGTGGAGGAAAGGGGGAAGAGGGGACCTAATGACAAGAAAGTGTAAAATTGAGAAAATAGGAGGCTCTGCAGGGCCAAGCCCAGGGACACTCTGTCAGACCGAATAGTCCATTCCCCTCCCATCAGTCAACAGTGCTCAGCACTTTGCCCATTGAGGGTTCTGTTTAGAATGACATCATTTGTCCCTAGAGATGCTATCAAGGCCCTTCTGGAAGGGCCTAGCCCAAGTGGACAACCCCTGCTCAACCACCCAAACCACTCATAAGCTACCTGCTACCCCAACATCACAGTCATTATTTGATTGTGTTGTTATTGGCGGCACAGATGTCTCCTCTCTGAATTGTAAGTTCCTTGGGGCTAACTTATAGCTTATAGAGTTATTCAGCAGGCATTCAATAAATAGATGTTGAATGAGTCAGTGAGTTAGTGTGGAGAAGGAATACATTAACCCTTCCCATGGATGGAGAATGGTGATCAAAGAAGAAATTAATAATAACCAAAAACCTGGGCTCTTATCAATGTAACTATGGGCAGGTGCTCTGACCTTTGGAAGCCTTTTCTTTCTGAGGATGAGGATGGTGGGCCCTTGAGCTCAGGCTGCAAAATGTTGACCCTAAGAGCACCGACCTTTCTTACAATGGCAGGTTTTTCCAAGTGCAATCTGCTGCCTCCAGAAATGCTCTCTTAGACTGGTAACTTCCTGTTGGAACCCTGCATGGGGTGGAGAACCAGGTTCCCCTCCCCGCATCCCCTTTGTAACGCAAAGGTTTTTCTTGTCGACTTGCCCACAGTCTCACCACTGGTTAAGATGGAGTTGAACATCCCAACAAGTTCTCTTTCTACAAGACCATGTTGCCCCATCACAATACCTGAAAATCTGCAACCATTTGAAATATGCCAAGAGTACTCCACAGACTCCACTTTGCAGTCACCAGCCAAAATGCCAAGCATAGCTAGAGGAGATAAAGGGATGTCAATCAATCTTGTTGAAGATGTAAAACCAGGAAAGGGACTGGAGGCACTTCATGACACCCATTTTGGGTCAGAAGAAGAAGTGAGAGAGAAACTGGGAAATGGAAATAAAGGAAAGGGAGAGTTTGAAAGAGCTTATTATTAGAAACCAGACGGGTGAACTCTGGGGTCAGTTTCCTTCCCAGTAGCTTTTCTTGAGCCCTTCCCAGTGACAAGGTGTGGTTTTTGGCGAGGAGGCTTTCTTGGCTGTGGCACGAAAAGAAGGGATGCTGGGCTAGCAGTTTTCTGGGTCTTGGGGTTTCAAAGTCGAGAGGGCAGAAGGTTATCCTTTTGAGCTTGTGGTCGTGCACAGCTGACATCTGATGAATTGAAGCATCCAAGAGGCTTACCCTTCACCCCATGGTTGAGCCCAGAGCTATTCTCAAGAATGAGAGGAACCAGAGAAGACTTCAGTGTCAGCTGTCCAGGCCAAAGAGTTAGGAGTTTAGTTTTCTTGGTTCTGTCACTCCAAGACATTCTGGCTACAGCAACATTGTTGAAGGTGTGTCTCTGAGGTTACATATTAGAGCATCATGTGGAAAATTTAAACATATTTCTTTAAGATTTCATGAAGCAGACACTGATAATTGGCTACCCCTAAAGGCTCTCTCAACCCCAATCTCCCTTGCCATTTCTCACCATCAATGCAAGAATTGTTAAATATTTACTCCCATAGTCTTCCTCGCAGATAGGAACATGAGTCTTCCATGCAGATAGCCACATGATCCTGTTCTAACCATGAGATAGAAGCAGAAGTTGAAAGTTTTTAGAAACCTTATGCTTTCATGATGAATGAAACTGAGAGGACCAACTTGGGATTTTTCCTTCCTCCTCCCGTGTGCTATAAATACAAACATGATGGCCAGAACAGAGGCAGCCCTCGTGGTAACTATGAGGGAAAGCCAAGAAAATCACAGTGACATCTGTCCGAACATGACTGACCCATTGAATCCAGGCCAGCAACTTTCTCTCTCAGAGCTTCTTGTCTTTTTTAAAAAACTCAACATTTGAAGGTATTATCATTAAGTTTTCTGGCTTTTTTTTTTTTTTTTTGCTGCTGAGCGCAATCATAATTGATACCCAGAAAGTCTCAGTACCTTTAATATGCTAATGTGTATTTTGAATCTCCAAGAGGTGAAGAGAACATGCACCAATTCCAAACTTGTATGACTCAGATACCATTTTAAAAAAAATAATTGTTATGGGATTAGTGTTTCAGGTACACCCCTTGGGAAACTCTGCGTTAGGGGATCACAAGCCTGGTGTGATGGATGGACACTATTGGGGGGCGCCCATGTTCATGCCCTGGATAATCCCTTCCTTTGGAGTGTAAGACCTGTCACTTGCTTCTAACCATTAGAATATGGCAAAGTAGATGGGATGCCACCCCCACGATTATGTCACAAGATACAGAGAGGGAAAGAGAACAAGATATACATACGTAATACATATAGGTAGTTCCATCTTGCTAGCATGTGCTAGACAGAATCTCCTACTGGTCTTGAAGCAGTAAATTGCACCGCTGTAAACTGCCTATGGAGAGGGCCACACAGCCAGAAACTGTGTGCCCTTTAGGAGCTGAGGGCTTCAGTCATACAGCTGCAAGAACTGAATTCTACCAACAACCACAGGAGCTTCGAAGGGACCACAACTTCAGGTGAAACCACCACAGCACCGACCAACAGGGCAATTGAATTGCAGCCCCATGAGATCCTGAGCAGAATTAAGCTGTACTCAGAGTTCTGATCCATGGAAGCTAGGAGATAATCAATGTGTGTGTTGTTTTAAACACTAAGTTTGTGGTCATTGTTACACAGCAATAGAAAACTAGTATACCCAGGAAAGGGCCGGCTCTCAATGCAATGCTGTGGCTTGTAGGTCAGCTGTTATACGGGGTTTGGGACTGATGAAGTTCAGCCTTTCTCCTATAGTTCATCTGCTTTCCTTCTAGCACATTGTCCTCAAACACAGCTGCCCTAACCTAGCAAACTCTTTCACATCGAAAACCCTCAATAAATGAAACAGCTCCAAATACAGGCCATTCTGCCATGAGTTTTGTCACCTCCTGTTGGTCTTTGAGTCTTTAGAAATACGAAGTTGCCTTGTACAGAGGGTTCATTCCATGTTCCAGCTACTTGGAGAGAAATTGTCTTCCCTGGGGGGCTTGGACATTATTCTTGGAGACTATTTTGCCCCTCAGATTAGAGAAGCTGGTTTCCTGGTATTTTGGTTATTTATCATTCTTTCCTGTTCTCATTTGAGATTCAAAATATATGCCTTCCTGCGAAACTTCCAGAAGAGGAATTGATGGGTGAGAGTAGCAAAGAGGCTTTGTGGGGTCCTTTTCACAGGGGTATTTCCAAACTTTTTCTAGTAAAAAAATAAAAAGAGTCCATTTACCTGAGTTTTTAATATTTTGTCTTTTGCTCCAAATATTAAAGTCTGTGGCTTCAGACATCTATTTAGCAGATGCGTGTTTGCTACTTACTCGGTTATTCCTTTCATTAACTTTTTCTAGACTCCCGTTTCACCTGAGGCACAGAAGCTTTCCTTTGTTCACCGTTGCCAGCAGTTATTGGACTGTGGCTGGGATTACCTGTCAGAATTCACAGGTGAGCTCCACTCTGCACAGGGCCATGAGACCCTCCTGCCCAATCCACCCCGGATCCCCTCCATCTGTTCACACTCATCTGTCTTCTTTTCTATCAAGTCACAGACGGAAGATTTGTCTACAAAGAAATTTAAAACTGCAGCATAGTGTTTTTTTTAAAAACAAACAAAACAAGACTATCATTAAAATCAGAGTGGAGAGACCAGCCACAAAGATTTTGCAAAATTCTACAAAAAGAAAAAAAAAAGACAAAGGGTTAATATTCCTGTTATAAAATGTGCACTTACTTTTCAGTAAGAACTAAATGGTCACATTGAAAAATGGGGAGGACATGACTGTGTAAATCTGAGAGAAGAAATATAATTGCCCAAGAACTATGAAAAGATAATGATATTCCAACTTACATTAATCAGCGAAATGCACATTTTATTTAAATTTAAATTTTACATTGTATTGGAACAGTTTTAGATTGGCAAAGAATAAACAGAGTGATAAAACCAAGTGTAGGAAAGGTTTAGAAAATATGAGCGATTTCACATCCTGCTGTTAGGACTGTAAATGGATACAACACATTAGGAAGCCGTGAAATTGTACCTGTGTTCAGTACCGCCGCTGATGCAGATCTTGGTGTTTTTTGTTTGTTTGTTTGCTTTTTGTTTTTTGAGACAGAGTCTCACTCTGTTGCCCAGGCTGGAGTGCAATGGCACGATCTTGGCTCACTGCAACCTCTGCTTCCCAGGTTCAAGCAATTCTCCTGCCTCAGCCTCATGAGTACCTGGGACTATAGGTGCGCACCACTGCACCAGGCTAATTTTTGTATTTTTAGTAGAGACGGGGTTTCACCATGTTGGCCAGGCTGGTCTCGAACTCCTGACCTCAGGTGATCCTCCCACCTCAGCATCCCAAAGTGCTGGGATTACAGACATGCGTTAGCACCACCGGCCCCACTGATGCAGATCTTTTATTTCTTCAGATTGAGATGTATCCACCACATATTGCTGAACAGAAAACATCCTAAACAACAAGATTCTAGTTATCTAAAACTCACACCATATGCATATAAAGTTGCATACTATGTATGGTTAAATCTCTAAAACATACAAAGAGAAGTGTTCATGAGGATGGTCTCAGTAGCTCTTTCTGGCTCGTGGGATTTGGGGGTGTCTGGTTCTCACCTCCCAAGTTTGAGAGACCGGCCTGTTCCCATCCATCTCTAGTTCAGTGACAATAGCCCACAGCCTTTCCACTTCCACTTCTGGTGTCCAGCTGACCTGCATTCTCTGGGCACGTTCACTATGGGAAAAAAAGATTGGGTAGTGAGGCCATTCACAAGAAGCAAAGAAAACTTGGGTCTATTGAGAGAAGAGAAAAAAACATTCATTTTATTTTAAAATTTGTATATATTTTAAAGACATCTTAAAAAATAACATCTAGGCTGTTGCCCAGGCTGGAGTGCTGTGGTGCAATTTTGGCTCATTGCAGCCTCTGTCTCCTGGGTTCAAGTGACTCTCCTGCCTCAGCCTCCCAAGTAGCTGGGACTACAGGCATGCACCACCACACCTGGCTAATTTTTGTATTTTTGGTGAAGAGGGGGTTTCACCATGTTGGCCAGGCTGGTCTTGAACTCCTGACCTCAAGTGATCCACCCACCTTGGTCTCCCAAAGTGCTGGGATTACAGGAGTGAGCCACTGTGCCTGGCCGCTAATTTTGTTTTTTTATTTTTTTGTAGAGATGGCATCTCTCTATATTGCCCAGGCTGGTCTCAAGCTCCTGGCCTCAAGTGATCCTCCCACCTTGACTTCCCAAAATGCTGAGATTACAGGCATGAGCCACTGCACCTGGCCTCATTTATTTTAAGATCAAAGAAAAACCTTCAAAAGCAGGAGAAGCTTCCTGGACTAGACTGCCCTAAGAAGATGAAGGATTGTTGCCTATGTGGATTTTTAATCTTTTTTTTTTTTTTTTCTGGAACATTTGTCTCTATATCCCATATCCTTATATTGAGCAAGAATCTTTTAAAATTTATTTGAGAATGAAAGCTTCACCTATACAACTCAGCCAAACCGCAGTAAGTTCTCTACCAGATGGTGCCCTCCCGCGCCCGCCCCCCTAACACAACCAGGATCCAGATGGGCAGTGGTCTGGGGCACAGAGCAAGCACTGGAGCCCTGGGAACTGGGGGTGGGGGGTGGGGTTTCCTCAGCTTTCCCTTCTGTTTTCTTGGAAACAACTGGGCTTATTTAAACTGCCTGGATGGAAATTTTTATGAAGAACAAAAATGAGAATTTAGAGAATCAGTTTGAGGTTTTGTTCTCTTGGACTCCATATTCACTATAAGGGGAAACCCAAAAAGAAAAAAAAGCCTTGAGTTTTCTCTGGAGAGGGTGACAACTGATACTCTAAGTTCCTTTCTTCTGCTTAGGGGCTGAAAACCCCACAGTCCAGGCAGACCAGAGTGAAGTTGGTGGTAGGAACTCCGGTGACCTGAAGGAGCGACCTTGATCCAGGCAGACCCAGGAGTGCCACCTCAAACTCTGGTTTTTAAAAGAAAATAGAGGTGGAATTTTTTATGTCAAATCTTCTGATATGTAAACATGGGTGACTAATTGAAATATGTAAAAGATGCTGTTCGAATGAACTGGAGCCAGGAGAAACCCTAGATCATCTTGCTGAGTCTGTCATTTTGGAGCTAGGAGTCTGAGGTCCAGAGGAAGAACGACTTGCCAAGATGATGCCAGAAGTGAGACCAGAGCCTACACCTGCTGACTCATGGTGGGGTTCTATTAATTGGCATCAACTGATGGCTTTTTCAAACAACTAAAAAATATTTAGGTTAGTTCTCTCTCTCTCTCCCTCTTTCCCTCTTTTCTTTCAATTATTTATGCATTCAAGTATATCTCTTTTTTATTCTTTTCTAGACAATTTTAATTTTGAATTCCTCTCATGTAGAAGTTACTTAGGAGATTGTTTCTTAATTCTAAGTAGTGAAGACTTTTTAAGTATGCTTTTGTGATAAATTTTAATTGTATAGGCTGAGGCTCAGGACATTTAGCTTGTGTATCTCCACTTTTATATTTTATAGATTTTCTTTAGAGCCAAATATGAGATCAATTTTTACAAAGATTCTGAGGACAAAATAAAATGATGTTTATTTTTCATTGGTAAGACACTGAATTCTACGTATGTACGAAATCAAGCTCGTTAATTGTAATATTGAGATTCTCTATGTCGTTTATTTTTGTTTTACTAGATCTCCGAAATTCAGAAGTAATTAAGCCCAGGAGGGCGAGACTGCAGTGAGCTGTGATTGAGCCGCTGCACTCCAGCCTGGGTGACAGAGCAAGACCCTGTCTCAGAAAATAAATAAATAAATAAAATTCAAAAGTAGGCATATCTAAAGTATTTTACTACAGTATATGTGTGGGGGTATGTGTGTGCGTGCGTATACTTTAAGTTCTTCTTATATTGCAGTAGTTTTTGTTTTATGTATAACTATGCTATTTGGAATATCAAAATTTATAGCTGTTATATTTTTTCCAATATGTACATTTTACCATACCATAATGTCTCTCATAACTCCAATGAATGCTTCTGACTTTAAATTCTACTTCGCCTGATGTTAGTAGATCTGTCTATTCCTGCTTTCCTTCTAAGCATATCTGTTTGGTATCTCTTTGTCCATCGCTTTATTTTCTTTAAGTGTGTGATTATTTTAATATAACTAATATGATATATTTTATGTGTAAAATATATTATATTTTATATATTATATTTATATAATACATATATAAAATATTTATATATTTACGTATGTGTAATATAATTTAATATAATACACATACTAATTATAAAGAAATTAAGAAATACAGAAAAGTGTGAAGAAGAAAGCAACGAATTACCAAAAATTATACAACCTAAAAATAATTGGTTATAACATTTGACTGACATCTTTCCAGACGTCTCTCTATGCATAGAAAGAAAGAAGGATCTAGAGAAAGACAGAGATGGAGGCAGAGAGAGAGAGAGACAGAGTAGACGCTGAAACAGATGAAAACAATTGTATCATGATGGTATTAACTATATGTGATGTATTTTTGAAAATAAGTACCACACTTAATTTTAAAAGAATTTAACAGGAACAAAAGCTTCGGTCAAACTGTAATTCAGATCATTGTTCTTTCCTATAAAGGAAATAAATTCCTAGAAGGTGGTACTAAATTTGAGGGAATGTACGAAGTTGGACTCACTGTGGGTTCTTTATTTTTTTATTTATTAACTTTTATTTTAGGTTGAGGGGTACATGTACAGGTTTGTTATATAGGTAAATTGTGTGTCATTGGGGTTTTGTATACAGATTATTTCATCACCTAGGTAATAAGCATGGTACCCGATAGGTAGTTTCTCATTCCTTACCCTCCTGCCACGCTTCACCCTCAAGTAGGCCCTGGTGTCTGTCATTCCTTTCTTTGTGTCATATGTACTCAGCGTTTAGCTTCTACTTATAAGTGAGAAATGTGGCATTTGGTTTTCTGTTCCTGTGTAAATTTGCTTAGGGTGATGGCGTCCAGCTCCATCCATGTTGCTGCAAAGGGCATGATTTCATTCTTTTTTATAGCTGCATAGTATTCCATGGTGTAAGTGTATCACATTTTCTTCATCCAGTCTACCACTGGGCATTTAGGTTGATTCCATATCTTTGCTATTGTGAGTGCTGTTGTGATGAACATTCACATGCATATGTCTTTATGGTAGAATGATTTATATTCATTTGGGTGTATATCCAATAATGGGGTTGCTGAGTTGAATGGTAATTCTGTTTTAAGTTCTTTGAGGAATTGCCACACTACTTTCCACAATGGCTGAACTAATTTACATTCCCACTAGGAGTGTATAAGCGTTCCCTTTTCTCCACAACTTCACCAGCATCTGTTATTTTTTTGCATTGTGGGTTTTTTAAAATGTGAGTTTTCGGCCAGGCACAATGGCTTACGCCTGTAATCCCAGCACTTTGGGAGGCCAAGGTGGGCAGATCACCTGAGGTCAGGAGTTCGAGATCAGCCTGGCCGACATGGCAAAACCCCATCTCTACTAAAAACACAAAAAGAATTAGCTGGGTGTCGTGGCACATGCCTGTAATCCCAGCTACTAGGGAGGCTGAGGCAGGAGAATCACTTGAACCCAGGAAGCGGAGGTTGCGGTGAGCTGAGATCACACCACTGCACTCCAGCCTGGGCGACAGAGTGCTATGTCTAAAAAAAAAAAAAAAAAAAAGTGAGTTTCCGTAGAGATGAGATTGATACACGCTGGGAAAGATAAGAGATTAACATTTAGATACACGTCTATCCTGCCCTCTTCTTCTTTCTGGTTTCGATGCTTAAATTATTTCAACTTTTCAGAGTTTGCAACATTTCATTCTGCATCTGAAACCATCTCTCTCCTGGGTGTTAATAGCATTCCTGCATCCACCTGGATTCCATGCTCCCTACCAATCCCACTTCTACAGCTTCAGAATGGCAGGACTCTCTTTTGATGCAACCTTTAGTTAACAAGATCTCACCATCAAGTAGATTTTTCACAAGGGCTAACAGATGTTGTATTTTCTGAGTCCCTTCATGTCTGAAAATGTGAGCTCTTGCCTTTATACCTAAGCTCCAGCTTGGCTGGGTAGAATCCACTTGGGTCATATTCTGTTTTTCTTCTGGACATTTCTCCTTTGCTCTGGCACTGATTGCTGCTGGAAAGACATCTGAAACCCACCTGATTTTTCTCCTTGTAAGTGAATTATTTTTGTCCTGAATGTGAAAAAAAAATTTTAGTTTAATGGTTTAACCAGAATGTGTCTGAAGGTTTACTGTTAGAGATTTTTCCTAATAAGTGGTATGTGCTTTCAGTCTTGCAGTTTCAGTCTTTATTCTAATTCCTATGAGTTCACTGTTGTTAAAGTAAATTAAAATGACGAGAGACCAGCCTGAAGAATCTCTGACTAGACAAAAGCAGTCAGGCCTCATAAGTCATCTTAACTTTGCTTAATTTGCAAACTTTAGCAAAACTTAACTTTAGCCATTTCTGGTAAATGCTTATGTTAGAAAGAAAACCTCAGCCAATTATTGGCAGACAAAAAGTTTCTAATTATATAACTAGGGACTTTCGAATGGGATGAATCAAATAAGATAATTTTGCAACTGTCACCAATCAAATAATTTCTTTATCTTTTTTCCGTATTCAACCTAAAAATATTTGCCTCTGACGCTATGTCATTAGAACATTGAACATTTTTTTGGTCTGGCATACCCCAATTCATGAATTGCTTTTTCCTCAAATAAACTCTTTAAAATGTAATTGTGTCTCCAATTTTTCTTTTACACTATTCAAACACAGATCTCTCATCCTTTTGGAATGTATTCTGGTGTAGGGTCTAAGGGATGGGTCCAGTGTCTTTTTCCTGATGATATCCAGATGTTTTCTGGGCAGTTTGAGTTTGAGGTGCTGATGAAGCATGCAGGTGAGGCTGCGTTCAGGGCCACTGCGAATTCAGGGCTGGAGATGGGTCAGGGACCAACAGACAGATCTGAGGGCCATAGTAGGGACATCTAAACAAGGAGACAGACGGGATTGCGAAAGAAGGACAAGTCAGGACCAACATGCGTGGGGCCAAGTCCAAAACCTTGGGAGGCCTGTACATTTAGGAATACAAAAGAGGGAAAGAGATTGAAGAGGATGAAGGCTAAGAAAAGACCACTGGGTTGGGTCTTCAGAGATTGGCCTCCAAGGGAGATAAGCATCAGAGCCTGGCAGTGAAGGGCAAGGGAAGGAGCAGATGATGACACCAGTGAGGCAGCTCTTCCCGGAGTGGGATGACAGGAGAGGGGAAGGTGCAGCTGTGCAGACTTCACAGGAGAAAGGGGTGTTTCTATTAGGCAGAGTGAGGCTTTAGCAATTTAGTGGACCTGTGAAAGGGGTCAGGGTGGGGAGAGGTGGAAGATAAAGAGAAGGAAAACCACAACAATGATGGAAAGGTGGGCAGGTAGGAGATAGGGTCACAAGGCAGGATGCAAGTAACAGAGCTTCTATCTGAACCGTCTTAGGAAAAAGAGATCATTCACTGACTGGGCACGGTGGCTCACACCTCCGAGCACTTTGGGAGGCCAAAGCAGAATTGCTTGAGCCCAGGAGTTCAAGACCAGCCTGGGCAATATGGTGATACCCCTGTCTTTATAAAAAAAATTTTTTTTTAATTAGCCAGGTGTGGTGGTAGGCACCTGTGGTCCTAGCCACTTGGGATGCTGAGGTGGGAGACTCACTTAAGCCCAGGAGTTCGAGGCTGCAGTGAGCCATGTTCATGCCATTGTACTCTAGCCTCGGTAACAGAGCGATACCCTGTCTCAAATTATAGTAGTAATAATAATAATTTTAAAAAGAGATCATGGTAAAACCCTGTCTCTACTAAAGATACAAAAAATTAGCCAGGCGTGGTGGCACGTGCCTCTAATCCCAGCTACTTGGGAGGCTGAGGCAGGAGAATCGCTGGAACCCAGGAGGCGGAGGTTGCAGTGAGCCGAGATCACACCATTGCACTCCAGCCTGGGCGACAGGGTGAGACTCTGTCTCAAAAAAAAAAAAAAAAAAGATTATTTATTGCCTCATGTAACCAAACCAAGAGATGGGAAAGGAGAAAAAGGATGCAGAACTAAGGACTCAAATGTTGCCAAGTTCTGATTTCCATCGCTCATATCTGCTTCTCTGCAGATTGGCTTGGATGCGGCTTTCCCACACAGCAGGGAGCATGGCTGCCAGCCTCTGCACGCCTTGGGTTGGCAGTTCCCCCGGGAAAGAGGCAGTGTGTGAGGTACTGAGAGTGATGTTTCTGGAGATAGACTGCCTGGGTTTGAATTCTGGCTCTGCCATTTACTCGGGCAAATTCCTTTACCTTTCTGACCTTAGATTCCTTATCTGTAAAATGAGGTAATCACAGAATCTACTTCATGACTGCTATAGAAATTAAAGAGGATGATGCAACAGTGCTGACACTTAGTGGGTGCTCACTGTTCATAATTGCTAAGTGTTACAGCTGCTTTTAACATCATCTTCAACATTATTATGGAGCTGAGTCTCTTCTGATGTTAACGTGAACACCTTCAGGGAAGAACCTCGATTGGCCCATCTTGGGTCAAGTGCTCACTCCCATGGTCAGGGGGATGGGAAACCATGATGGGTGGTCCCCACTGGAGCCACATGGGTGGCTGGGGATGGGGTGTAAGTACCTGAATGAAGGAAAGTCTTCCTCCAAGAGAAGGAAGGGTGGTCAGGACTAACAGGAGCTGTCCACATCAGGGAGTGCAGTTAGCCCAGGACAGAGGAAGGGACTGTTCTTCCACGGCCTTCACTGTCTGACCCTCCCATTTTGCCAGCTGCTTATGGGAACTGCACCACACACCCAGCTTAAGTGACTCAGATATGAGGTTTCCTGAAGGTAGGGATCTGGTGTCTGCAGCATATGCTTCAAGTTCTACCAGATGCCCCAGCTGCTGTGTGGAGGGAAGGCAGGACCAAAGGGTGGCCAGCTGTAGGGGGCTGGGCCAAGATCAGAGGCAGTGCCACAGGGCAGGTTGGGCCCAGTTCCATTGTCACCCACTTCTTGGGCAGTTTCTCCATACACCAGCATACTAGTGCCACTCTGTTTCCCAGGGCCCATGGAAAAGACGTCATCACCAGAAGTCCATGGTCCTCAAGGAAAGGTCAGCTGTGCAGGCGGTGAACTTGAACCTGCCTCACCTGTGAAAGTGACACAGTGAAGAGGCCGATTTCATGTCAGCACAGGTCTGATGGGAACATTCTAGCCTATTCTAAAAATGATTGCACCTCCTCTCCTGGGGTAAGGCCCATCTCATGGGTGCTTCCTGACCCAGAGCACATTCCCTTTCCATCAGTCTCAGTCCAGCTGTGTGTGATTCTGCATCTCTGCAGACACTCACACTTGCATGGTCCACCTTCGGGCAAAGGTCCGGTGACCATGCTGAGAGCAAACACTGTTCTGGCGCTCATGCCCGGCACCTGCTGCAGGAGGCAAAGCACCGAGAGCGTTGACAAGTGTAAGCCTCGCTTTTCTCATTTGGATGGATGATCAGAGACCCAAAGAGGGGAGACTCCCTAATACACAGAACACCAGGAGCTGAAGGGGAGTAGCTTCTAAGATGAAGTTGCTCACAGTGCAGTAGGGAAGACCGGCCCATGAACAGATCATTAGAGGTGCTGTGATTGATACTGCAAGGAGGATAGGAGTCAACCTGTGGCTGAGCAGGACAGGGGTCATTTGTTTTGTCCCAGGAAATGGCCATTTGGAAAGGTGAGATAGGCTGGAACATGCAGGCAGGGTGGGGAAGGCCTTGAAGTTTGAGAAGGATTTTGCCGTGTTATGGATTCAACTGTGTCCTCTCCAATTCCGTATGTTGAAGTCGTAACCTCCATTACCACAGAATGTGACTGTATTTGAAGACAGGGTGTGATATTGTGATATAAGAAGAAATATATATTCTGGTCTTCACTCCTGGCCAAAGCTCCTAAAATGCTTGTCAGTTCCTAAGTGGTAAAGGTAAAAGGAGCATCTATTGTTATTACATTTGGTCTTTGTCCCTGGTTCCTGAAATAGCACCAGAGTGATACAGGTGAAAGGAGTGTCTTTTAAAATTCCTAAAAGCCCCTTCCACCACACCTGAGTTTATGTTAATAAGGTGACTTTCAGCAAGCCCCCAGCTAGCTGCCAGATGGGAGCTGGTTAGCTGATGATTAGAGGGTTGAAATTTTCAGCCCTACCTCCTCCACCTGTGGGGAGGTGCGGTGGCTTGACTCACCCAAACCACATCTCATCTCAAATTGTAATCCCCATAATTTTGTCCCCACCCAAATCTCTTCTTAAACTGTAGTCCCCATAATTTCCACGTTGGGGATGGGACTTGGTGGGAGGTGATTGGATCATTGGGGCAGTTTCCCTCTTGCTGTTCTCATGATAATGAGTTCTCACGAGATCTGATGGTTTTGTAAGTGTCTGACATTTCCTCCCACCCACATTCATTCTGTTTTCTCTCGCCGCCTTGTGAAGAAGGTGCCTGCTTCCCCTTCTGCCATGATTGTAAGTTACCTGAGGCCTCCCCAGCCATGCAGAACTGTGAGTCAATTAAACCTCTTTTCTTTATTCAGGCAGTTTTTTATAGCAGTGTGAAAATGGACTAATACAGGAGGGGAGAGGAGACTGGAGGTTGAGTTAATCGCAAATGGCCAATTATTTGATCAGTTACGCCTAGTAAGGAAGCCTCTATAGAAATCCAGAAGGACAGGGTCTGGAGGGCATCCTGGTTGCCAAACACATGGATGTGTCTGGAGGGCAGCAAGTCCACAGAGGGCAGGGAAGCTCCCCACCCTTCCCACATTCCTTGCCCCATGCATCTCTTCCATCTGGCTGTTCATCTGTATCCTTTGTAATATCCCATTTAATAAACTGGTAAACATTAAGTATTTCCTTGAGTTCAGTGAGCCATCCTAGTAAATTAATCTAATGCAAGGAAGGGGTAGTGGGAACCCTGATTTATAACTGATTGGTTAGAAGTATAGGTGACAACCTACTACTTGTGACTGGCATCTGAACTGACAATCCCATTGGGGGGCAGTCTTGTGGGACTAAGTCCTAACGTGTGGGATCTGATGGTATCTCCAGGCAGACAGTGTCAGAATTAAGTTAAACTATAGTACAGTTACTTGGTGTTTGCCAGGGCATTGGTTGCTGATGGAGAGATATCCCCACACATTTTGGGGTGAAGTGTTGAGTGTTGACCGTGTGAGAGGAGAAATAGTGTTTATTTTTCTGATACACTTGTTTTGAAACTTTGTATCTTGATAAGTTTATTCTGAATCTTGTGAAAGGATAAATATACAGTAATAGCCAAGTCCATTTAAAGAAAGAACAGTGAGCTACAAAGATATGTTAGAAACTATTAGAAAAAAATATATTAGAAATACATCATTTTCTCAGCACAGGAATAAACAATTGGATTAATGTGTTGACCTGAAAGGAAGAGGCTGAGGCATCTTTAGTTGAGCCAAAGTGAGGACAGCTGCCTGGGACACACTTCCACGTTGCCCTGGGGCGTGCTCCCATAGCCTTTGCTGCAAGCAGATTTTTAAAGGGAACAGGAGTGGGCTGGACGAAGTTGTTTGATAGGAATTCTCATTGGTTGACAGAAATAACATGATTTGTGATTGGCTATACACTGTTGAACTACAGGGTAGGAGTTAAGGCGTCCAACGTGTGGCATCTTATAGCTACTCAATGTCAGTCCAGAGCCCCTTAACAAGTGGCTTCAAGAGGTAATTATTTAGCTCAAGGGGGATGGATGTGGCTGCTGATTCATTCCAGTGCCTCTCTGAGCCTGATGGTTTAAAGGGACTTACATTCCTTGGGTTAAGTTTATTTTCTTCTTCCTTTTGTTTCTTCCACAAATGGAACAAAACAGGAAGTCGAAAAACAAATTCACATATGCATAGGAATTTAGTATTTTATAAGAAATGTCACTTCCAGTCAGTAGGAAAGGAAATATGATTCAGTGTTGGGAAAGTTGGTTATCTATTAGGAGGAAAAAATAAGTTGCAACCTTACCTCATACCACTTACAAAGATAAATGGGGGATAGATTAAGGAATGCTATAAATACATTAGAAGAAAATAT
The DNA here is from genome assembly GCF_000001405.40 of Homo sapiens. Lineage (NCBI taxonomy): Eukaryota > Metazoa > Chordata > Mammalia > Primates > Hominidae > Homo > Homo sapiens. The sequence continues at coordinate 49,748,514 of NC_000018.10, forward strand.
AAAATATATTGATGACCTTGGGGAAAAGAAGGCCTTCTACACAAACACACACACACAGACACACAGAGTGGAAAGGAAAAGTTTGAAGTCTTTTTTTTTTTTTTTTTTTTGAGACGGAGTCTTGTTCTGTTGCCCAGGCCGGAGTGCAGTGGTGCAGTCTCAGCTCACTGCAACCTCCACCTCCCGGGTTCAGGTGATTCTCCTGCCTTAGCATCCCCAGTAGCTGGGATTACAGCAAATACTTTGCTAACTTTTGTATTTTTAGTAGAGAGGGGATTTCACCATGTTGGCCAGGCTGGTCTCAAACTCCTGACCTCAGGTGATCCACTTGCCTCGGCCTCCCAGAGTTCTTTACAGGTGTGAGCCAATGCACCAGGCCTGAAGTCTCATAATTTGATTACCACATAATCAAACACTCCCGAGTGACAATGCCCCAAGTGCTCAACCTCATTAAATATTGAAACCAAGAGATGCTATGCTTTACCTGTCAGATGGACAAACTCTCCTTTTAATTAAACTTTTCATTTTGAGATAATTATAGATTCATATGCAGTTGGAAGAAATAATACAGAGAGACCCCTGTACCCTTTACCTGAGTTTCCCCAAAGGTAACATCATACAAAACTGTAGTACAATCTCACAACCAGAATATCAACACTGACACAGCTGAGATACAAAGCACTTCCATCACCGCAAAGATCACGCGGCCCTTTACCAGGCACGCCCACTTCCCTCGCACCCCGGCACTCCTTAATCCCTCTCAATGGCTAATCTGTTATTCATTTCCATAACTTTATCATGTCTAGAAGGTTATTTAAATGAAATCATGTAACGTAATTTATCGGGATTAGCTTTTTTTCACTCAGCCTAATTCCGTGGCAATTCACCCAGGTTGCTTATCAATAGTTTTTTTCTTTTTTATTGCTGTTCCGTGGCATGGATGAACCGCAGCATGTTCAATCACATACCCAGGGACGAATACCTTCCAGTTTGGGTCTATTTTAAGTCAAGCTATGATAAACATTCATTTATGGTTTTTTGTGTGAACTTGAGTATTCATTTCTCTGAGATAAATGCCCCAAAGTGCGATCACTAGGTAGTATTATCGTTGCATGTTTAGTGTTTCTAACTGCCAAACCGTTTTCCAGAGTGGCTGTAACATTTGACGTACCCACCGGCAACATATGAGCGATCTGTTTCTCCACATCCTCATCATCATTTGGTGTTGCCACTGTTTTTATGTCAGCCATTCTGATAGGCATGTAGTGACATATCACTGTAGTTTTCACTCACGTTTCCCCAGTAGCTAGTGATGTTGGACATCTTGTGCTTGTTTGCCATCTGTACACCTCTCCAGTGAAATGTCTCTTTGTGGGTTTTGCCCATTTCCTTGTTCGATTGATTGGTCTTATTTTACTGCTGTGAGTTCTTTATATAGTCTAGTAACTAGTGCTTTGTCAGATATGCAGCTTGCAAATATTTTCTCCCAGTCTAAAGTTCTAAATGTTGATGAAGCCCAATTTATCAATGTTTTCTTTGTGGATTATGCTTTTTGTATTGAGTCTAAGAACATTTTGCCTAGCTCTATACCCTGAAGATTTCCTATTTTTTTCTAAAAGTTGTATAGTTTTATGCTTTATGTTCAAGTTTGTGACCCATTTTGAGTCAATTTTTGTATAAGATGTGCGATTGAGGTTGGGGTTCATTTTTTTCGGACAGGTGTCCAATTGCTCCATTGGACATCCATTGGGTGAAAGGTTATCTTTCCTCCATTGACAGGCTTTTGCACCTTTGTAAAAAATTGGGTGGAGGCCAGGCGCAGTGGCTCATGCCTCTAATCCCAGCACTTTGGGAGACTGAAGCGGGCGGATCACCTGAGGTCAGGAGTTCGAGACCAGCCTGGCCAACATGGTGAAATCCCCTCTCCACTAAAAATACAAAAGTTAGCCAGGTGTAGTGGCAGGTGCCTGTAATCCCAGCTACTTGGGAGGCTGAGGCAGGAGAATCTCTTGAACCCGGGAGGTGGAGGTTGCAGTGAGCCGAGATGGTACCACTGCACCCCAGCCTGGGTGACAAGAGTGAAACTCTGTCTCAAAAAAAAAAAAAAAAGCTACAAAACAATACTTTGTATTTTCTATTAATATCTGAGTACAAATATAAATGAAACAAGTCTGGAAGGAAATGTACCATACTGGCAGCGTTGGTTATATGTGGGAAGGACATTGAGCTCAGGGCAGTTAAAGAAAGTTTTAGCTTCAGAATATTTATTTATTTAGACAGAGTCTTGCTCTGCTGCCCAGACTGGGTTACAGTGGCATCATCATAGCTCACTGTAACTTCAAACTCCTGGGCTTAAACAATCCTCCTGCCTTAGTCTCCTGAGTAGCTGGGACTACAAGTTCATGCTACCACACCTGGCTAATTTTAAAAATATACATATTTTGTAGAGACAGGGTTTTGCTGTGTTACCCAGGTTGATCTTGAACCTGGCCTCAAGCGATCCTCCTGCTTCAACCTTCCAAAGTGCTGGGATTACAGGTGTGAGCCACTGTGCCCGACACTTATTTTATTGTTTTTACAAGGAACATGTTCATATATTTTTATGAATTTAAGAATAATTTAGAAAATAACTTGGAGGCAGTATTCAGGGCATAACTTGGGTGGTTTACTTTGGGTGAACATCAGTGCAGGAGGCAGATAATTTGTCTATCTTTGCTTTCTACTAAGAGGCATTTGGCAAGTGGAGAGAGCTCGACTGACTTTACTAAGAGTCAGAAGTCCTAGGCTGGAGCCCCAGCTCTCCCATGTCTCATCTCTTTGAACCCTGAACTCCTCAGCTGCCCAGAGAGATCATGTCCCTGTCTTGCCTCCTCAGGGAGTTTCTGTGCAAATGAAATGGGGTTGTGAGTTTGGAAGCCGTCTCTGAGCTGCTCGCCCTGGGCACAGATCAGGAAGCATTTGGGCTTCCCCTTTGGATGGCCAGTGAGCCAGGCAGGGGAGGGTCCCCTGCCAGTGACCCCGGTAGGGCTCAGCAGCCCCACTGTGTTCCAGGGCTGCAGACAGAGCCATCAACCTCCTCCCCACTGCTGCCACCCCAAATCTCCCTGTGGGGACAGCCAGGATAGGGTGGGTGGCTCCAGCACCCCATCCTCACTCCGGGAAAACTGGCTCATGGTCATCATCACTTTAAAGGAGAGACCACATGATGGTGAAATGCAGGGCGATTCTGTGGCTGATGCATATTTGGGAGTACATCCCTCTTCCAGCACTTTCCGCCTATGTCACCTTGGACGAGGTGCTTAATCTTCCTGAGTGGCAATTTTCTGGTGTAAGATGGGACGGAGAGTAGCAAGGGTTGTTGTGAGGGTTTAGCAATGAAATGTAACCAAAGCCTGGGTGTAGCAGGTTCTCAGGAAGTGGTAGCTTTGTATGTGTGTGTGTATGTGTGTGCACATGTGTGTGCTTGTGTGTGACAGCAAATAACAAGCAATAAGTGACAGTGGAGAGAACAGGTTGATGACAGGTTTTGTTCTGGACAATAGGAAAGAAGTGAATATTATCTGGCTCTGCCCAGCCCTGCTAAACAAGTCTCCACAGGTGATGGCAATTTGGAGTGTCAACTTTGAGCAGTCATGCATCCAGCAGCACTTTCTCCAGGGCTAGCCTTTCCATAGATGGATCCCTAGGGCATGGTTCCCAGAGGCCCGCAGAGCCCTCCTGTCCACCCTGCCTCCAAAGAATTCTCCTACCCATTAGCGGATGCCCCAATCCTCTTTGGAAAGCTACATTCTTAAGTTCAAGGCTTTGATTCCCGGCAATGCTCTCCCACAGTGGGAGACTGCTTTACACTTCAGAAGGTGCTTTTCCATCCCCTGTTGCATTCTTCCCCTGATAACTGTGATGTAGAGATACAGCTGGAGAAACGGGGAGGTTAAGTGACTTGCCCAGGGCCATTCAAGGGTCCCTGGAAGAACTGGGGAAAGTGGTAACCAGAATCTTGGGTACCTTATTGGATGCTTGATCTCCAGATACCTGGGAACCAAAGCCCCAAAGCTGAGCTTGACTGAGAGCTCTGCCTTGGACTGTTTCTGGTCATCACTTGCCTTAGAAGAGGCGATGCCAACTTGGTCTGAAACCCTGGCCTTTTCAGGAACCATTCAATGGAGTTGGGTGTTCAGGGAGGAACACAATCACTTCTAAGACATACCCCAATCAGAGACAGGCTCCCAGCCATGCCTAAGAACAGAATGGATAGCGCAGCCAGAGGGGACTGCTCACTTCTCCAAGTCCAGGAAACTATAATGCCTGCACTGCTTTTTGGCTCATCAATCTGGCATTCCCAGCAAAGGTCGTGCCTTAAATAGCAGTGGTATCTGCTATTTAACTTGCCCATTTTCATGTTAACCTCATGTTTCTGCACTCTGTCTAACTAGAAAGTAAGCATGTGCCTTCCCTGGTGTGAGCTGAGCAAACACTTGTCCAGTTCCACTTACCTGCAGGCCGGAGGTCTCCAGGCTGGAGATGGCTTTGGTTGAAGCTGGTGCTTCTGCCTCTGGAAGGACTCTGGCCAAAGTTGTTGTTTTACAGCCCAGGAAGGTCTTCTGCATGTTTTCCCACAAGAAAAGGAAGAGGGTCCCCCCTCATGGGCAGGGGCATATTTAAACTGCCTCTGAGGTTAACCCTGGAAACTTTCCATGCTACCTAAGTGATCCCTGGCAAGAGACTTGATTATGTGGCAATGAGGTAGAGGTTTGGCTTATCCCTGCCCATGCTGATGCTGATGTCTGATATTCCAGTTTCAGAGTCAATAAGCCGGGGGTTGCATCTTGCCTAACTTAACAACTGAGTCATGGCAAGGGCCCTGTCTTTCTTGTAATCCCAGCATCCCTGAGTTAGATGGACGATAACTGTTGGTTGATATCAGGTGTCAATATCTAGGCTCAGTGAAGATTTTTGAATGATTATAAAATACTTAAGATGTAGAAAAAGTATAAGAAAGAATGTAATACACCCCCATGAACCCATCACCCAGCTTATAAAGTAAAGTGTTACAAATACAATTAAAACTCTGGCATATTCTTCCTCTCATCAACAACCTTGGCCAGAGTCCTTCCAGAAGCAGAAGCACTGAACCTCCCTTACTTCCTATCTTCCCAACATGGGTAACCACTCTAATTAATTTGTTATTTATCATTCCCATGCATCTCTTTATTTTTTTGCTACATGTGTAGGTGTTTCTAAATTTTATTTACACACACACACACACACACACACACAATGTGTTGATACATGTAGTTGTAGTTTATTCATGTTCACTGCTGTATAGTATTCCATTATGTGAAAATACCACAATGTATCCATCTGGTTGACAGGCATCTAGGCTGTTTCCCAGGTCTTTTGTCTTTGCTTTTGTTATAAATCATGCTGCAGTGACTATCCTTGTACATATTTCCTTTTGAAGACCTGAGGGATAGGATAAGTGTCTAAGAGCGATGGTGCTGGATTGTAGAATATGTGCACTTTTGATATTTCTTTCCACTTTTATTAGCAGTGTGTATGTGTTAGCATTTCTCAACATACTTGACATTAAGTTTAATTGGATTTAAAACTGTCAGTGATATGAAATGTACAGTAACTTCAAAAATTAATTTAGGCAGAACTGACATCTTTGTAACATTGAATCATTGTATTCACAAGCTTGGCATATCTATTTAACTTCTTCAATATTAAGTTTCGTACTTTTTTCCATTGATGTTTTATACATCTTCAGTTAGATTTATTTATTCGTTCTTTATATTTTTGTTGCTTTTGTAAGAAGTATTCTTTTCTCCAGCAGTCTTTTTTATTGAGGTATAATCACATACAATAACACACACTTAGGTGTACATATGCATATAGTTCTGACATATGTATCAAAACTCTCTTTTTGACAATTGTATATACCTGTGGAATAACCACCACCCCTCACAAACTGTAGACATGTGCATTTCCTGGGAGAGGTTCCCTTATATTCTTTTCCAGTCAATGTCCGCCTGCCCCAGAGGCAATCACTGTTTCGATTTCTATCACAAGATACCCTTTAAAATTGATGTTTAACTTTTTGTGGTTATTCAATATATATTTTTCTATGAAGTCCTTAATCTTATGCTCTCATTTCTGTGAAGGCCCACATTTCCCAAGTACACATGTTCATATGTATTATTGCTATTTCCCATAAGTTTCAGCCCCTCCCCTGAGAATATCTTCAGAAGGGAGATGGGGAAGGGAAGGGCTCTGCATATCCACAGTGGAGAACTAAACTCATTTTTAGGCAAAAGCCCATGAAGGTTTTCTCTAGCTTTCTAATACTTAGAAAATGAGCGACTTACAACTATCAGTAAACTCACTTTGCTACCTTTCAGTTAATTATCTCAGAGGAAGATAGAAATCACATCCTCACATCAAGCTTGTCTGGATGTAATCACTGACTCAGACATTTGGATTGGAAGAGTGTTCTGGGCAAATGAACATTCTTCTGGGTAGATACATCTAGTCACAAACATGTTTGACTCAGCAGCCTTTGTTTTCTGTGCTGCAAGAATGGAAGGCAACCCGTGGGCACCTGAGCTCAAGCTCCAGTTTCATCATCTGTAACGTAAATGGAGCTAATTTCCATTTCGATTTGGTTGGTGTTGTGTCCTCCTTTCCCAGTGTGTCTCCTTCAATCCTCAAATTACTTCTTTGGGGGTCGGTATTCTCCCATTTTACGGATGATGAAACTAAGGCCAGTGGAGGTTAAGCAACTACTGAGAGGTGGCATCATAATAATATCCAATCATTTACCCTCCAAGGCTGCTCTAAAGATCCAGTGAGATAATAGATGAGAAAGGGCCCTGAGAGCTGTGCTGGTTAGTTTATCACACCTGCCAACCCCTGCCAGCTCCCAGCAAACCATGTAACTGAGAGGAAAATATTTACTAAGCAGATATGCTGGTTGTCATCATCGTTATCATCGTTGTCATCCTTGCTACTCCTACTGATTATTATGTGCCAGGCATTGTGCTGGGGGTTGATCCTACGTTAGTTTCACTGGGAGATTGAAGCCTTTGACCTTGGCCTACAAGGCAGATACTCTGGCCATTGGTCACCACCTCGCTGACTCCAGCGTCCTTCTATCCTCTCAAGCCTCAGAGCCTCCCCCTGTTTTGAGAATGTCCATTTGCTGTTCCTCCTGCCTGAGACTGTCCTTCCCCAGGGAGTTTCTGTGTCCTGCACCCTCATTTCACTCCAGTCTTTGCTCAAAGAGGCTTTCCTGATCCTTCCCTGAAATAGCACACACTCCACACCCCAACCTCAGTTACTTCCCACGTCCTCACCTGGTACTTTTCTTTACTGAACCTACTGACCCTAAGTACATATCCATTTATGAACTGTCAGTTTCCTCCATTTGAATGTAAGCTCAGTGAGGACAGGGACCTCTCTCCATTTGTCCACTGCTGCTCCCAGTGCCTAGCACAGGGCCCAGCACACAGCAGGGCCCTGATCAGGATGTGCTGTTGGTGAATAGCGGCAGAACCCACCACTGTCACTGAGCACAGGGGAATGCCTGCAGTCTCCACAACCACTCAGTCACTGACCCCTGATTCTTATTCCTGTCTACTCATCACTGGGGGCTCTTGGGCCTACAGAACTGGAAGGAGACTCTCTAATGCAGGGTGACCAGGGGACCCAGTGAATGAATTTTTCAGAGAGAACCATGACTGGCCCCTCGCAAAGGCTCCACTCTGGAGTCCAGCCGGGCTTGCTGGCTGCTCCATGCTGGACAGGCACCTCTGTGGCTGGACTCAGAAAATTCCAACGCTTCTGTCAGGGCAGATCATGGGGCAGCCAAGTGCAGACAGGCGAACTAAGGAAACACAGTGGAATAAAACCAAACAAACTGGTGGAAAAGCAAGGGAGACAGCCCACGAGTGAGTCCTGGGGCTGCGTTGAGAGAAACCAGAGAGCCTTTGCAAGGAGAAAGTATCAGCTAAATAATGGCATTAATTCACCTTCTCTGCCCAGTGCCCTCTAGGCCACAAGATAGCGTTTAGGGAGCATTTTCCAAGACAGTCCACTGACTTCATGGGGAATGAATGGCTCCCATCAACTGCATTTAGCTCCTGGGTCTGCAGGAGCTCAGAACACTCAGAAGGTTTCATGGCCTGGAATGTACCTTCCTGACAAATACTAGGTAACTGCAGCTGGGGGTGAGACACGGGGAACAAGGCAGTGGCAGGTGTGCATCTGTGCACGCTCACCACCTCCTCAGAGCCCTCCCGGTCTTTATGGTCTGCCCAATCCTCACCAATGTGGTGGAGAGGGAAGGTACCCAAGGCCACTGTGACTGTGTCTAGAGTCACCCTTGCCAGGCCCTGTCCACTTTACCAGGAGTCATGGGTGGCTTGATTTAGAATTCACATCTTCCTGCCTCTCCCCCTACTACGAGTTTTTTCTTGAATTTGCAAGGATGGATTAATTCTCTAGGAGCATCTTGGGCCTCCTTGCCTGCATTATATTTTATGATGTTTAATCTAGTGAAATGGGATTAAAATAGTGTGACCCTACACCCCGACTTGCCTGAGACGGGCCTACCTTATGCCTGTTGTCCTGGCTTAATTATTAATAGTTCCCCTTTGACTCTCAAAAGTATCCAGCTTGAGCAATAACCGATAGGGTCACCCTGGCTCAAAGAATTATCAAAAACTGCCTAAAAGAGGAACAAAGTCAGCTTGGGTGTTCTGGGTGGAGGGAGCTTTGTCCTAAACTGGGCCTTGGTCTGGCGGATGGGCCAGGCTGAGGTCTCTGGGCCTCCTGTCCTTCGTGGCAAGAGCTGGGCCCTCTTCTGGATCCTGACCTTGCCACCTCCCAGAGCCCCTGCTGCCCACCTGGTCTCTTGTCACAGAGCAGCTCTGACCCTCTGTCCCCTCTGACTTTGAATGCACTGCAGTCTGTGTGAGGGCACAGGCCGGAAAGACCCCACCCACTCCTAGAAACAATGTCTTCCTTTCTGAGCCCTTCGCCTCTTCGGCATCTCCTGGGATCATTTTCTCCTCCATCTTGTCTCCCTTCTGTCCTGAATTGCGGAAAGGATGAGATCAAGAATTTGGCGACCAAACCGAGCCAGTGTGCGACAGCCAATGTGTGGCTCTGGATGAGCAGGACGGAGGGAAGGGAAGATAAACGTGAGAGCCAGGGCAGACTTGGAGACCCTCTTGGGCCCCATTGCAGATGAGGGGGTGAGGTCAAGAGGTCACTGACCATTCACCGTCCCACTGTCCAGCATCCACTGCGGGCCGGGTGCTTTTCTCAGTGTGGAGGTAGAGTGGTGATAAAGACGCTTGCCTCTGCCCTCAGAGCAAAACCAAGTGGAAGCAAACTGAGAGGAAAGACGGCATTCAGAATAAAGGCCATAGAGACCGTGATGCCATAGAGCGGTTGGTGGCGGGCCAGTGAGTCAAGGGCGAGTCTCTCTGTGAAGATGACATTTGGGCAGAGACATGAATGAGGAGACAGAGTTGGGGAGGATGCCAGGCAGGGCAGAAGCCTGGCAGGGGCCGGGGGTAAGAGCTGGGGTTTGCTGAGCAGCTGAGGGCAGCAGGTGGGGCGGGGCCGGCAGGGATGGGTGGGGCTTTCTCAAGTGGGCGGGGATGTGGGTGGGGCACCTCGGGATGGGCGGGGAGGTGGGAGGGGCTGGAGCAGGCAGAGCAGATGAAGCCAGAAGGACTGGGAATGTTTCTCCAAATGCAATGGAAAGCCACTGTAGAATTTTAAGCAGGGGGTTGACTTGAGGTGGCCGTTGTGTTAAGAACAGGCTCCAGGGTGGCAGGAGTGGAAGTCAGAAGACCACTGGGAGGCTGTGGCAGTGCCCAGGTGGCCTGGACTAGGGCGTCAGTGTCAGGGAGTGAAGGAGTCGGCCTGGGATGTGTTGTGGGGATGCTGCCAACAGGAATTGCAGGGTGATGGGCTGGGGCAAAAAGAGTAAGAGGAATCCAGCCAGGGTCCTGTGTCCGCCTGGCAAATTTACTCCATTGAGCAAAGCCAGACACACAATCACACCCAGCCATATTTTCGTTAGTGCTATTTGCTTTTTGTTTTTGTTTTGTTTGTTTGTTTTTTGAGATGGAGTCTCGCTCTGTAGCCCAGGCTGGAGGGCAGTGGCACGATCTCGGCTCACTGCAAGCTCTGCCTCCCAGGTTCATGCCATTCTCCTGCCTCAGCCTCCCGAGTAGCTGGGACTACAGGCATCCTCCACCAAGCCCGGCTAAGTTTTTTGTATTTTTAGTAGAGACGGGGTTTTACCATGTTAACCAGGATGGTCTCGATCTCTTGACCTTGTGATCCACCCGCCTCGGCCTCCCAAAGTGCTGGGATTACAGGCGTGAGCCACCGCGCCCGGCCAGTGGTATTTGTTTTTAATCACCACACAGAGCTATTGTGAGGACCAAATAAAGAAATGGATGTGAAGGCGTGCTGCGAACTGCGCCATGTGGGGTGTTTTCTCATTGTTCAGGTAGCATTCAGCGTGAGGCCGGTGTTTTCACAGCCTCTCCTCCTCCCCCACCCCCAGTGCCATTAACATCAACTTGGAGTTTCCCGAGGGATGATTTAGCTTCCTGATGGTCCAGAAGCTGCCCTGACTCTTTCTCCTGCTGGCTGATGGGGGTGGGTTTCCACAATGCAAAGTGCCTACAAGCTGTCAACAAGTTCAAGCTGATCAACTCCAGGGGAGAAGGTGGTAGGCATTGGGGATAAGAGGCTATGACATCTCAGGAGGGTTTATTCATCCTTGGGGCACGTCCTTCCAATACTATTCACAAACTTACAGTGATTTAGAGACCCTCTGTTGGGCGGGACTAATGATGTTGGTACCGGTGCTCTGGTCAGGGTTTCTCAAAGTGGCCTCCCTTGAGATACTCAGTGATAAAGGGTCTGTTCCCTGGTCACCTCCCTTTGGGGAGCTGCCGCACCTGTGCACTGCATCTTCCTCTTTCAGCTGACCAGTGAGTGTTTAGCCTTTTGAAAGCTCTGAGAAGCCCTGCAGTGAAGAAACCTATAGAACCCTGAGTATGTCCCAAACTGACTTCACCACGAACCCCCAAGCCCTTATTTCACCCCTAAGAGCTGCTGGGGGGACTGGGAGGGATGTGTTGAGAGAGTGGGGGTCACGCCCAACATCCAGCTTATTCAGGATCAGCCTTGTGCTGGGAAATCCAGGCCTTCTCGGAGCATGTGAGCGTCCCCCCTCCCCCTAACCTGTTGTAAGGAGCTTACAGTCTGGCCAGGGACACAGTACCGGGGGCTGGGGGCGGGGCCCATCAACTGCGTGGGGCCACTCTGGCTGCAGGAAGAGTGTGTGTGTGTGTGTGTGTGTGTGTGTGTGTGTGTGTGTGTGTGTGTGTGTAGGGGGTGGGGGGCTGGTTAAAGGAAGGCTTAAAGGGCTCCGAGGATAGTCTGTCCAGATGGAGGCAGAGAGTGAAGGGTGAGGTGGGGTTCCTGTGCAAGGTCAGGGGGCAGGGGACGTGTTGGGGTCGGTCTGGCTGCCTGTTCAAAGCCTACCTCCACCATGCAGGAGCTCCCTGAGGCTGGGCTATTCTCCCGCCCTGCGGGTTTCGGGTTCCTTATCTGAACAGGAGGTGCTGATAATTAGCACCTGGGGAGCTTGGATGAAGGCCTGCCAGAGGAAGCTCTCAGTGAATATCTACAGTTTTCCTGTAAGTTAAAGCCACTTCCTCCTCAGGTGCCTCCCTGGGATATGGGAGTCCCTCTGCGGGGGCGGCGGAAGAGGCCTCAGAACTCCGCAGTGGCTCACCTTAGAAATTAGGGCACCGGGCTGGGCATGGTGGCTCATGCCTATAATCCCAACACTTTGGGAGACCGAGGCAGGTGGATCACCTGAGGTCAGGAATTCAAGAGCAGCCTGGCCAAGATGGTGCAACCCTGTCTCTACTAAAAATACAAAAATTAGCTGGGCGTGGTAGTAGGCGCCTGTAATCCCAGCTACTCGGGAGGCTGAGGCAGAGAATTGCTTGAACCCGGGAGGCGAAGGTTGCGGTGAGCCGAGATTGAGACACTGGACTCCAGCCTGGGCAACAGAGCGAGACTCCTTCTCAAAAAAAAAAAAAAAAAAAAAAAAGAGGGCACCAGGGTCGCAGGCGCAGTGGCTCACGCCTGTAATCCCAGCACTTTGGGAGGCCGAGAAGAGCGGATCACGAGGTCAGGAGTTCAAGACCAGCCAGTTCGAGACCAGCCTGGCCAACATGGTAAAACCCCGTCTCCACTAAAAATACAAAAATTAGCTGGGTGTGGTGGCGGGTGCCTGTAATCCCAGCTGCTCGGGAGGCTGAGGCAGGAGAATTGCTTGAACCCAGGAGGTGGAGGTTATAGTGAGCTGAGAGCGCCACTGCACTCCAGCCTGGGTGACGGAGAAAGACTCTGTCTTGGGAAAAAAAAAAAAAAACGAGGGGACCATGTGGTCGGGAAATGCGCAGGGCCAGGGCTTGCCCAGCTCATCCCAAACTGTGCCTGCTGCCCTCGCCAGACCTCCAGCTGGTCTCATTCAGGGCGTCTGCGTCGTTCTGAGGTGCTGCCTAGGGGCAGGGGCAGGTGGGGATGAGGGCGCAGTCCCCCTCCATGAAATGGCAGAGCCTAAGCCCCGGCCATTGCCGGTCTTCAGCAAACGGCAAACTTGCCAGACAGGCTCCCCACACACTCACACACACCTACACTCATACCCCTACACAGACCCCACACACTCACACACACACACACACACACCCCCACACACCCCATACCCCCCACACACATTTCCCTCCACACACCCCACACACCCCATACCCCCCCCCACACCCCATACCCCCCAAACACACCCCACACACACGCACCCCACACATGCATGCACCCCCCTACATGCACACTCACACCCACAGCCCCCACCCCCACACTCTCACACATGCACATTCACAGACACGTACCCCACATACACATGCACTCACACCTTCCACACACCTCACACACCCCATCCCCCCACATGCACCCCCAAACACATCCCACACACACTCCCATACACACCCCACACACTCACACCCCCCACCCCCCACACACGCACCCACATACACACCCTCCCCACATACCCCCCACACACCCACACTCACATCCCCCACTCCCCCCCACACACCCCACATCCCCACACACACACCTCCACACATCCCCATGCACACACTCACACCCCCACCCCCCACACACATACCCCCACACACTCACACCCTCCCCACATACCCCCCACACACCCCACATCCCCCCACACATCCCCCCCACACATCCACATGCGCACACACACGCACACGCACACACGCACAGGCACACACATGCACAGACACACATGCACACACACTCACTCCGCACACACACTCACTCCTCGGGGCCCTTCGCTGTCCTGTGGCCCAGTGGCCCACGGAGAAGGATGCCAGGAGAGAAACGGGTGGGCTGGTCTTGTGGAATCTGGCAGCCAGGGCAGCCCCCATCTGAAGGCAGGAGGATCTGGAGGGGCGCAGAGGCTGTGTTGACCAGAACATTCTCCACTCAGTGCCCAGAATTCTATGGTTAGAATCTTTGAATGGAGGCTGTTGGGCCTCCAACAGGCCCTCAATGTGCACACCAGACACAGGGCAGGACAGAGGGGCTGGGCAGGATTGCTGCCGCGTAGGGGCCTGGACTCGCAGGGCGCTGGGCGGATAACTGCTGATGAATGGTGCACAGAGGCAGCCATGCAGAGGCCCAGGAGGACAGAGCTGAATGGATGAGCCCGGCGGGGCCAGGTACCTGGAGACCCGGAAGGGACCACTGCCGGCGGGGTGGCATCAAAGCCCTCCCTGAGCCACCCTTCAAGCCAGGTTTGGGTTAGGAGGACCACACCGGAGTTCTGGCAGTGCCAGTGTATCAGGCGGAAGCTTGGCCCGGGGGTGGAAGATGGAGCGAGCCCCTCATGGGTAAGACGAAGTGGTAGTGCAGACTGTGGCCGAGGCCGCATGCTCCAGACATCAGGGAGCGCTCGCCTCAGCCAACTCCCAGTTTTTCCAGTTCTTTGGTGACCCCAGTGCCCTGTTCAATGTAGCATCAAAGAACCCCGAGGGTGGCAGACAGAAGCCCCAGTCAAAGGCCCAGCAGCCTCGGGTGGGCTCTGGGAGAGGGGCTAGACCCTGGCTGCCACCCAGTGCGCCGCCCCACCGGGCCTCCCGGGCTGACCTCCAGCTCAGGTTTCCCGGATGAGTGGTGGCCCAAGACTGCACTGCTCCCTGCCTGCGCCTTCAGGGCCTGCACTCACCCCGTCTGAGGGGCCTGACCCCAGAGCCCTGAATACCGTGAGAAAGGCAGGAGACACAAGACAGGGAGTGGCCTTCATCCCTCAGCCTCACCCCACACTGGATGGGTGAGGTCTCTGCAGGCCACCCCTGGGGCTCTGAGTCCAGGCGTCTGCTGCTTTCGGGAACCGCAGAGATGGCCAAGTGAGGACACGGGTTGCCATTGCCCGCCCCACCTCCGAGGGAAGCTGAAGGCTAGGGGTCCTGCCTGGGAGCCCCGTTTTTGCAAGCCATTTTCTACCTTCCTGGCTCCCTCCCCTCTGGTCCTCTTCCCTAACTTCCCCCTCTTCCCCCTCTCCTCCTCTCCTCCTCTCCTCCTCCTCTCTTCACCCCTTCTGTGCGCCCCTTTCCTCCTCATCTCTGCTTCCTCCCCCTCTCCAGCAAGGAAACATATGCCCTTTCTTTCCTTTCCTTGTTCTGTCCTCATAATTTTCTGCATCCCTCCCTAACTCTCCCTCAGTCCCCCAAGAGGATGTCCTTGTAATAATGGCAAACATCCTCTTCTGTCTGGGGGACACTGTAGTGAGTGGAGGCTGCTGTTGAGAGGTTTGTTCAGAATACCCCAAGCTGCGAAGGTGATACGCCCTGAGTTAGCAACTACAAAGAAAAGAGAAGTCCACGTAAGCCTACGTTTTCCTAGGCCTGACACGAATTGGGCTGATTTTTCTGGGAAGAGCAAAAGATCAGGCGAGTGTGGACACTGACTCTGTTAACGTTCTTAACATCTGGGAGTCAGGGTGGTTGGGAGAGGGGCGTACAGAGTTAGAATGCTCTGGGAAAAGGGCCTTGGGAAGTGTGATCTCAGTAGGTTTCTTATTTTGATTAGCTGTAAAAGCATCCTGGGAGGTCAGCAGGTGAGTTTTGGACATTTACACAATGAAAGAGACACCTGTGTGGGGCTCAGCCTCTGGCATAGCATCCAGCCTTTTGGAGTGCAAGGAGACCACCTGCCTCCAGCTGGTTATTCAGGGCACCTGCCTTCCACCAGCTCAGCTGTTGATGGAAGCCATGGTCTTGGACAGACCATTTCCCTCTCTGGGTCTCAGGAGCCTCAGCTGTAAAGTGGGAGTTAGGCCCACCAGGCTTCAAGCAATGGGATTCCACGTGAACAGCAAAGGAGTCTGACACCCCCTCCTTGCCAACATAGCTGCTTTGTCGGCATGCATGTTTATTTTTTCCTTCCTTTGAGAAGTAGCTAAACTCACGGGAATGTTCCTATGGTGCTCTTCTCCCCATTTGTATTGTTAGTGGAAGATGTTCACTAAGCATGTGGGGAATGAGGCCTGGCAGGATGCCCAGGACTTGAAGGAGCCCTGGACTGAGCAAAGCCAACTCCTGGTGGGGCCTGGGTGCCCCGTGGGCACTGGACCTTCCATCACTGGGTCTGTGTGTTTGGGAGGGTTCTGCCTCATCTCCTGCTTCTTCCCAGGGCAGGTACTTAGCCAGTTAGGGGGCAGGGGACACATCATGGACCAGGGCCTGGAGTGGGGAGGGGGCAGCTGCTGAGACCTGCACTGTCTACACACTGCAGATGGGGCAGCCTGGGGGCATCCACCTGAAGACATCCCGAAAGAGTGGGGAGAGGCTCAGAATGAGCCCGTCACCTGCAGCATGTGTGCAGGAGGAGCCCACAGCCACAGTCCTGGGCCCAGCATCCCCACCAGGAGGTACACATTTTACAACCTTGGGCTTCAGGAGGGGCTCTCAATCCTCTGAGGCCCTTCAGAGCCCACCTCCTCTATGCAAACCTCTTCACAAACAAAAAGGCAAAAGACACAAACAACCAAACAAAAGTCTTCCTCAGGTGACCTGACTTCTCCCTTCTCTGACTCACAGAGCGTAGAGTGTCTGGTTCTCGACAGTCTTGCACTTTTAATTATGTCAGGGCTTTTTCCATGGGTTTCCAGATAGGATTTGATCCCTTCAGGGAAGGAACCTTCATGACCCAGACCTGTGCAGGAGGCAAAGGAGCACCTTTTGGAAGTTTTGGGGGCTGCGTCTATGGACTCGATGGTGACCTGCCTGTACCACAGGCCACACTACATGTCCCCTGAGCCAGGGCCCTGGCAGCTGGTTTCTGCATCCTTCCCTCTCTGTTCAGTGGCCCTCAGTCCATGTCTATGGAAGCAATGCCCTTCCTTTCTCCCACCCGCTCAGCTTTTTTTCACCCCTGCTGGCCTCTTGTCGGAAATGAAATACACAGAGGAATTCCCTTTCTTGCATTGACTCCAGTGTAGACAGGGAGCAGATGGGACTGCTGTCTGCTGTCTACACTACACACTACTACACTGCTGTCTGCTGTGTGTGATAAGGACACAGATAGTCCTGGAGGACCTGAGGGACTTCTGAGGGTCAGACATATTCAGGGACACTCAAGCAACTCACATTTTATGTATATTTTATTGCTTTCTAATGCTTTATAAAATTAGAGCCACCCCAGGTCATCCATTCTCTGATGCTCTTTCTTTTAATGTCTTTGAACTCAGGATGTGTCTTGCTTAATTGAAGTCAGGCTCTTCCAGAGAGGGTTACAGTGACTTCTGTTGGGCAATTGGGGAACACTTTAAATTCTTGTAACAGCTTTATTGAGGTGTAATTGTTATGCAAAAAAGTACATATTTAATATGTGCATTAATAATTTGATGAGTTTGGACATATGTAAACACCCGTTAAACTATCACCTCAATCAAGGTAATAAATATATCCATCATCTCCAAAAGTTTCCTCATGGCTACGCTCTTTTAAATTTTTTTTTTTTTTTTGAGACAGTTTTTGTTCTTGTTGCCCAGGCTGGAGTGCAATGGCATGATCTCAGATCACCACAACCTCTGCCTCCTGGGTTCAACCAATTCTGCTGCCTCAGCCTCCCGAGTAGCTAGGATTACAGGCATGTGCCACCACACCTGGCTAATTTTTTATATTTGTAGTAGAGACGGGGTTTCTCCATGTTGGTCAGGCTGGTCTCAAACTCCCAACCTCAGGAGATCTGCCCGCCTCGGCCTCCTAAAGTGCTGGGATTACAGACATGAGCCATATTCCCAGCCAACTTAAAATTTATTTATTTTTAGAGATGGGGGTCTCACTATGTTACTGAGAGCGATCCTTTGGCCTCAGCCTTCTAGGTAGCTGGGAATAATGGCATATGCCCCTGCACCCAGCTTGTGCCACCCCACCCCATCTGCTTTTTTTTTTTTTTTTTTTAATAAGAGAGGGGGCCTCCATATGTTTCCCAGGCTGGTCTTGAACCCCTGGCCTCAAGGGATCCTCCCACCTTGACCTCCCAAAGTGCTGGGATTACAGGCATGAGCCACTGTGCTTGGGTGCCACACCCTATGCCTCTTAATGTGGTAAGAAAGCTAACATGAAATCTACCCTCTTAACAAAAATTTCAAGTATATAATACAGTGTTGTTAACTGTATGTGCATTTTTAAACATAGGTATAAAGTCATGTACTACAGCTGAAAGTGCTTTTTTTTCCCCCCTCATTACACTGAGAAATGTTTAAATGTTTTTGGTCTTAAGAATATTTCTGTTTTCACCTTGTACTATTGCTTGGTGAAAACAAGTTGCTGAAGTTACTTTGCACCCATGTAAAGAGGACTTCCTCCTATTTGTTCTAAAACTGCCTATTAGAATGTTCAAAGGGACTAAACACAAATGTATCCTTCATAACATGGTCTTGTCTCAGCCATTGTCTTTTCAGTGGATATTTTGTTTTCTCCACTTACCATGTGCAGTAAGAACAACAGTCTGGGGGTTCCAGACCCTCTTGGAGCTCACGTCTATAATGAACATATTGAAGTGTATGGAATGGAATGGAATGTCTCCAGTGGGCAGACTGCCTCCTCCCAGGGCTGGGCAGATCCGTGTGATCTCAGGGCTCTGAGCTACATGTGGGGACCAGAAAGCAGCCTGGGTAATGACCTGATGCATAGAATTGGGAGACAGCAAGGCTGGGGGTGCTGCTAGTTCTCCCTGGAAGACGCAGGCCTAGAGCCCTGGTTGATGGTCTGAGTAGGGTCCCAGCACTAGGCTCATGGTCACACCAGGTATAAACCTACAGGCCAACATGGAATGAGTTCCATCTCGTCTGCACTGTGGGCCTCAGCTCATGGGGATGTAGCTTTTCTTTGCAATCTAGAAATGTAGTCTGAGGAATACGTGTGTGTGTGTGTATGTGTAGCTAGAATAGCTTGCTCTTGGTATCAGCATGTTACTTCATTGTGGGGTTTCTAATTTGATCTTGTATTACTCAAAAGGCTCCCAAGGAACTTCATGTTTAAGATCCAATTCTGCATTTTACTTCTGCCAATGCCCCTTGTTTCTACAACATTCCAGAAGGTCCAAGCTTCTGAAATGTGTCTACATCCCGGCTGTGCTGAGACTGGTCCAGGGCTTGGCTCTGGGGGAGCTTATCTCATGACTTCCTTTGCTCTCACTTATTGGAACTGGTGGATTTTGCGGAGAGTAGACACGGCAGCACAGACAGGTGGGGACTTGCGTTCCATGGTGGCTGTGCTCCTGGAAGGTTTTGCATCTATCAGATGCTTTTTTCTTTGCTGAGGCACTCATACCAGAGGCACTAGACTGTGTGAGTGGAGTCTGCAGCATGGCTCCTGTCCTGGTAGCTGGACAGTTCAGTGGGGAAGGAAGACAAGGGCACAGGACACACATCTCCCCATGCTTGTCTTTTTGCTGCTCCCCATCCCCCCCAGACCTCTCTGGTGACAGCTGTATCAGCTGATGTCATAGAAATTGAGGAGGGATAGACAGACAGCTCCTGCAGCCCTGCTCTGTTGCATGAGAGCAGCTGGGGGCAGCTGTGGACTCTCAAGTACAGGGGACAGGGTGAGGAAGCGGAGCCACCCTGGCTCCAGGGGCTCCAGGAGAGAAGCGTGGGGAGTGCCATGATTGTCACCCCATCTTCTCTGCTGCTCCAGACCATGCTCCCCGCTGTGTCCCTCCATGTCCTCACTTGCCCTGGTGCTCAGCACCTCAGGGAGGGCCTGTGGTCTGTTACTGGCTCAGGGGCTGTGTTACACGAACTCCCCAGCTCTCGGGGCTTTGTGACTGCACATTTTCACTGACGAGAAACAAAAGGCAGTGACTTTGGCCAACAGTACTGGGGCAGTGGCCAGGAGGTGGGGCATTTGCGTCCCACCTGCTACCGTAGGTTTCTTTACTCCTGGCTCCTTCTCTCTCTTCCTCAAGTCCCAGGAAGTGAAAGGGAAGGAGTTAGGCCAATTTCGCTGAGATGCTTCTTTGAGATGCTGATGAGAAGGTGACCGAGGGAGCCCAAGCCTGAGGCGCCACCTAGGGTACAAGGTGTGCCCGGGCTTATTGCTGGACTACTGCAAGTCACCCAGTCAATGAAGTTCTAGTACTCACATTTAAAATTTAAAATAAAAAATAGAATAGAGAGAATGGGAAAGAAAAGTCATCAATCACTTTATAAAAACAATTTCTCATTTACAAAGGCATTCCTTTAAAATGTATGTTCCCGTCCTATATTTTAAGTTATTCAACTTAGTAATTTACGAAATGTTTTCCATGGAGGTGAAGGAAATGGCACTTACTGTGTAAAGTGAGCAAGAGATGGTGTCCCCCAAAGGGCAATACAGATATATTTGATTTTATGTTTTATTTTTGTCATTCATATTTTTCTTAAAGTCATAAAAATGAAAACCTAGGAATGTTATAAGAAGAAAAATTGATATTTATTTCTTATTTATATCCATCTAGGATGGAGGCCACCCATTCTTGACCAAGTCCTATTTATAAGCTGATGGCTCTCAAGTCTATATCCCCATCCCAAATGCTTTCAGACTCCAGACTCCTTCACCTAAGGGCCTGCTTGGCATCTCCATCTGAATGTCTGAACTCCCCTCAAAACCTGTTCTGCCTGCAGCTTTCTCTATCTTAGTGGCTGAGAGAAAAGGCCCAGGAATCATCCTTGACTTCTCTCTGCCAACTCACAGCCAATCAACCCATTAGAAAATCTCAAGACTGTTTCAAAATATATCCAGAATCTGACAACCTCTCACCACCCCCACTGTAGACTCCCAGATCTGAGGTACCATTATTCCTTAGCCTGGATGACTGCAATAGCATCCTAATTGACCTCCTTGCCTCCAACTTTGTCCCTCTGAAGTTCATTTCAGTAGAACATATCGATAGAAATGCAAGTCAGATGATGTCTTTTCTCTACTCAAAAGCCTGCAGTAGCTCCTGGTTGTACTCAGAATAAATGCCAAAGTCCCTCTTAATGACTTACAAGGCTCTGCATAACATGCACCCCACTCACTCTGCTCCAGCTGCACTGACTGCTGTTCCCTGAACACACCTGGCATGCTCCTGCCTCAGCTTGGGCACTGGTTTCCCCTGATCTTCTCCCAGACACCTGTGTGGCCACCTTTCACCTCCTTCAAGCATTTGCTCAAATGTCAAGGACTCAGTGAATCCCACTCTGACCAACTACTTTATCATCTTCATACCCAACAATCCATACTTAATATATTTGCTCAGCTTTCTTGAACTTGAGGTGGAGTTACTGCAATGCACTTTGGTTATTAGAGTCCTCTAGGTCCCAGTTTGCCTAGGACAGTCCCAGTTTACACCTTTTGTCCCAGGGTAATTATTAATAATGTCCTCTTTCACTTTTCAAGACTGACCTAGTTTGGATGATAAATTAACTGGTCATCCTAGGGGAAACCTCTGATGCATTTGGCTTTATTTCCTAACTCTCTCTATAGCATGTAGCTGGGTCAGAAGTAAATTTCCCATAGTTACCCCACTTTCTATTGATCTTTAGTGCCAGGTGGCAATATCTTTGGTATCTCCCCCAGTTCTCCACTCCTTCTCTTTTGAAAACACATAGGTACACACATGTGTATGTGCAGACATACACACACTCCATGATAATCTATAGAGACAGACAAGGGTAAAGGAAATTGTGTGAGCAGCTACTTGCTCTACTTCTGTACGATTTTGAGCAATTTATTATTTTTTGTGACTTTCCTTTTTTTTATTTTTTATTTCAATAGGTCAATAGGTTTTTTTGTTTGTTTGTTTGTTTGTTTGTTTTTTGAGACGGAATTTTGCTCTTGTTGCCCAGGCTGGAGTGCAATGGCACGATCTCGGCTCACTGCAACCTCTGCCTCCCGGGTTCAAGCAATTCTCCTGCCTCAGCCTCCGGAGTAGCTGGGATTACAGGCATGCACCACCACGCTCAGCTAATTTTGTATTTTTAGTAGAGATGGGGTTTCTCCATGTTGGTCAGGCTGGTCTTGAACTCCGGACCTCAAGTGATCTGCCCTCGACCTCCAAAAGTGCTGGGATTACAGGTGTGAGCCACCGCGCCCAGCCTATTTCAATAGGTTTTTTAGGGAGCAAGTAGTGTTTGGTTCCATACGTAAATTCTTTAGTGGTGATTTCTGAGACTTTGGTGCACCCATCAGCTGAGCAGTGTACACTGTATCCAATGTGTAGTCTTTTATCCCTCACCCCCCTCCCACCTTTTCCCCAGAGTCCTCAAAGTCCAATGTATCACTTCTTATGCCTTCTCATCCTCATAGCTTAACTCCCACTTATGAGTGAGAACCTATGATGTTTGGTTTTCCATTTCTGAGTTATTTCACTTAGAATAATAGTTTCTAATTCCATTCAGGTTGCTGTGAATGCCATTATTTTGTTCCTTTTTATGGCTGAGTAGTATTTCATAGTATGTATATATACCACATTTTCTTTTGTTTTTTTTTTTTTGTTTGTTTGTTTGTTTGAGACAGAGTTTTGCTCTTGTTGCCAAGGCTGGAGTACAATGGCGCAATCTCGGCCCACTGCAACCTCTGCCTCCCTGGTTCGAGCAATTCTGCCTTAGCTTCCCGAGTAACTGGGATTACAGGCGCCCACCACCATGCCCGGCTAATTTTTGTACTTTTAGTAGAGATGGGGTTTCGCCATGTTGGCCAGCCTGGTCTCGAGCTCCTGACCTCAGGTGATCTACCTGCCTCGGCCTCCCAAAGTGCTGGGATTACAGATGTGGGCCACCACGCCCAGCTATACAACATTTTCTTTATCCACTCATTGATTGATGGGCATTTGGGCTAGTTCCATATTTTTGCAATTGTAAATTGTGCTGCTATAAACGTGTGTGCAAGTATCTTTTTTGTATATGACTTTTTTTTTCTTTTATTATACTTTAAGTTTTAGGGTACAGGTGCACATTGTGCAGGTTAGTTACATATGTATACATGTGCCACGCTGGTGCGCTGCACCCACTAACCCGTCATCTAGCATTAGGTATATCTCCCAATGCTATCCCTCCCCACTCCCCCAACCCCACAACAGTCCCCAGAGTGTGATGTTCCCCTTCCTGTGTCCATGTGGTCTCATTGTTCAATTCCCACCTATGAGTGAGAATATGCGGTGTTTGGTTTTTTGTTCTTCTGATAGTTTACTGAGAATGATGATTTCCAATTTCATCCATGTCCCTACAAAGGACATGAACTCATCATTTTTTAATGGCTGCATAGTATTCCATGGTGTATATGTGCCACATTTTCTTAATCCAGGCTATCATTGTTGGACATTTGGGTTGGTTCCAAGTCTTTGCTATTGTGAATAGTGCCGCAATAAACATACGTATGCATGTGTCTTTATAGCAGCATGATTTATAGTCCTTTGGGTATATACCCAGTTATGGGATGGCTGGGTCAAATGGTATTTCTAGTTCTAGATCCCTGAGGAATCGCCACACTGACTTCCACAATGGTTGAACTAGTTTACAGTCCCACCAGCAGTGTAAAAGTGTTCCTATTTCTCCACATCCTCTCCAGCACCTGTTGTTTCCTGACTTTTTAATGATTGCCATTCTAACTGGTGTGAGATGGTATCTCATTGTGGTTTTGATTTGCATTTCTCTGATGGCCAGTGATGATGAGCATTTTTTCATGTGTTTTTTGGCTGCATAAATGTCTTCTTTTGAGAAGTGTCTGTTCATGTCCTTTGCCCACTTTTTGATGGGGTTGTTTGTTTTTTCTTGTAAATTTGTTTGAGTTCATTGTAGATTCTGGATATTAGCCCTTTGTCAGATGAGTAGGTTGCAAAAATTTTCTCCCATTTTGTAGGTTGCCTGTTCACTCTGATGGTAGTTTCTTTTGCTGTACAGAAGCTCTTTAGTTGAATTAGATCCCATTTGTCAATTTTGTCTTTTGTTGCCATTGCTTTTGGTGTTTTAGACATGAAGTCCTTGCCCATGCCTATGTCCTGAATGGTATTGCCTAGGTTTTCTTCTAGGGTTTTTATGGTTTTAGGTCTAACATGTAAGTCTTTAATCCATCTTGAATTGATTTTTGTATAAGGTGTAAGGAAGGGATCCAGTTTCAGCTTTCTACATATGGCTAGCCAGTTTTCCCAGCACCGTTTATTAAATAGGGAATCCTTTCCCCATTGCTTGTTTTTCTCAGGTTTGTCAAAGATCAGATAGTTGTAGATATGTGGCATTATTTCTGAGGGCTCTGTTCTGTTCCATTGATCTATATCTCTGTTTTGGTACCAGTACCATGCTGTTTTGGTTACTGTAGCCTTGTAGTATAGTTTGAAGTCAGGTAGTGTGATGCCTCCAGCTTTGTTCTTTTGGCTTAGGATTGACTTGGCGATGTGGGCGCTTTTTTGGTTCCATATGAACTTTAAAGTAGTTTTTTCCAATTCTGTGAAGAAAGGCATTGGTAGCTTGATGGGGATGGCATTGAATCTCTAAATTACCTTGGGCAGTATGGCCATTTTCACGATATTGATTCTTCCTACCCATGAGCATGGAATGTTCTTCCATTTGTTTGTATCCTCTTTTATTTCCTTGAGCAGTGGTTTGTAGTTCTCCTTGAAGAGGTCCTTCACATCCCTTGTAAGTTGGATTCCAAGGTATTTTATTCTCTTTGAAGCAATTGTGAATGGGAGTTCACTCATGATTTGGCTCTCTGTTTGTCTGTTATTGGTGTATAAGAATGCTTGTGATTTTTGTACATTGATTTTGTATCCTGAGACTTTGCTGAAGTTGCTTATCAGCTTAAGGAGATTTTGGGTTGAGACAATGGGGTTTTCTAGATATACAATCATTTCATCTGCAAACAGGGACAATTTGACTTCCTCTTTTCCTAATTGAATACCCTTTCTTTCCTTCTCCTGCCTAATTGCCCTGGCCAGAACTTCCAACACTATGTTGAATAGGAGTGGTGAGAGAGGGCATCCCTGTCTTGTGCCAGTTTTCAAAGGGAATGCTTCCAGTTTTTGCCCATTCAGTATGATATTGACTGTGGGTTTGTCATAGATAGCTCTTATTATTTTGAAATACGTCCCATCAATACCTAATTTATTGAGAGTTTTTAGCATGAAGGGTTGTTGAATTTTGTCAAAGGCCTTTTCTGCATCTATTGAGATAATCATGTGTTTTTTGTGTTTGGCTCTGTTTATATGCTGGATTACATTTATTGATTTGCATATATTGAACCAGCCTTGCATCCCAGGGATGAAGCCCACTTGATCATGGTGGATAAGCTTTTTGATGTGCTGCTGGATTCGTTTTGCCAGTATTTTATTGAGGATTTCTGCATCAATGTTCATCAAGGATATTGGCCTAAAATTCTCTTTTTTGGTTGTGTCTCTGCCTGGCTTTGGTATCAGAATGATGCTGGCCTCATAAAATGAGTTAGAGAGGATTCCCTCTTTTTCTATAGATTGGAATAGTTTCAGAAGGAATGGTACCAGTTCCTCCTTGTACCTCTGGTAGAATTCGGCTGTGAATCCATCTGGTCTTGGACTCTTTTTGGTTGGTAAGCTATTGATTATTGCCACAATTTCAGCTTCTGTTATTGGTCTATTCAGAGATTCAGCTTCTTCCTGGTTTAGTCTTGGGAGAGTGTATGTGTCGAGGAATTTATCCATTTCTTCTAGATTTTCTAGTTTATTTGCGTAGAGGTGTTTGTAGTATTCTCTGGTGGTAGTTTGTATTTCTGTGGGATCGGTGGTGATATCCCCTTTATCATTTTTTATTGCGTCTATTTGATTCTTCTCTCTTTTTTTCTTTATTAGTCTTGCTAGTGGTCTATTTTGTTGATCCTTTCAGAAAACCAGCTCCTGGATTCATTAATTTTTTGAAGGGTTTTTTTGTGTCTCTATTTCCTTCAGTTCTGCTCTGATTTTAGTTATTTCTTGCCTTCTGCTAGCTTTTGAATGTGTTTGCTCTTGCTTCTCTAGTTCTTTTTATTGTGATGTTAGGGTGTCAATTTTGGATCTTTCCTGCTTTCTCTTGTGGGCATTTAGTGCTATAAATTTCCCTCTACACACTGCTTTGAATGCGTCCCAGAGATTCTGGTATGTTGTGTCTTTGTTCTCGTTGGTTTCAAAGAACATCTGTATTTCTGCCTTCATTTCGTCATGTACCCAGTAGTCATTCAGGAGCAGGTTGTTCAGTTTCCATGTAGTTGAGAGGTTTTGAGTGAGATTCTTAATCCTGAGGTCTAGTTTGATTGCACTGTGGTCTGAGAGATAGTTTGTTATAATTTCTGTTCTTTTACATTTGCTGAGGAGAGCTTTACTTCCAACTATGTGGTCAATTTTGGAATAGGTGTGGTGTGGTGCTGAAAAAAATGTATATTCTGTTGATTTGGGGTGGAGAGTTCTGTAGATGTCTATTAGGTCTGCTTGGTGCAGAGCTGAGTTCAATTCCTGGGTATCCTTGTTGACTTTCTGTCTCGTTGATCTGTCTAATGTTGACAGTGGGGTGTTAAAGTCTCCCATTATTAATGTATGGGAGTCTAAGTCTCTTTGTAGGTCACTCAGGACTTGCTTTATGAATCTGGGTGCTCCTGTATTGGGTGCATATATATTTAGGATAGTTAGCTCTTCTTGTTGAATTGATCCCTTTACCATTATGTAATGGCCTTCTTTGTCTCTTTTGATATTTGTTGGTTTAAAGTCTGTTTTATCAGAGACTAGGATTGCAACCCCTGCCTTTTTTTGTTTTCCATTGGCTTGGTAGATCTTCCTCCATCCTTTTATTTTGAGCCTATGTGTGTCTCTGCATGTGAGATGGGTTTCCTGAATACAGCACACTGATGGGTCTTGACTCTTTATCCAATTTGCCAGTCTGTGTCTTTTAATTGGAGCATTTAGTCCATTTACATTTAAAGTTAATATTGTTATGTGTGAATTTGATCCTGTCATGATGATGTTAGCTGGTTATTTTGCTCGTTAGTTGATGCAGTTTCTTCCTAGTCTCCATGGTCTTTACATTTTGGCATGATTTTGCAGCAGCTGGTACCGGTTGTTCCTTTCCATGTTTAGTGCTTCCTTCAGGAGCTCTTGTAAGGCAGGCCTGGTGGTGACAAAATCTCTCAGCATTTGCTTGTCTGTAAAGTATTTTATTTCTCCTTCACTTATGAAGCTTAGTTTGGCTGGATATGAAATTCTGGGTTGAAAATTCTTTTCTTTAAGAGTGTTGAATATTGGCCCCCACTCTCTTCTGGCTTGTAGGGTTTCTGCCGAGAGATCCGCTGTTAGTCTGATGGGCTTCCCTTTGAGGGTAACCTGACCTTTCTCTCTGGCTGCCCTTAACATTTTTTCCTTCATTTCAACTTTGGTGAATCTGACAATTATGTGTCTTGGAGTTGCTCTTCTCAAGGAGTATCTTTGTGGTGTTCTCTGTATTTCCTGAATCTGAACATTGGCCTGCCTTGCTAGATTGGGGAAGTTCTCCTGGATAATATCCTGCAGAGTGTTTTCCAACTTGGTTCCATTCTCCCCGTCACTTTCAGGTACACCCATCAGATGTAGATTTGG
Organism: Homo sapiens; assembly: GCF_000001405.40. Lineage (NCBI taxonomy): Eukaryota > Metazoa > Chordata > Mammalia > Primates > Hominidae > Homo > Homo sapiens. Next base: position 49,775,727 of record NC_000018.10, read on the forward strand.
TCTTTTCACATAGTCCCATATTTCTTGGAGGCTTTGCTCATTTCTTTTTATTCTTTTTTCTCTAGACTTCCCTTCTCACTTCATTTCATTCATTTCATCTTCCATCACTGATACCCTTTCTTCCAGTTGATCGCATCGGCTCCTGAGGCTTCTGCATTCTTCACGTAGTTCTCGAGCCTTGGTTTTCAGCTCCATCAGCTCCTTTAAGCACTTCTCTGTATTGGTTATTCTAGTTATACATTCTTGTAAATTTTTTTCAAAGTTTTCAACTTCTTTGCCTTTGGTTTGAATGTCCTCCCATAGCTCAGAGTAATTTGATCGTCTGAAGCCTTCTTCTCTCAGCTCATCAAAGTCATTCTCCGTCCAGCTTTGTTCCGTTGCTGGTGAGGAACTGCGTTCCTTTGGAGGAGGAGAGGCGCTCTGCTTTTTAGAGTTTCCAGTTTTTCTGTTCTGTTTTTTCCCCATCTTTGTGGTTTTTATCTACTTTTGGTCTTTGATGATGGTGATGTACAGATGGGTTTTTGGTGTGGATGTCCTTTCTGTTTGTTAGTTTTCCTTCTAACAGAGAGGACCCTCAGCTGCAGGTCTGTTGGAGTACCCTGCCGTGTGAGGTGTCAGTGTGCCCCTGCTGGGGGGTGCCTCCCAGTTAGGCTGCTCAGGGGTCAGGGACCCACTTGAGGAGGCAGTCTGCCCGTTCTCAGATCTCCAGCTGCGTACTGGGAGAACCACTGCTCTCTTCAAAGCTCAGATGGAAATGCAGAAATCACCCGTCTTCTTCGTTGCTCACGCTGGGAGCTGTAGACCAGAGCTGTTCCTATTCGGCCATCTTGGCTCCTCGATTTCCAATTTTATTCTACTGTAGTCTGAGACAGTACTTGATATAATTTCAGTTTTCTTGAATTTACTGAGACTTGTTTTGTGTCCTATCATATGGTCTATCTTGGAGAATGTTCCATGTGCCAATGAATAGAATGTATATTCTGCAGTTGTTTGGTAGAGTGTTCTGTAAATGTCTCTTAAGTCCATTTGTTGTAGGGTATAGTTTATGTCCATTGTTTGTTGACTTTCTCTCTTGATGACCTGTCTAGTGCTGTCAGTGGAGTACTGAAGTTCCCCACTTTTATTGTGTTGCCATCTATTTCATTTCTTAGGTGTAGTAGTCATTGTTTTATAAATTTGGAAGCTCCAATGTTAGGTGCGTATATATTTAGGACTGTGATATTTTCCTGTTGGACTAGTCCTTTTATCATTATATAGTGTCCCTCTTTGTGTTTTGTTTTGTTTTGTTTTTTGAGACAGAGTCTCACTCTGTCACCAGGCTGGAGTGCAGTTGTGAGGTCTCGGCTCACTGTAACCTCTGCCTCCCCAGTTCAAGCGATTCTCCTGCCTCAGCCTCCCAAGTAGCTGGGACTATGGGCGCACACCACCATGCCCAGCTGATTTTTGTATTTTTAGGAGAGACAGGATTTTACCACATTGGCCAGGGTTGTCTCGATCTCGACCTTGTGATCTGCCTGCCTCCGCCTCCCAAAGTGCTGGGATTACAGGCATGAGCCACTGCACCCGGCCCCTCTTTGTCTTTTTAAACTTCTTTTGCTCTAAAGTTTGTTTTGTTTTATGTAAGAATAGCTACTCCTGCTTGCTTTTGGTGTCCATTTGCATGGAATATCTTTTTCCTTCCCTTACCTTAAGTTCATGTGAGTCTTTATGTGTTATGTTAGTCTCCTGAAGACAGCAGAAACTTGGTTGGTGAATTCTTATCCATTCTGCCATTCTGTATCTTTTAAGTGGAGCATTTAGGCCATTAACAGTCAACGTTAGTGTAGAGATGTGAAGTACTATTCTATTAATTGTGCTATTTGTTGCCTGAATACCTGTGTGTTTTTTTTCATTGTGTTATTGTATTTTAGGTCCTGTGAGATTTATGCTTTAAGGAGGTTTTATTTTGGTGCATTTTGAGGATTTGTTTCAAGGTTTAGAGCTCCTTTTTGCACTTCTTGTAGTGCCGGCTTTGTAGTGGCAAATTCTCAGCATGTGTCTGGAAAAGACTGAATCTTCCTTCATTTATGAAGCTTAGTTTTGCTGGATTAAAAATTCTTGGCTGATAATTGTTTTGTTTAAGGAGGCTAAAAATAGGACCCCCCCAATCCCTTCTAGCTTGTGGGGTTTCTGCTGAGAAATCTGCTGTTAATCTGATAGGTTTTCCTTTGTGGGTTACCTGATGCTTTTGCCTCACAGCTTTTAAGATTCTTTCCTTTGTCTTGACTTTAGATAACCTGATGACTATGTGCCTAGGTGATGATCTTTTTGTGATGAATTTCCCAGGTGTTCTTTGAGATTCTTGTATTTGGATGTCTAGATTTCTAGCAAGACTGGGGAAGTTTTCCTCGATTATTCCCTCAAATATGTTTTCCAAACTTTTAGATTTCTCTTCTTCCTCAGGAACACCAATTATTCTTAGGTTTGGACATATAACATAGTCCGAAACTTCTTGGCAGCTTGTTCATTTTTTAAATTATTTTTTGTCTTCGATGAATTGGGTTAATTTGAAAGCCTTGTCTTTGAGCTCTGAAGTTCTTTCTTCTGCTTGTTCAATTCTATTGCTGAGACTTTCCAGTGCATTTTGCATTTCTCTAAGTGTGTCCTTGGTTTCCAGAAGTCATTATTGTTTTTTATTTATGCTATGTATTTCACTAAAGACTTTTCCTTTCATATCCTGTGTCATGTTTTTGATTTCTTTAAGTTGGACTTCACCTTTCCCTGGTGTCTCCCTGATTAGCTTAATAATCGACCTTCTGAATTCTTTTTCAGGCAATTCAGAGATTTCATCTTGGTTTGGATCCACTACTGGTGAGCTGGTGTGATCTTTTGGGGGTGTTAAAGAAACTTGTTTCATCATATTACAATAATTGTTTTTCTGTTTCCTTCTCATTTGGGTAGACTATGTCAGAGGGAAGATCTAGGACTCAAGGGCTGCTGTTCAGATTCTTTTGTCCCACAGGGTGCTTACTTGATGTGGTGTTCTCCCCCTTCCCCTAGGAATAGGGCTTCCTGAGAGCCGAACTGCAGTGATTGTTTTTGCTCTTCTGGGTCTAGCCACCCAGTGAAGCTACCAGGCTCTGGGCTGGTACCGGGGAATGTCTGCAAAGAGTCCGGGGAAGTGATCTGTCTTCAGGTCTTTCAGCCGTGGATAACAGCACTTGCTCCAGTTGGAGGTAGCAGGGGAGTGAAGTGGGCTCTGTGAGGGTCCTTGGTTGTATTTTTGTTTAGTGTGCTGGTTTGTGTTGGTTGGCCTCTAGCCAGGAGGTGGTGCTTTCAAGAGCATATCAGCTGCAGTATTATAGGGAGGATGCAAACTTGCCCTGGGGACACCCGGTTTTCAGGTTTCTCAAGCAGTGGGCAGGGCCAGAGAGCTCCCAAGAGATTATGACATCTGTCTTCGGGTACCAGGGCAAGTAGAGAAAGACCCCAGGTGGGGGCAGGGTTGGACATGTCTGAACTCAGATTCTCCTTGGGCAGGGCTTGCTGCAGCTGCTGTAAGGGATGGGAGTGTGGTTCCCAGGCCAATGGAGTTATGTTCCCAGGGGGATTATGGCTGCCTATGCTGAGTCATACAGGTTGTCAGGGAAGTGGTGGGAAGCCGGCAGTCACAGGCTTCACCCCGCTTCCACATAGCCCACAGTCCTAAAGGCTGGTCTCACTCCCACCATGCCTTGCCAACAGCACCGAGTCTATTTTCAGACAGCCGAAGACCAGGGCTGAGAACTTGCCCCAGACCACGAGCCTTCCCATCGAGAAAGCAAGCAGACTCACAGTTTTTTGGTGTCTCAGGGAGCCTGCAGCAGTGATCCAGTTCCTTCACAAAGGGGTCTGTGGATTGTCTCAGCTTTCTTGGTATGTTCCTGCCAGTTCTTGGAGCAAAAGTTCATGATGTTAGTTTCCACATACTGCTCCATCCGTCTGAGTGGGAGCTGTAATCTAGTCCTGCCTCCTATCCATCATCTTTTTGTTTTTGTTTTTTGAGACAGAGTTTTGCTCTTGTTGCCCAGGCTGCAGTGCAAAGGCACAACCTCGGCTCACTGTAACCTCTGCCTCCCGGGTTCAAGTGATTCTCCTGCCTCAGCCTTCTGAGTAGCTGGAATTACAGGCAGGTGCCACCACACCCAGCTAATTTTGTATTTTTAGTAGAGACAGCGTTTCAGCATGTTGGTCAGGCTGGTCTCGAACTCCTGACATCAGGTGATCCACCCGCCTCAGCCTCCCAAAGTGGTGGGATTACAAGTGTGAGCCACTGTGCCCGGCCCCATCCATCTCTTAATCCTTTGAAGATTAAGCAATTTTTATGCTATAATTTCTTCAAACATCATCTGTCCATCTATCCATTCACCCATCCATCCAAGCACTCATTCCATCAACAACATTATTGTGCATCTACCATGTGCCAGGCGCTGTGCTAAACACATGAAGTCTTTGCCTTTATGGAGTTTACAGTCTAATGAGGGAGTGAGACAGTAAATGGACTACTAAGTGAATATGAATTCAGGAAAGTTCCATAAAGGTCAGGGTGCTACAGTGGAAAGTCTCAGGGCGAGGAACTTAGGGTGAACAGAACAGAGAACCTGACTGAAGAGGAAGCATCTGAGACTTGGTGAGCGGGACCCAGGCCCAGGAAGGCACAGGAAAGAACATCTGCCAAAGCCCTATGGCATGAAAGAGCATGGTGTGCAAGCCGTCCCCAGAAAGGCCATTTGTCTGAAGCACTGGGAGCTAGAGGAGTGGCCTGAGATCACGTTAGAGTCACCATAGTTTGAGTTTTTAAAAGATGCTCCTGGTGGCTTCTTAGAGAATGACTGAAGAGGGGTAAGAATGGAGGTAGGAGCCTCTAAAAGCTCTTGTGGTTGTCCAGGCAAGAGATTCTGGTGGCTTAGGACCACAGTAGTGGAGGTGGAGAGGGGAAGAAATGGATGTATTTGAGCTATATCTTGGAAGAACTGATAATACTTGCTGATAGACTGGAGATGAAGAGTGAGGGAGAGGGTAGAACTGAGGGAAATGCCTGGATTTCTGACTTGAGCTACTGGCACTGAGAAGAACTTGAAGAGGGAGCTGGTTAAGTGGGATATGATAAAAGTTACTGCTCAGGGCATGTTTAAGAAGACATCTGTGAGAAAAGTCAAGACGGGAGTTTGCTACAGCAGTCTGGAGGTAGAGACCAGTGCTGGGATGTAAATGTGATGATATATTATGTATGTATATATGTATGTACTTTGAAACAGGGTCTCACTCTGTCATCCAAGCTTCAGTGCAGTGGCCCAATCACGGCTCACTGCAGCCTCAACCTCCTGGGCTCAAACAATCCTCCCACCTCAGCCTCCTGAGCAGCTGGCACTACAGGCACATGCCATCACACCCAGCTCATTTTTCTGGTTTTTTGTTTTGTACAGATGTGGTCTCACTATGTTGCCCAGACTGGTCTTGAAGTCGTGGGCTCATGTGATCCTCTGGCCTTGGCCTCCAAAGTGCTGGGATTACAGGCATGAGCCACTGCACCCAGCCAAATGTAATGGTATTTAGAATCATAGAAAGAAATCGCCACAAATCCAAAAACCAATCCCAAGAAACTCACAGCAGTGGAGCAGCTGCCCAAGAAGATGAAAAAGAATGGCCTGAGAGGCAGTGGAAAAGCAGAGACATGAACAGAAGTCAGTTCAAGGAGGAGTGGTCAACTGGGTCATGTTTTGGAGAAGTCAAATAAGGTGAAGACAGAAAGATCTCCACTAGTTCTGGCAATATGAACATAAAGGGTGGCATGAGCAAGAGAACTGTGGCTTAAGTGGTGGCAGCCAAGTAAGATTAGAGTGAAGAATGAATGAACCACTCATAAAGTCCTTAAGAAAACTAAGAATAGAAGGAAACTTCCTGACCTTGATAAAGCATTATCTATCAGAAACCTACTGTAAGCATCAACTTAGTGAGGAACGAATATGAGCATTACCACATTTTATTTCCTCCAGTACTGCGCCAGTGGTCTCAGCACAAGGCAAAAAGGCAATAAAAATAAATGAGATACTATCTGCATGATTCAAATTAATAAAAGGGTTCCACAAGCTGGCTAGATATATAATATCCAAAAGCTATTCATTAGCAATAATCAAATGTAAAAGAAAATAGGAAAAAGGTCTCAGTTGGATAACAAAACTACACAAGACCTTTATGGGGAAAAGCGATAAACCTTTACCAAGGCCTGTGCCAGGAGATGCCCTGGGAAGCGGATTGCTTCAGCTATTGGCGACAATTCCTTCTTCATCTGGAAATTCATAGGCTTGATAAACTATCACTAGTGTTTCTAGAAGATGGTAACATGTGACCTTGGTCATTTCATCCCAGAGAAAGTTTATTATAAGTTACAACAAACGAAGAATATGTAAAAAACAAAATGTTCTGCAAAACATTGTTTTATTATGAGAAATTATACAGGGCTCTTACTTTTTAATATTTTTATGACAGTAGAGGAAGCCTGCTGCTTCTCAGTAAGGATCCCAAACAATAAAAGCTGGACTTGCCTGTTGCCACTAGTCCATTATCCCAAACCGTGGGTAGGCCGCTTGTCATCTGCCTCTCTATGACAGAAAGGGGGATGTATGTGCCACTTCAGCTTTTTAATCAAATGAAGGAAACCATATAAGCAAAGGGTTGAGGAAACAGTGTAGGTACTTATGATACTATTATTTAACATCTAGTATTATTTAACATCTATTATTCAGTGAGCCATGACTGTGCCACTGCAATTCTGCCTGGGTGACAGAGCAAGATGCTATCTCAAAAAAAAAAAAAAAAGGCCGGGTGCAGTGGCTCACGCCTGTAATCCCAGCACTTCTTTGGGAGGCCGAGGCGGGTGGATCACGAGGTCAGGAGATCGAGACCATCCTGGCTAACACGGTGAAACCCCATCTCTACTAAAAATACAAAAAATTAGCCGGGCGTAGTGGCAGGCGCCTGTAGTCCCAGCTACTGGGGAGGCTGAGGCAGGAGAATGGCATGAACCCAGGAGGCGGAGCTTGCAGTAAGCTGAGATCGCGCCACTGCACTCCAGCCTGGAGGACAGAGCGAGACTCTGTCTCAAAAAAAAAAAAAAAAATTTCCCCCCAATAAATGTATAACCCATAAATTCAATTTAATCTTAATTAAAATTTCCAGTGGCTCTTTGATGAAGTTAACAAGAATAGGGCCTTGCCCTACTAGATATCCAGTCTTAGAACAGACAAATAAAGCAATGGAAGTGTTGTGGGGGCATTTTAAAGGGAGAAAATAAAGGATGAAAGATGGCCTTTAAGCTGGGAAGAAGGAAGTAAGGTTTATACACACAGCAGAATATTATTCAGCCTTTAAAAAGAAGGAAATTCTGACACATGCTACACCATAAGGTGGATGAATCTTGAGAACATTATATAAAGTAAAGTAAAATAAGCCAGTCACGAAAGGACAGATATTTATAATTTCACTTATGAGGTACCTCGAGTCATCAAATTTATAGAAACAAAATACACTGGTGGTTGTCAGGGGATGGGGGATGGGAGAATCAGGAGTTATTGTTTCCATGTGTGGTGACTGAAAAAGTTCTGTTGATAAAAAGTGGGGATGTTTGTATAAAAATGTGAATGTACTTAATACCAGTGAATTGTACGCTAAAAAAGGGTTAAGATGGTAAAGTTTATGTAATGTGTATCTTATCACAATTTAAAATTTTTAAAAATATAAATGACAGGAAAATATTAACTGAAGTTAAGGCAACATTTATTTGATTTCCTTATAATCATATTATCTAAGGCAGAAGTGGTGGTTACTTGGCAAGAATACGATTTCTTTTAATGTCTTCTATAGTTGAGTTTTAGCTCAGAAATACATCATATTTCACTGGTTCAAATCTGAGAGAATGTACTTCTAGCATGGGCTCCTATTCATGATCAATGCATTTTTGTGTCACCATGGCTTGATCAAACTTAATCACTGTTTCAATGGCAGGGCATGGCCAGTTGTGGCAGCTGCTCTGAAGGTCACTTGTTTTACTGTGGCCTGGCCAAGTAGAGTAAGGATGGGTCACAGTGAGCTCACTGGTCTCTTCAGGCTGTGCTCTGAATGATGACAGCAATACCTTGGCCACCTCCAATGCAAGCTGATCCAACGGCATATTTTCCACCTCGACGCCTGAAAAAGAAAGCAGTGACTGAAATCTACTCTAATAAAAAATCAGATTAATGAAATAGAACTAATAACATCACATCTGCATTACTCATCCTTATTCAGCTCATCTGCTCAATCTTTTCCCCAGTCCTCAATTTTGGTATAATTACAACAGGCAACAGACTTTGGAAAGCTGAAAGTTTTTAATCAAAAAAAACAAAAAACAAAGAACAAAAACAAACACCAGAAGAGGGAGGCAAACTAAAAAGGAGATGAGTGGATTTAGGGTTATAGAGTAGATTTAGGGTATATGAAACACATACAGAAGCTTGTGTGTGTTACGGGAAAGGAGTGAGAAGAGGAGGTAACTGGATAAATGGGAAGCTGGGGAAGGGGATGAACATTAAGCTCCTTTGATTTATATATTTGATTTATATAGTGTGAGAGCCTCATGGCACCTTAGAAGAAATGTAATTAATAAAGTTTGTCCCTATGAAAGGGCAGATAATTTAGAAACTATCCATGTCCCTTTCATAAAAATTAGACTCTTTTAAAGTACTCCTCACTCCTAATATGATGACTTCGAGAAAATTATCCAGGAATTACTTTTGTATGTGGCAATCACCTATTTCAACTCAGGGAATCATTAAGTGAAATAAGAGTCACATTTCCCCTGGCCTAACAGGGAGTCAGAGTAATTTTTCAGCCTGACTTACTTGGTTTTGTTTGCAATTTTTCTACAGAGCAAAATATTCCAAAAATAGAAGAGCTCCTCCTTCTGGTACTATCTATCAAAACTGAAAAGCACCAAACACCCAAAAGGTTCCTCCTGGAACCCTGCAAGCAGTGAAAAGAAAAACTTAGACCCAAATGTCAGTTTGCTTAGATTTCATAAATTATGGCATCTAGATCAGTACTCACTCAGTACTTTTTTTTTCTAAAATAGATTTATTTTACTCCTGTAACTGGCACTAAAATACAAGTGCCATGAGAAGCAGGGCCTCATTATCTGCTCATGCAGTGAACACAAGCTGAGTGGGGCACACAGTGCACAGAGACTGGACACACAGAGGAAGAGCTTGGTTCTTAAGTGCAAAGCCACTAACAAGGTGACTGACTCATCTATGAGACCAGATGAAAAGCACTGCCCAAGTAACTTGTTCCTGGTAACAGCCAGTGCAGGAGACATGAAGAAGAATGAAAAATGTTGGAGTGTTCTGGGGAAGCCTAAATCCATGCATTTCTATAAAAAACAGCAAATCTGAAATGCAGCTATTTCTAGCAAATACCTTAATTCGTGAACCAGGTGTGCAGTAATTCTTGATCCAGATCCTCCCAGTGGGTGACCCAAAGCAATGGCTCCTCCATTCACATTGGTTTTACTTATGTCAAGATCCAAACTCCTCTCAACAGCCAAGTACTGGGGAGCAAAAGCTTCATTCACCTTAAAACAAAAATTAGAGCACTAACAAAAATCCTTACTCACAAACTAATTTTTAAATGAGAATGGTCCAGTCCTATCAACAGCTAAGTCTGCTGTTTCTTCCTATTTAAATTACCTCGCAAAGTTATTTTATCTACAATCATTCTGCATAAAGCTATCAGGTTTAAAATGTGTATATTTACTAAATAATACTTTTAGTCAAATGCATCCCTTAGAGGCAATTCTCAGTAATCCCATAAATTGACACATACCAGACACAGTGGGATACTGTAGAAAGCCCACAGGTTTTAGAACTGGATGGATGGTTCAAATATTGGCTATACCATTTGTTAGGGTGTGACCTTATGCATATTCTTTAAACTCTTTAAATTCACGTTTCCGCGTGTGAAAATGTGACTGTGGTATCATGCTAAGAGTCACTGTCACAGTTAGATAAAATCATGAGTATTAAGTGTCCAGTGTGTTACCTGAAACATGGCAAGTACTCAATAAGTGGTTGCAAGTATTATTATTATTATGCAGTACTAGGAGCTATCCTTCCAAGAAGCTGACACACAACAAAGAATAAACCTTCAAAGCCACGTACATAAAGGGAACAGTTACTATGTTGAAATGTGGCAGAACTGAAAAGTATATTATGTTATACTTACACAAACTGGCAATTACCTTACTTCAAGTTTACAGTACTGTATTATCATATGATCTTAATTCAGGAATTTTATAGATAAGGAAACTCATTCTAAGAAAGGTAACTTTTGCAGAGTTGGGATAAAATTCAGTCTTGTGCTCTTTCCTACTATACTTTGTGGTCTCTCAAGATGGTGCCTCATATGTGCTTAGATCCACCATTATCTTTCTACTCTATATACAGAGCCATCTTCAAGGAGGTACTAAGAGACCTAGAATAGGTAGTGAAACTAGGCTTTTGAACCTAGGAAAACTATGGTCTGAGTTATGTCCTTGAGAATGTATACATTTCCAAATGATTATGAACAACTTCCCAAAGTTGATATAGTTTAATAGTTTTAAATGTGAGGTCTAAAGTGAGAAATTTAGTGGTACCTATTTGCTGACACAAATATAATAAATTAAACAGCCTCTTTGAGGCTCTGAACTGTGATCTGCTAAAAGTGGAAGAGATTTAAAGATAAACCATTTGTCTGAAATCATGGTTTCCTGTGTGAGAGATTATCATAGAGGAAATCACACCTGTGCCTACCCCTTCGCTATCAAGTTAAATAGATTTCCTTTGTTCTATTAGTTATTTCCCAATGCCAGGCATCACATGCTTAATCACCTAAAATTTTCAAATAAATATTCCAAAAGTGTGGAATGTATATAACCATCTTTAAATGTTTCTCCACCTCTTCTTTTAATTATGCTTAAGACACTTTAGTTCTAATACTAACATTTAAAAAGAAATCACTCAATAAATTTAAGTTCCAGTGTCAAAAATTATGATAGGTGCATCCCAAATCAAGCTACAACTATCGTATAAAAGCCAAAGATACATTTAAGGGAGGGGGCTCTATCTGGCGAGAAGGGCAAGAAACTTGTAGATTTGGCACTAAATATTGCTTTTCTATTATGTCAATTATTTTACATATATTTTTTCACTTTAATATTCAACAGGCATGTTAATAGTCTAAAATGTAACAGTTTTATAAAGTAGTAAGAAATTCCCAGGAATTTATACTTGAGTAAGAGAAATCAGGCAGTTTGAATATTCAAATATAAATAAAGCATGTTAACCAGGTGGGGAAAAGTATCAACACAAGGCATCTAATGAAGGTACTATTTATTTAGATGTACATCATTTGGAAAGGCTAACTACAATGAAATTCAAAGAGCAATGAGACCAAATTAAAGTCATTTATGCTATAAAAGTACATGGTTTATTCATGTTGTTAAAAAAAAAAAAAAAAAAAAAAACACTTACCTCTACCAAATCCATGTCCTTAAGACTCAGTCCTGCTTTCTTCAGTGCCCCACTGATAGCAGGGACAGGACCTATATAATAATAAAAATCTTCTATAAAAATATAGAAATAAATGTCATCTTATATTTACGTATCAAGCTTCTCCTTCTTTCCAAGTAAGGAAGAAATAATGCGGCAGTTATTAGTAGCCACAAATCTTACTACCTTGACCGTACCTATTAAATGAAGTGACCATAAAGAGGCAGAAAAAGGGCCCAGGCATGGTGGCTCATGCCTGTAATCTCAGTACTTTGGGAGGCTGAAGTGGGAGGATCACTTTAGCCTCCTGGGCAACACAGCAAGACCCCATCTCTAAAAAAGAAAAAAAATAATAATAAAAATAAAATGGAACCAAGGTGAAAAGTTGTTTATACATTCAAACTGCAGATAAGAGAATTACATGAAAAGTTCTACCATAAACGGCTTTAAGATTGAAAACAGCCAAAGGAGTCCATATATGGGATTTTAGTTATGTTAATAGATTATAATTGATATCAAAGAGCAAGGCAGACTGAGTGCTCTACTTGGGATCCAAGCCATATGCATTCACAGCACAGAAGTTACTGTGGCTACACTCTGAATTTTCAGGCCCATTTGGATAAAAGACAAGAAATAGCAGTATCTCCACATGGGCACAGAGAGATGGGAAACTACGAGGCACTTCAGGGAAGGTTTTATGAAGTAAGGTGATGTTTACAACTCCAAGGGTAGGCAGGAAATTTAAATAAAACATAACTCCTAATTTAAGAAATGCAACTCCATCTAATAAGACTTCTGAAATAAACTTTAGCTCCCAGATTTCTGATGATGTAATGAGAGTTTAATATTGCTCATAATTTAAATCCATATTTTTTCTCAAAAGGTAAAAAATTTGGGTAGAGAAGATTATCTACTTCTCGACTTGTTCTTAAAGAATGAAACTGCCAAAAATGTCTACAAAGAAAAATATGTAGTATGTTCTGCTGAATTCAAGTAGTCAAATATTCTGCATCAAGTTTCACAAGCATTTTACCTTATAAAATGGAAAATCAGTCTTTACAAGAAAGGCATAATGAAACCTAAATATAATATTTATTTTGTCACGTAGTTAAAATACTCTTTGGACAACAAACCACGTGCTTATTGATTAGGACTATCCAGTTAATGCACTTCAATTTAAAATGCCAGTTTCATGTGGCTACTGATTTACTACAGCTACTGATTTACTACAGGATCTGATTCCAGATTCTCTTTGTATGTCTAAAGCATGAAATCATGAAAATGAGATGGGTAGTCAGTAGTAAAGCATCAGTTATCCAGCCTGGTGAGGGGATGAAGTAGCCAACAGTGGTGACAGACACATAAAAGGTGGACAATGTTCAGACCACTGTACACACTTCCTTGTCTGCATAAACAACACAGCAAGCATGACTCGTACTTTCACTTTAACTCAGAATCCACCGTAACAATATGCTAGGCCATAACTCGATTTTTAAAGGACTCTTCCCAGACCACTGTTATTTACTGGGACTTCAGGAAGGTTTAGTATTCTTGTTAGGAAAAGGAGACCTTATTTCTAGTCCTGGTTCCTGTCACTAATAGCTGTGCGACTTTGTGCATCTCTCTGGGCAACAAGCTACTCATCAATAGCACTCTGAATGGGTTTTCCACCTTTTTCTCTTTAAGCATCAGAATTCTTTTTGCATATGATGCCAAGTAATAGATAATGCCAGACTGCTCCAGCTGAAGAGGCTCAAAGTTCCACCCACCAACCTCTACCATTGCCACCCCTGAGGAGTTCCAGGGAGTGCTGTCTTTCTATAGCTGTGTATTTCCTCAGAACCAGTACTATTCTTTTCAAGTCATGGCTTTCCCCGTTTTTTTTTGGTCTGCAGCTATTCTGCAGGGCTAAGGATTGCTAGTCATTAGGTAATCATGGAACTGAGAACCACTATTCTTGTAAGTTAGATTAACAAACCAGTTCCCACTAGATACTTAATAACTTATTCTCCCCACTTATTCATCTGGGATGCTTCAACGAGTTACTTTGTTTAATCCCATCACTATATACAAGTGACAGCCAAACTTCTAGATGAAGGGGGCAGCTGATACTGTGGGACATCTGGAATGTACAGCTCTGTTCAAGCCCCGAGGAAAAATGACAATCCTACCACAGGAGCATTCTTTGTACTTTAGGGCAAATATTCAGGCCCAGGAACAGAAGGAAGGAAAACAACGCTTTCTTGGTTCACTGGCTATGCTAATCTACCAGAACCTATTAAATAAAGTTAAACTGAAAAAGGAGTATAAAATAGCCAACCCATGTCACATACATTTGTTTGATCATCAAAAGCATCTAGGTGTATGCAGGAAAAAAACCAACTCTGCTCTTGGGCTGGGCATGGTGGCTCACGCCTGTAATCCTAGCACTTTGGGAGGCTGAGGTGGGCGGATCACCTGAGGTCAGTAGTTTGAGATCAGCCTGGCCAACGTGGAAAAACCCTGTCTCTGCTAAAAATACAAAAATTAGCCAGGCGTGGGGGCGGGCACCTGTAATCCCAGCTACTGGGAAGAATGAGGTTGCAGTGAGCTGAGATCACGCCACTGCACTCCAGCCTGGGTGACAAAGCGAGACTCTGTGTCAAAAACAAAAAACAAAACCAACTCTGCTCTTGGGCTCCACTCTGGACTTACTGAAACAAAATCTAAGGGTGTGGGGGTTATGAGTGGATTCTGACAATCATCTGAGGTTGGGAACCACTACCCTAGATATCAAAATAATAAATGCCATAACAACATACGGATGTTTAATTTTTCCACCACCTTCCATTTCTAAGACAAAAGTTATCTTTTGCCAATAGTGGATAGCCAAAAGCTAATAAGCTTAAGATTGACTTTTCATATGTGTCAAAATATCTTGCAGTTCTTGCTGACATAAATTTGAGACACATAGTGAAAGATGACAAAATATGAACATGCCAGCTTTTTTTCTTAGGAACTCTATACAGAGATATGTCTTCTCTGAGGGACATGGCAGCAAATATGGTTGAGTATTAATCCCAAGTCAGTGTAAGTGGTATTGTTTGAGTAGAACCTGTAGGCTTACACTGAAGGATCTCTGAGATGGCAGGTCAGTAACAGGTTATCCTCCTCCTCCTCTCTTGGAACCCACCTCAGAAAACAATTTAGTTATTCAAAAAAGGGCTAAACAATCTGAAATCTATACCCTAGGGCAGGCTTTTCCTTACAGTGGGAGGTTATATGTAGGTGGGATATATCAAAGTTACTGAGCACCAAATTTTATTTTTCTAAGTAAGGCACCTAATTGGTTCCCTGTTCCCCCAGAGAATGACAGGAACTATTAAAATTCAGCATCGTGTGTGGTTCCTAGGAGTGCATCCAGCAAAAAGCTCTTTGTTCTACTTCTAAATCAAATATTTTAAGCCAAGACTATACATGTTTATGGACTTCCAAATTTTTTCCATCTAGCATTTTACCAATCTAATTATAAGTCTTTATTTTGCTAATACTCACCTGAGCAAGAGGAATATTAATTTGACTTCCTGAGACTATGCGTTTAACTCACAGTGAAGAGAGCACTTGATTTCAGAGAGACTTGGATTCACACCCTGGCTGTCACTTACTGATTTGGAACCTTGTAAGACAACCTCCCTAAGCCTCAATTTTCTCATTCACAAAGAAGTCTCCCTTACTGGAGACGTGGGAAGACTGAATGTGTGTAAAACAACCAGCAAGGAGCTGCGATACCACCTTCTCCATACAGCCTTCTCTGTTTCACCCCAGGATTTCTCCCATCTCATAATTTCTTTTATCTTGTCAGGATCACGTAATTCTTCTGTTATTTTCTGTGTTGATTTCTAAACTCTCAAAGGAACAATAAGATATAATTACTGTGTGTTGATTTTTTAAATCTCAAATGGACACTAAGATATGATTACTTCCTCCATGGAGTTTACACGGTCTTGGTTTTTCTATTGTGTCTAGGACAGTTCTTCATAAAGATTTTTTATTTAAACTGATTACCAATCTTCTTTTCTCTACAGGTGACCTTGGTTTGGCCACTTTTTCAGGACTCTGAATGCCAAAGAAGACTTACCTCCAGAAATATTATAGAACCAGTTTGTTTTACTATAAACTTACCAATACCCATGATAGAGGGATCACATCCAGATACAAAGTAGCCCACAATTCTTGCCAGTGGTGTGAAGTTATGTTTCTTAACAGCATCTTCACTAGCTATGATAACAGCTCCAGCACCATCAGCTACACCCTTGAAAATAAAAATACTAGATTAACTAAAGGCTAAAATAATCCAGTTAATCAAAGTTTGAACTAATGGACTAGTAGTATTAGGAATATGGCAGTACATAGGAAGCCAGTGCACAGTGTGAGATACAATTAGAAAAGTGGTACTGTGGTGGATGAAGGAGATTTTTTAAGGCACAGAATACAACTTTACTAAAGAACAAGGAAAAGGGTGTCAAGGAAAAACTTTTATCTAGATGTGAGTAGATGTAAGAAGAAATACGATAAACTGTATGCATGAGAAAAAAAAAAGTTTGAAAACCAAAATAAGCCAGATAGATTTGTTTCTGAAATTTCTTAGTTCTGAAAAAATTAAGAAATCAGAAGAGTATTATATAAATAAATATGAAAAGATTTTGTGTGGGTCTATGAAAACCTAAATTAATTGAATATGAACACTATTAGTTTAAGCTAAACAACTAAAGACTGGCATAAAAAGTATTTACAAGATACTTCATGATTACTTTTGTTGAACACACCAGGAAGAATTCAAGCTAATCTGTGTGGTGATACCAACCGATGCATTCCCTGCAGTAACAGTTCCATCTTTCTTGAATACTGGAGGAAGTTTCTGTAACTGTTCCAGGGTGGTTTGGGGCCGAGCATGCTCGTCTACCTGCATTGTCTGTTTTCCTTTCTTTGTCTTCACTTCAATTGGTGCCATTTCATCATTAAAGTAGCCAGCATCATTAGCTGAAAAATAGTAGAGAGACTATCATAAGAATAAAAGAGAGAAACATGAAAATAAATCAAACATATTATTCAATTTAATTTCTGATCTACCTTTTCCTCACAGTCTACTTTAATATTGAGTCTTTATTAATTTTTGAGATGGAGTCTCACATTGTCGCCTGGGCTGGAGTGCAACGGCACAGTCTCGGCTCACTGCAACCTCTGCCTCCCGGGTTCAAGTGATTCTCCTGCCTCAGCCTCCCCAGTAGCTGGGATTATAGGTGCCCACCACCATGCCCGGCTAATTTTTTTTATATTTTTAGTAGAGATGGGGTTTCTCCATGTTGGCCATGCTAGCCTCGAACTCACCACCTCGTGATCCACCCTCCTTGACCTCCCAAAGTGCTGGGATTACAGATATGAGCCACCACGCTCAGCCTGAGTCTTTACTATTTACTTACACAACTTACCTTCCGTATTGGAGGATTTACGATACCATCATGTGTTTATGTAGTTGCATTTTGCATCTTTTAAAAATTATAGAGTCTTTACTATTTACTTACACAACTTACCTTCCGTATTGGAGGATTTACGATACTGTCATGTGTTTATGTAGATGCATTTTGCATCTTTTAAAAATTATATTTTTAAAAATTATATTTTTTTAACCACAATTTTTTTTCACCAGGTACTGCTAAGACTGTTAGCAGCATCTGTCTGTTTGCTATAGATGTAATGGCAATAAATGGACTTAATACCCCTTTTAAACTTCTTTTGGTGAGATAAGCAATTAAAAAGTTACCAAGTTGTCTATGCCACAAAGTAATCTAACTGAAACTTAATAGTGATAGGCAACCTGAAGAAATTATGGGAGCAATCACTAATACAATTATAAGTAAAACATCTTACCTACTTTGACCTCCACTGACTAGAATGTACTGTAGTAATCTATAGCTTTGGAAATAGGGTCAGGAATAATACTAACCTTAATTTTCATATCACTTTACAATTGGCAAAATACTTTCCTTATATGCCCTTATTTGGTTTTAAAACAACCTTATTAGATAAATAGGGAAGGCAAATATTGTTATCTCTATCTTACAGAGGTTCAGTGAATAAATGATATGACTGAGCTTGATAACTTGTGCGTGGTAGAAGTAGAAACAGAACTGATAACTCTTGACTTCTAGACCAATCCTCTTCCACTATGAACATATAAGTAAAAAAACACACGAGTTAGATGGCATCAGCTCTATTCCACTTATCCTTCTGAAATGCTAAGATGGACTTTATCCTCATTACTTCAAGCATTTAATATTCCTAAATAAGAGTTTCCACTTGCTTTAACAGTTTAATTTTTTAAATATCACATTTCTTCAACTTGCTGCACTGCTAAAAGAACTGCTGTCACATTTGCCTGTTTTGGACCGGCTCTATAGCAACCTGCTGTGCTACACCAGGGCACTCTAACTAGAGTCTCGGACTAGTTCTAAGTCTCTGAGTTAGGTACAATGATTCTTAATTAGGAGTGGCAGAAGGAAAGCATAAAAGACCCAGTGGGTCTTTTCCAAATACATTACCCCTTCTTATGATTATGATATGGCTTGTGGGAGAGGACATCCTCTATATTCCAGTTGCCACAGTGAGCTATCACCTCTGACAGAACGTATCGTATTCCTCATCATGTTCTACTGACAACAGGACCAGTTCAGCACAAAACTCAAGGGTCCATCTAGGGTCAAGTAGCAATACCACTTTTTAAGTAGTACTAACTTTTTCAAAAGAGAAATTCCTAGTTAATTTTGCAATAATTAATAAAATATCTGATCATCTAAAGACAAAGGAATAATGAAAAGATGTAATAATTCTTAAAGGTATGATTTGTAAATATTATATAACCATAATAGAAATGATGAAAATATTTCCTATAGATATTTATTCTATAGATACTGATACTTTCCAGTTTCACTCACCAGCTTTCCATCTCTGCTGTGACTGCAGGGCATATTTGTCACATTCTTCTCTGCTTATTTTGTGTTTTACAGCAAGATTCTCTGCAGTCATTGCCATGGGGAGCTGGACATGCTGATCTGTTAATGATACCCATAAAGAATCTTCCAGCTATTAAAAGACATTAATAAAGTGACTTGTTAAGGCATTTCCTTTTAAAAGTAATATGTTATAATTTCTTTAAATAATCAACACTTCCAATAAACAAAAGTAAAATTAAGACTTTCTGATAACCACTATTCATATTCAGTTATGGGATATTTTTTAAAAACATGCAATGTTTTTGAAAACATTCAATGTCACAAAATAAAATGCACACATTCTCTGTCCCTCTCTAAATGTGGGGGTCTAAGAACAGCTAACAGGACTAGACGTGCATGGTGAGATCACAGAAGTTACCCTACGATCAAAAATTAAATCCTCAAGGTCATATTTTGTAGAAAACCTGACAATGAGTCTTCATGCAATGTTTTCTTATAGCCATCTTTGTAAACCAGCCCTGAGCTCTGTAATAAACAGTATTATCTGTTTTTCTTTTTCATCCTGCGCCTCAGTGACAGGAATAGCTGGTTCTATCGGTTACTATGAGGCTGAAAAGATCTTGGGACAGGTTCCCAGAGTTACAGAAAGGTTGTTAATTATTATTCAAGTAGTTAGTCTCTGGTAAGTGTGCCCCACTTTGCTGCCTCATCAACATTTAACTCACTGACCTGTCTTCATAAAAGATATCTCAAATGTGTTTGGTGGCTAAAATCCGCATAGATTCTCTTAAGTCCCATTCCTTTCAACTTCCAAAAAGGCCAGGTGAGAAACTGGGTGAACAGTGTGAGTCAAACATTACTATAGAAAATGCTAAAAAATATAAAATGTCAGTAGCCCTTTCACATGGGAATGAGAAGAAAACATCATTCTTTATCAGTACTGTACCATCATTCTCAAGTTGTAGCTCTCAAAGATAAAAGAATCAGTTTTTGTTTGATTTGGGACAATATAATCTGTATTCAAAGATGTTTTCTGTGATGATGAAGAAATCTATTCTGAGACTGTCCCAGAAATAAAACTTCTATAAGTCACGTTAAAGATTTAATTACTCAGATTACTAATTGTTTAGTAGTGAGATTAATTCACTCTTTTGTCTATCTTTTTAATCCACTTCTTCCCTTCCTCCATCTCTCCCATGCCTATGGCCACTTACACAGGATAATTATACTACTAGAGGTCTGCTGAGATAGATAGAATCTAATTTCATATGGGTTAAAATGTCAAAACTAACCACCAAAATAGAGTTTTGAAATAGTTTACAAACTTCTAATCATTCATATCTTGCCAATCCTCATCAACGAAATTGGCTTCAAAATTAGTTTTCTCTCCCATAAAAAGGTATGTTATTAAAAGTACTTATATAATGCTAATAAGAACTAATTCTTTTAAATTTTTATGGTTCCAACCTTGATATCTGATCCAAGCTTGGTTCCAAAACGCACATTTCTGACACAGTAGGGAGCTTGGCTCATGCTTTCGGTTCCTCCACATAAAACAACTTCAGCTTCTTTAACACAAATTTCCTATTTAAAAACAAACAGTAATAAAAACTCCTTTTACCGTACCCAAACAATGTATTAAGAAACACACTGATTTTACAAATTAATGGTAAATCAAACAAATATTGTACTGTAGCTTACAGTGTCTCAAAAGGAAATGCTTTTAAAGTAACTGTAAAGCAAATGCTAAAGTATCCATTACCAAGATGTAGGAGGAGAAAACTAAAAGGTTTCAATCATGTTTGCCTGAGTAACAGGCCCTACCTACATGTGGCTAAGAATAGTAATTCTTAACACAATATAAATCTTGAAAATCAACAGATATTAATACCTGGCATAAATGTACAGCAGATAATAAAGGACATACCCTTTAAAAAGGCAAAAGAAAAATTTATCCCATTAATGGATGTATCTGAACAAGAACAGAGATTTACAAGAACTAGTTCAATCTAGGTGACTCATAAAAAGGAAACCACTTCATTCTTCCAACACTTTCCACTGTTTGCCTTTCTCAGAAAAGGAGCAAATAATGAGCCTCTATGAACCTGATGGTTCTTAAAATTATTACTAGGAAAACCGAGGTCACTATTTAAGATATATCGTTATAGAAACAAATTAATGTGAAAATTGTTTTATTAAAATACGCCTCTGGCTCTTATTTTGTTTGTAATAAAATGAAGACTTTTACAAATGAAATTGGATTTCACTTTCTTCTCTGTGCTCAAAGAAACAAATGTATTTAACCAACTGTCCTTTAAAAAGGTCAAACTAGTTTGTACTTCTACTAACAGCATCATTCACTTCCTTTGAAATAAAATACATTTCCTTATCCTCTCCTAAATTCTTGAGATTTCCTGCTTGCCTCACGGTCTTTATTCAGTGCCTCACAGGTAACACTCACAGACCTGGGTTCAAATTCTATGACTGAGTAACCTTAATGGCTTTAATCAGTTTCCTTGCCTGTAAAATGGGAATAATAATAATAGTTCTTGCTTCATAGGATGGTTGTAAGATTAAATGAGATATTGAATGTAAATCTAGCAGGGTGCCTAGCATGTAGGAAGCACTCGAAAGAATGATGAACATACTAGCTTTTAAAAATATTGAAGTATATATATATATATAATACTTACCATTTTAACCATTTTTAAGTATACAGCTCAGTAGTTTAAGTGTATTCATAGTGTGATGCAACCATTACCATCACCCATCTCCAGAACGCTTTTCATCTTGCAAAACTGAAACTCCATATCCATTAAACACTAACTTTCCCTCACCAGTCCCTGGGAACACCATTCTACTTTCTGTCTCTATGAATTTGACTACGCTAGGTATCTCAAAGAAGTAGAAACATACAGTATTTGTCCTTTTATGACAGGCTTATTCCACTTTCAGGTTCATTATTAGCTTTTTTTTTTTTTTCTTTTTTTTGGAGCCAAGGTCTCACTCTGTTGCCCATGGCTGGAGTGCAGTGGTATGATCATGGTTTACTTGACCTCCAGGGCTCAAGCAATCCTCCCTAAAGCTAAAGTGTTATATTGCAGTGGGACATTTCTTCTAGTAACTATTAACATATTTTCAGAGAATTTAAAAAAATGTTGTCCATACCTGACATCCATTCACAATGGACTGAAAACCAGAACCACAGAGCCTATTAATCGTGAGAGCTGGGGTCTCCTTTGGGATTCCCACACGCAAACCAACATGCCTTGCCAAATATATAGCATCTGAAGAACTCTAGAAGAGAGAAGGAAAAGAAAAATAATTTTCTCTATAAATCTACTAATTAAGAACAAGCACGAAATACATGGAAATGTTGGCAATCTATCAAAAATGATAAACTATATGGCTCTAAGGTAGGACAAAATGCATCTAAGTACAGCATATTATATCTAATATGTGTTTACAATTTGAATAAAAACTACAGTCAATTGGGTTTTTTTCTATTTTTTTATTGGGGCAAAATACACATAACAAAATGTATCATTGTAACCATTTTTAAGTGTATAGTTCAATGGTATTATTTAAATACATTCATAATGTTGTGTAACCACAGTCAATTGGTTTTCAAATATATTAAAGATAATTGCTACTTAGAGAAATCCCATTAAGTCCTTAATATAAGACAGAAATTTATAACAATTAGAGTTATTTAAAAATGGAATACGCTATCCTAAAGTAGTATGCTCCTTAACAGAGGAAGTATCGGAGGCTGTGGTTCTCAACCTTGGTTGCAGGCTGGAATAACCTAGGAAGCTTTATTAACATACTCATGCTTAAGTTCCTAAGCAAATCAATTAAACCAGAAAGGCTGGAGGTGGGGCCTGGGCATCAGTAGTCACTTTTAAAAAGCATCCCAAGTAATTCTAATGTAAAACAGGCTGAGGACTGCATACTTAGGGAGAAGACAGATGAATGATTGGTCAGGAGAGTAAGAGGTAGGAGTAGACCACCACTCCCAAAACTTTAAAATGCATATGGGGGCGTCTTGTTATAATAAAATGTAAGTTCTGAATCAACAGGTCTAGGTCTGCCGGAGATTCTGCATTTCTAACCATTTCCCTGGTGAAGCTGATGTTGCTAGTCCAAGAACCACACTTTGAATAAAAAGAATGACTTAAAAAAAAAAAACCAACAACAACCAAAAACATTAACAGCCTGTTTTGGAGGCTGTTAGCAAGAGCAAAAGCAAGTTTGACAAAATGTAAAACATTGGTCTATCAAGGTACGGGGTTTTAGGATGTTCATTGTACTATTCTTTTAACTTTTGTGTAGGTTTCAAGTTTTTCAAAACTTGACAAATTCGGCACATTTATAAGTTAAGGGTTTTGAATGCAGATGGAACTGGGAGGAACTCAGTATAACATCAATTAATCTACTAACTAAATGTTTCATCTGTTGACTGAGATGAAATTATCTTATTTTACAAATTAATGTCATTAAAAAAATTCTTGGCCAATGGATATTCTTTTGCCAAGGTTTGTCAAATATCACATATCAACAGAATAAAAAAAATTTACACGATCATCTCGTGTAAATTATTAACAGATAAATATTTGGGGTTAGGCCTTTATGGTTAAGAGAGAACAGAATATGCTTCGAATAACATTTGACAAATACCACAAAGCTGCTTTTCTAATTGAGTTTAATATTATTAAATATCACTTGGAATAAATGAGTTTTACTTATTTCTTAGGAAACAATGAAATCCAATGTGGATTTCAACACAAAAAGTCAACAGAAAAAGTATTTGACAAAATACAACACCCTTTCATGACAAAAACACTGAACAAACTAGGAACAGATGGCAACTTTCTCAATCTGACAAAGGGAATCTATAAAAAATCCACAGCTCTCCCTCTCCCCCTCCTCCTCCCCCTCTCCCCACGGTCTCCCTCTGATGCCTAGCTGAAGCTGGACTGTACTGCTGCCATCTCGGCTCACTGCAACCTCCCTGCCTGATTCTCCTGCCTCAGCCTGCTGAGTGCCTGCGATTGCAGGCACGCGCCGCCACGCCTGACTGGTTTTCGTATTTTTTTGGTGGAGACGGGGTTTCGCTGTGTTGGCCTGGCTGGTCTCCAGCTCCTAACCGCGAGTGATCCGCCAGCCTCGGCCTCCCGGGGTGCTGGGATTGCGGACGGAGTCTTGTTCACTCAGTGCTCAATAGTGCCCAGGCTGGAGTGCAGTGGCGTGATCTCTGCTCGCTACAACCTCCACCTCCCAGCCGCCTGCCTTGGCCTCCCAAAGTGCCGAGATTGCAGCCTCTGCCCGGCTGCCACCCCGTCTGGGAAGTGAGGAGCGTCTCTGCCTGGCCACCCATCGTCTGGGATGTGGGGAGCCCCTCTGCCTGGCTGCCCAGTCTGGAAAGTGAGGAGCGTCTCTGCCTGGCCGCCATCCCATCTAGGAAGTGAGGGGCGCCTCTTCCCAGCCGCCATCCCGTCTAGGAGGTGAGGAGCGTCTCTGCCCGGCCGCCCATCATCTGGGATGTGGGGAGCGCCTCTGCCCGGCCGCGACCCCATCTGGGAGGTGAGGAGCGTCTCTGCCCGGCTGCCCCATCTGAGAAGTGAGGAGACCCTCTGCCCGGCAACCGCCCCGTCTAAGTGAGGAGCCCCTCCGCCCGGCAGCCACCCCATCTGAGAAGTGAGGAGCCCCTCCGCCTGGCAGCCACCCTGTCTGGGAAGTGAGGAGCGTCTCCGCCCGGCAACCACGCCATCCGGGAGGGAGGTGGGGGTCAGCCCCCACCAGGCCAGCCGCCCCGTCCGGGAGGGAGGTGGGGGTCAGCCCCCGGCCGGCCAGCCACCCCGTCTGGGAGGGAGGTGGGGGGTCAGCCCCCCGCCCGGCCAGCCGCCCCGTCCGGGAGGTGGGGGGGTCAGCCCCCCGCCCGGCCAGCCGCCCCGTCCGGGAGGGAGGGAGGTGGGGGGGTCAGCCCCCCGCCCGGCCAGCCGCCCCGTCCGGGAGGTGAGGGGCGCCTCTGCCCGGCTGCCCCTACTGGGAAGTGAGGAGCCCCTCTGCCCGGCCACCACCCCGTCTGGGAGGTGTGCCCAGCAGCTCATGGAGAACGGGCCATGATGACCGTGGCGGTTTTGTGGAGTAGAAAGGGGGGAAAGGTGGGGAAGGGATTGAGAAATCGGATGGTTGCCGTGTCTGTGTGGAAAGAAGTAGACATGGGAGACTTTTCATTTTGTTTTGTACTAAGAAAAATTCTTCTGCCTTGGGATCCTGTTGATCTGTGACCTTACCCCCAACCCCGTGCTCTCTGAAACATGTGCTGTGTCCACTCAAGGTTAAATGGATTAAGGGCGGTGCAAGATGTGCTTTGTTAAACAGATGCTTGAAAGGCAGCATGCTTGTTAAGAGTCATCACCACTCCCTAATCTCAAGTACCCAGGGACACAAACACTGCAGAAGGCCGCAGGGTCCTCTGCCTAGGAAAACCAGAGACCTTTGTTCACTTGTTTGTCTGCTGACCTTCCCTCCACTATTGTCCTGTGGGCCAAATCCCCCTCTGCGAGAAACACCCAAGAATGATCAATAAAAAAAAAAAAAAAAAAATCCACAGCTATCATCATATGTAAAGTTGAAAGGCCAGATGCTTTCCCCCTATAATCAGGAATAAGACAAAGATATCCATTTCTTATAACTTCTATTCAACATTGGAGATTCTAGCCAGGGCAATTAGGGAAGAAAAAGAAATAAAAAGAATCCACATTGGATTTCATTGTTTCCTATGAAATAAGTAAAACTCATTTATTCCAAGTGATATTTAATAATATAAAACTCAATTAGAAAAGCAGCTTTGTGGTATTTGTCAAATGTTATTCGAAGCATATTCTGTTCTCTCTTAACCATAAAGGCCTAACCCCAAATATTTATGTTAAGCACTTAACATCCTTACAAGAAAACTCTATCTTGGCCTGACAGAAAACTTAACACAAGAAAAACTGTCTTTAGGAACAGAGGCACAAACACAATGAAACTGATACTATTTATAGTGACTTTGTGTTATAAAGTTTGAGAGAATACATGCTGGGAAAAAAATATTTTTCCTTCAAAATTCTAGAAAACGCAAAAAACGGAAGTATCCAATTTCTATTCAATCTGTTCTAATGCCTTCTTAGGTCAGAGGTAAAAGTTACAAAATAAAATAAAAAGAACAAAAGACAATATTGAGAATTCTTTATGAAAATATTTTAGGTTCAACAGACATAACTGCCAAAGGAAAAAAGTCACTGCTTTTTCTGGATGTGAAGATACACAACGGCAAGATGAACAGCATCAAGTTCAAATGCAAGGCCTAGTGACTTCTGTGTCCATTGTCATTCTCTTTCCTTTAGCAATGATCACATCATTGACATCTTTAAATATATGTATCATATATATATTTGTGTGTGTATATATGATACATAAGATATATCACAGAAACTGATCATATATATATATATATATATATATATATATCTTATCTTTTTCATTAGATTATTACCTCCTTTTGGTCCACCTTGGGTGCCATAGCACCTATAATAGCCTCTAACTAGGTATCCAACAAATGTTTGTATACTTTAA
Organism: Homo sapiens; assembly: GCF_000001405.40. Classification (NCBI taxonomy): domain Eukaryota; kingdom Metazoa; phylum Chordata; class Mammalia; order Primates; family Hominidae; genus Homo; species Homo sapiens. Next base: position 49,801,921 of record NC_000018.10, read on the forward strand.
AGGAATTCTGAATTTTCAATTACCTGCATATGAATGATTGATTTTGTACATCACACATAGCAAGACAGAGGGTAAGGAAGCATCTTATTTCTTACAACAAACACTGATCAAGCTCCTACAATGTGTAAGAAAATTAGGGGAGGTGTGCTGTAATGGCTTGGGTTTACTAAGGTGGCATATAGAGAAGATCAATTAACTTCAAGTAAGCCAAGGAAGTCAATCTGCTATTTAGGAAGCACTGAAATGCATCCCAAGTCAGACATACAGTTTCTAGAACATATGATGCTTTGAATTATGCATGCTGTTGATTCTGGAGTCACAGAATTACTCAAATTACAAACGTATAAAGTCTGTAACTATTGGCTGGGAGTGGTGGCTCACGCCTGTCATCCCAGCACTTTGGGGGGCCGAGACAGGAGAATCACGAGGTCAAGAGATCGAGACCATCCTGGCCAATGTGGTAAAACCCTGTCTCTATTAAAAACACAAAAATTAGCTGGGCTTGGTGGCACACGCCTGTAATCCCAGCTACTCGGGAGGCTGAGGCAGGAGAATTGCTTGAACCCGGGAGGCGGAAGTTGCAGCGAGCCAAGATCGCACCACCATACTCCAGCCTGGCGGCAGAGCGAGACTCCATCTCAAAAAAAAAAAAAAAAAGTCTATAACTATTATTAACTTGTTTACCATTATGATATGTTAAAGGAATTATTTTTAGAAACTGATCAAAGAAGCAATAGGAGTGAACACCTTCCTTTACTCTACTAACCTGCAGGACATTGCCCATAATCACACTGTCAACTGTTTCAGGTGAGACTTTGCCAGCAGACAAGGCAGCCTTGGCAGCAAATTCAGACAAGTCAGTAGCAGTGAAGTCTTTCAGAAGGCCTCCGTAAGCTCCAAAGGGCGTTCGCTTAGCAGCAACTACAAACACACCTATTGCAACAAGAAGAGATTTGTAAGCCATCACAGGTTAGTAAATACCTCTAAATGCTTCGAATAATCTCACTGTGAAACCTTACACAATTTAAAATTAGATAATGGAAATTTCTGTTAGGCAATAATACCTAGAACAAGTCATACCCATGGAAGCAGAGTCTTAAGGACTACCAGTTTGACAGTTTGATCTTTACCTACATGCAGGTACCAAGAACTGCACTGCATGCTGTTAAGGAAGAAGACCACCACTTCTCCTGCGCACCCCGCCCCCCTTGCCTAGTTTATAAAACAGGAGGAAAAGAAAAAAGCAAAAAGTTAAAAAGAAACAGAAGTAAGATAAATAGCCAGATGGCCTGGTGCCACCACCCGGCCCTGGTAGTTAAAATAATAATAATAATAATAATAATAATAATAATAATAATAATATCAATCCCTGACCTAAACTACTTGTGTTATCTGTAATTTCCAGACATTGTATGAAAAAGCATTGCAAAACTTTCTGCTCTGTAAGCTAATGCATGTAGCCCCCAGTCACGTTCCCCACACTTGCTTGATCTATCACCATCCTTTCAGGTGGACCCCTTAGAGTTGTAAGCCCTTAAAAGGGCCAAGAATTTCTTTTTGAGGGAGCTCGGCTCTTAAGACGCAAGTTGGTGGATGCTCCAAGCCAAATAAAGCCTCTTCCTTCTTTAATCCAGTGTCTGAGGAGTTTTGACTGTGGCTCGTCCTGCTACACTGTGATGTAAAGCCATTCTGGTTAGACAACTTTCTTGTTCTCTGATGCTTCACAATGCTAGAAACATATGTTGAGAACTAAAATCCTTCTTCTATGTGCTGGAGTATATTGCCTAGTATTAGAATAAAAGAATCTCCAAACTAGAAGGTGCCTTAGGGTTGTCTGAGGTCAACCACTCACTCTATAAGAACTACCTCTAAAAATTCCTGACAAAAGGTTCTCTCTAAACCTCTGCCAGGAAACTTTCAGTAAGAGGGCATACTCTACTGCATGAAACAGTGTGCTGGTCATGGACAACATAAACTAATGATATTGCTTTTTTTTTTTTTTTTTTGGAGACAGAGTTTTGCTCTTGTCGCCCAGGCTGGAGCGCAGTGGCGCGATTTCGGCTCACTGCAACCTCCGCCTCCCGGGTTCAAGTGATTCTCCTGCCTCAGCCTCCCGAGTAGCTGGGACTACAGACACCCACCACCAGGCCCGGCTAATTTTTGTATTTTTAGTAGAGACGGGGTTTCACCATGTTGGCCAGGCTGGTCTTGAACTCCTGACCTCAGGGGATCCACCCACCTCAGCCTCCCAAAGTGCTAGAATTACAGGCGTGAGTCACCCACTCCCGGCCCCAACGAATGATATTTCTTTATATTGAACTAACTCAGCTTACAAAGTCTTCCATCCACCAATTCTAGTTCTCTCCAAAAGCACCAACACAGATAGAGATGTAGTTTCTAGAATATATGCTGCTACCGGTTCTAGAGTCACAGGATGACTCAAGTTACAGACTTCAAATAAATAACCTGAACTATTATCTTTTACTCTTAGAAAAAAAATGGGCAAAACAGGTTACCTTCTACATGTGTATCCCCCACCTCCAGTATCTGAAGTCAGCTAACCTGTAAGTCCCCAAACCTAGTGACTCTCATCTCAGGTAAATTAAAGGCATTCTTTCAATAGTTTTTTATTTGACATTAATTCTGACTGCTTTCCTCTAAAGACACTGTAGTTTGCCAACATCCTATTAAAATGTGTCCCTTAGAATATAAGAATATAACAAAAATAGCATGCATTTTATCTAATCACAAAGAATAGAGGAATTATCTATACATCTACTAATACAAACTAAGACTATAAATTTGCAGCATCACTATTAGTTAAATCGGTGTCCTTGTACAAATAAATAAAAATCACCCCTTCCCAATCACCTACTACCATCTGCCAAAAAAAAACTTGTGACTATACAAATATATGATTATGATGTGAGTGGTACCCACTCATCATCATTAGAGCTGTACAGTGCAAAACCGGCATATCAGTAAGCAGCATCAGTTATAGCCATTTCATCATATTGACATTCATTAGGTGTCTACTAAATACTAGACATTTTATCACTTTCCACACAAAAGCTAATCTTCCCAGCAACTCTGCAAGGTAAATATTATAGCTAACATAGAGGGGACACTTACTATGGAATAGACTTCATGCTAGCACTTTGCATATACTAACTTTATTCTCTCCAAGACAATCTAAGCTCACATTTCCACATCTTGTCAAGAAATTATGGGACTTTCGGCAATGGGTTTGTGATAAGATACTGATCTACAAATGAGACTATTCAAGCATTATACCACTACTGGTATCTAAGTATAATCTTCCAGTTTATGATCTCTTTCATCAAACAAACCAAGCCTAGCCTAAAATATTTCTATTTCAACCTCTCTTTTCATTCCTATTTTGAGAAATTTGCAGTTTAAAGGAATATTAGGAGCAATATATATAACTATAATTTAGAACAGATCCACTCAGTTTTTTACAGATACAAATTCAGATAGTTACAAAAGGCCATAAATACTAGTCGAGTGCATTACAAACGTTTTGTTCTGGTAAATTGGTTATTCTGTACCATGATGCCTTCCTGAATCTTTTCAAGTTTCCTTTCATCCTCCTTCCTTAACAGTCTCTGCCTATTTTTATATCAGTGTTTTCTTTTTTTTTTGAGACAGTCTTGCTCTGTGCCCAGGCTAGAGTGCAGTGATGTGATCACAGCTCCCTGCAGCCTCGACCTCTGCAGCCTCGACTTTCCCAACTCAAGTGATCCCCCTGCCTCAGCCTCCCAAGTAGGTAGGACTACAGGCATGTGCCACCACACCTGGCTAATTTTTACCTTTTTTTCTTTTTTTTTTTTGTAGAGATGGGGTCTTGCTATGTTTCCCAGGCTGGTCTCGAACTCCTGGGCTCAAGCAATCCTCCCACCTTGGCCTCCCAAACTGCTAGGATTATAGGCATGAGCTACTGCACCTGGCCTATCAGTGGTTGCTTTATTTCATTCTTCTTTCCTCTTTCCATGCCTTCTTCCTAATTTCATTAGTTCTGCTTCTGGTCATGGCCTACTATGCTCCTATCTGACCAACCCTCCAACAGATAACAATGAAAAACTCCAGACAATATATAAGAACAACTACTACCTGACGGTCTTGGAAATGAACAAAACTAGACAGGTAAGGAGAAGAGTTGATACTTAGAGGAAGGGAACAGAACAGGGTAAGTGTCCAATTTATTTATAGCAACTAACTTGAAGACTAACAGTCCATGATGCATGGAATGGCTAGAACTCAGAAACAGTCTTACTGGCTTGAAGAATCAGAGAATAAAATTCATGGTAAGCACAGCCACTAGAAAGTGAATGAGAATCTGGGAAAGAGGAGCACCATAGAGCGAGATTCCAAATTTCACATATAAACTCTGCCCAAATATTTGGCTGACTCCTTAGCCATTCATGTGTAGGTCAGACCACAAGCACCTAAGCCAAGCCTTAAAAAACTGAACTTAGATTTAAGCTGCTGCCCACTACAAGGGGAGACATAGTTTATCACGGGGGTGCATGGGGGTGATTTTGTAGGCAAAGTAACTGTCTACAAAAAATAAATAGCCAACCAATCAATAAGTCAGTTCTGTCTGCAGGATTATAACAGAATCCAGTCTCCACAATGTTCCATCTGCAATATTCATAATATAATTCAAAGTTAATCCACATATGAGGAAACAAAAAATATGACAATCAACAGAGACCAATCCCAAGAAGACCCAGACACTGAAATTAGCAGACAAGGATTTTAAAATAGCATTCTATTACAACTATGCTCAAGGATGTAGAGGAAAATATGCTCCTAATAAAACATAGGACATCTCAGTAAAGAAATACATACTATAAAAATCCAAAATGGAAATTCCAAAACTGGAAAATACCTGAAATAAAAAATTCCCTGGATGGGCTTAACAGCAAAATAGAAATGAAAGGAGAAAAATTCAGCGACTTTGAAGATAGATAAATAGAAATTAACCAATCTGAAGAACAGATGAAAAAAAAAAGATTAAAAAACAAAGCCAGAACCTCAAGGTCTGACAAAGGAGGAAAGGCAATTCACTGGAAAAAGGATCGTCTTTCCAACAAACAGTGCTGGAACAACAAAACATCTATATACCAAACAAAATGAATCCAGGCAAAAATGCGTCAACTTTGATAGTGGGCTGGGCACTGTGGCTCAAGCCTATAATCTCAGCTACTCAAGAGGCTGAGGTGGGAGGACTGTGTCAGGATAGGAGTTTGAAACCAGCCTAGGCAACATAGCGAGATCCCCATCTCTAAAAAATGTAAAAAATTAGTTGGGCATAGTGGCATGTGCCTGTAGTCCCAGCTATTCAGGAGGCTGAGTTCAAGGCTACCGTGGGCTACAATCAAGTCACTGCACTCCAGCCTGGGTGACAGAGTGAGATCTCTTATCTAAAAAAACAGAAACAAAAACAAAGAGATCATAGACTTAAATATAAAATGCAAAACTCTTAGAACATACGAGAAAAATCTACATGGCTTTGGGTTTGGTGATAATTTTTTAGATCTAACACCAAAAGCAGGATCCATGAAGGGAAAACTTAGGTTGGACTTCATTAAAATAGAAAACTTCTGGCTGTGTGCAGTGGCTCATGCCTATAATCCCAGCATTTTGGAAGGCCAAGGTGGGAGGACTGCTTGAGCCCAGGAGTTTGAGACCAGCCTGGGAGACATGATGGGACCCTGTCTCTATAAAAAATTAAGAAATCAGCCAAGCATGGTGGTGTGTGCTTGTGGTCCTAGCCACTTGGGAGGCTGAGGCAAGGGGACTGCTAGAGCCCAGGAGGTCAAGGCTACAGTGGCCGTGTTCACACCACTGTACTCCAGCCTGGGTGACAGAGCGGGACCCTCTAAAAACAAATGAATAAATAACCTCTGCTCTGCAAAAGATGCTGTTAAGAGAATGAAAAGACAAGCGACAGACTAGGAGAAAATATTTATAAAAACACCTAACTGATAAGGGACTGGTATCCAAAACATACAAAGTGTTCTTACAGCTCAGCAATTAAAAAAAAAAAAAAAAACCCATGCAACCCAATTTAAAAATGGGCAAAAGATCTGAACAGATACCTTACTAAAGAAGATATACAGATGGCAAATAAGCATATGAAAAGATGCTCAACATTGTATGTCATTAGGGAATTGCAAATTAAAACAATGAGATACTACTACACAACTATTAGTCTTTTGGATTTTAGAAAGGCTAAAATCCCAAACACTGACAACACCAAACACTGGTGAGGATGTGGAACAACAGAAATTCATTCACTGCTGGTGGGAATGCAAATGGTATGGCCAGCTTGGAAGACACTTTGGCAGTTTCTTATAAAACTAAACACACCTAACCATATGTATGATACAGCAATCAGGTTCCTTGTATTTACCTAAATGATTTGAAAACTTATGTTCAAACAAAAACCTGCAAACAAATGTTTATTCCTAATTGTTAAAACTTGAAGGCAACCACGATGTCCTATCATGGGAACCCGCCCCCCAATATTTCAGTGTAGGTTCTATTTTCCTTAAGTGTCGGCCGGTCTGAGAAACAGAAAGAGTACAAAGAGAGGAATTTTACAGCTGGGCCGCCGGGGGTGACATCACATATCGGTAGGTCCAGGATGCCCACCTGAACCACAAAACCAGCAGGTTTTTATTAAGGATTTCAAAAGGGGAGCAGGTGTACGAACAGGGAGTAGGTCACAAAGATCATATGCTTCAAAGGGCAAAAAGGAGAACAAAGATCACATGCTTCTGAGGCCAATAAAGATCACAAGGCAAAGGACAAAGCAAAGATCACAAGGCAAAGGGCAAAATCAAAAACTCCTGATAAGGGCCTATGTTCAGCTGTGCACATATTGTCTTGATAAACATCTTAAACAACAGAAAACAGTGTTCAATAGCAGAGAACTGGTCTGACCTCAAATTTACCAAGAAGCGTTTTTTCCCCACCCTAATAAGCCTGAGGGTACTGCAGGAGACCAGGGGGTATTTCAGTCCTTATCTCAACCGCATAAGACAGACACTCCCAGAGCGGCCATTTATAGACCTCCCCCCAGGAATACAATTCTTTTCCTAGGGTCTTAACATTCCTTGCTAGGAAAAGAATTTAGTGATATCTCTCCTACTTGCATATCCGTTTATAGGCTCTCTGCAAGAAGAAAAATATGGCTCCTACTGCCCGACCCCGCAGGCAGTAAAGACCTTATGGTTATCTTCCCTTGTTCCCTAAAAATCGCTGTTATTCTGTTCAAGGTGCACTGATTTCATATTGCTCAAACACACGTTTTACAATCAATTTGTACAGTTAACACAATCATCACAGTGGACCTGAGGTGACGTACATCCTCAGCTTACGAAGATAACGGGATTAAGAGATTAAAGTAAGACAGGCGTTAAGAGTATTATTAGGGAAGTGATAAATGTCCATGAAATCTTCACAATTTATGTTCCTCTGCCACAGCTCTAGCCGGTCCCTCCATTCAGGGTCCCTGACTTCCCACAACAATGTCCTTCAACAGGTGAATGGATAAACAAACTGTGGTGCAGCCATACAATGGAATATTATTCAGCAATAAAAAGAAGTGAGCTATCAAGCCATAAAAGGAAGGAATCTTAAATGCATGTCGCTAAGTGAAAGAAGCCAGTCTGGAAAGGCCATATACTGTATGATTCCAACTACATGATATCTGGAAAAGGCAAAGCTATGGAGACAGTAAAAAGATCAGTGCTTGCCAGGGGTTCAGAGACAGGGATAAATAAGTGAATCACAGATGATGTTTAGGGTGGTGAAATTAATCTGCATGACACTATAATACTGACATCGGTCATTTGCACATTTGTCAAAACCCATAGAACTATACAATACAATGAATGAACTTGAATGCAAAATATGAACTTCAGTGAATAATAATATATCAATGTTAGCTCATCAATTGTAACAAATGTACCACACTAATGCAAAATGTTAATAATAGGGGAAACGGACCGGGCAAGGGAGCACATGGTAATACTCCGTACTTTCTGCTCAATTTTTTTGTAAAACCTAAATCTGCTCAAAAACAAAGTTTGTAAATTTTTTCTTTAAAGTCGGATAGTAAAAAAACACGGGCAGAACCTCAAGGACTAACAAGTTACAGTCATAGGAGAGGACAGAGAATGGATTTAAAAAAACATTTGCAGAAATAATAAAGAAGAAATTTCCAAATTTGATAAAAAACATAAATTTGTATATTAAAGCTTGGTAAACCTCAACTCTAATAAACACCACACGTAACACTCCACACCCCGTTCTCCTGCAGCTTGGCACATCATTGTCAAACTTTTGAAATCCAAAGATAACAAAAATATATAAAGCATCCAGAAATAAAAATGACATATTGCACACATGGAAATGACCCCTCACTTCTCAGAAACAATAGAGCCTAATTTCATTTGTCTCTCTACAAAGTTCCTTTTATGAACTTCTCCCCTATGTCTCATATTCTAAGAAAGCATTTGATAGGGCAGTGCTAGTAGTGAAATATGCAATATCTACAAAGGAAAGGGTGTGCATGGGAAAATAAAAACAAAAAAAAACCTCCCCTTTACCTATATTACTTCTTATTTGATGCTCCCAGACTGTAAAGGTTAGCTCAAGTAAGACCTTAACTGAACTAAAACAATTATTTTGAACAGAGAAAATGTTCTCAATCATATATTTTTGGTTTGGGTTTTTTTTGTTTGTTTGTTTGGAGGCAGGGTTTCACTCTGTCACCCAGGCTGAAGTGCGGTAGTGTGATCTTGGCTCACTGCAGCCTCAACCTCCTGGGCTCAAGCAATCCTCCACCACAGCCTCCCGAGTAGCTGGGACTACAGGCGAGTGCCACCATGCTTGGCTAATTTTTGTATTTTTTGTAGAGACTGGGTTTCTCTATTTTAAAAAATAATTTGTTATTATTATTTTAAATCTTCATTTTAACAAATAATCTGGGATGTGCAGATAGACTATAAAGGTTTAAAGTTTTTTTTTTTTAATTTCATAAATTGTATACCATGTCAATTTTCATTTGATGTCAATTTTACGTGGATACTAAAAGGTCTAAAACTTAACAATCTTTAACACCAAACTGAAATCTCATTTGAACACCCTGAAAATTCAGAGGCTAAAAATTTCCCAAAACTGAAAGACAGTGAAGAGACCTATTAACCCAGAGTGTAGTGAGTCCAAGTAGCTCCAAGAAAGGCCCTGGAAAGATGTGCTGAGTTGACAATACAGGAAAAGCACCACTAGGAAAGAAACAGGAGCACTACCTTTCTATCACATTGTTAGGTAAATATTCACTTAGAGCAACTTCAGGCAGCAACGAGGGCAAATTAAGGAAAGCTGCGGTGGCATCCAGTTGTTTCAAGATTAAGGTAATTTAGCAGCCCTGTCTACTTGCCTTGAAAAAATACACAAACATTCCCAACAAAGCTAGGAGCAGTAGGAGAGCTATGATCTGTCGAGCGAAAACCTCCTGCCAAGTACTGGGATGGGTGCTAATAAAAACCTAGGAGCCGGTTCTTCTTGTTGACTGAAATCTGACAAATTAATGTTAATCCTTAACAAAATTTAACTCAAATGTGTCCTTTTCCCTATAATCAGTCACATGCTCTTCTTTCTTCCCACCCATCCTGCAAACACTTGGTATGCTGCTTGAGAGAAGTTTATCTTTAATGATTCTAGCTGGCCTGTAACATCACTATTTCAAGCTCAAAGCTTGGGTTCTAGTCACAGCCACTAACTACCTGTGTTATTATACACAACCACTTTACCTCTCTCGACATGAGTGTCCTCCTAATTGCTACAATAAGGAAATGGAAAAAAATACGATCACTAGCTCTAACACTACAGTAAATTGTACCAGAAATTTATAAACTTTATACTTCCTTAATACAGGTGTCAATGTGCATTTTTTTCCTTTTTGGGTTTATAGTATTTGTGAAATTTTCAAACAGGTCTGTATTATAAGAAAGGGTAAGAACCACTGATAAAATATTAAAATGATATCAGTAAAAATATTATTTCCTTTTTTAGAAGATAGCTCATGACAATGCACCTTTTAAATGAAGTGTAAATGCCTCGTCTAAAAAAAATTCACCACGCTGCTTTATGAAGTAAATGTAGTAAATTCAGTCAGGAAGGGCACTGGCAAATGAAATCCACGTTGCAGGAAACTGTAAACACTGCATTTGGTCCCAGAATACGGATTTTTCCCTTGATTTGTTCCCATGCCACTTTGGTTCTTCTCACTTTCAGATCCCCCTAACCAATGCTTAGCTGGCATCTCCACTTGGCTGCTTCACAGGCACCAAAAAGTTTTCTGCCTAAAACTGAATTCTCAATCCTTCTTTCCACATCTATTCCTTTCCCAATTTTCCTCACTCTGTAAAGTGGCATCATCATGAACACGGTTCATCAAACCAGACACTTTTCATCATTCTCGACATTTCCTTCTTATATTTACTCCACCACATCCAATCCACTTTCTATCAAATCCACCTCCAAATCTATCTCAACTCATCCCTCCCCTTTTCTCCCCAATTACACTGCCCCACACGAGTCAAAGCCATCATTTGCTGCTCCCTGGACCTCTACAATAGATCCTTAAATGGTCTCTTCGCCATTACACAGACCGCCCCAAATTCGGACAGAGTGGAAATCAGATCCTGTCATTACCCCGCTTTAAATCCCTGTATTGCCTTCCACTGAATTTGGAACAAAACCCCACCTTCTTACAGAGCCCACAGGGCCCTGGAGCACCAAAATGCTTGGTTCTTAGATCCTGCCAAGCTTTTTCCTGTCTCAGGGCCTCGATATGTATTCCACCTCAATGTTCTTCGACTCGTACATCCTTAAAGTAAGATTCCATTGACTGTGCCCACTTGTTTTGAAAAGGGAGTTTATTACACAGTTGTTTTAAACAAGTTCATAACCCTAGAACTTAGGTATAGAGTGACCGCTCTAATCTAAAGCAACAGAAGGGAAATGGGAGCAGGGCAGGTCTTCCAGCAGAACACCAGCTACCATTTCTGCAGGCCTCTCCATCGATTCACCCGGGGAGCCCTGACCACCGAGGCCGAGCGGCGGGCTCCTGTGCGCAGCTGCCCCGCAGCAGGCGCCCGCGGCCTATGGCGCCGCCCCATTTTTTCTAATACTTGGACTCGAACTAGTGGGGTCACTGTTAGGCGAAGAAAGGAATGACCTCCAAGGTCACATGCAAGCAAACTTTGGTCTCAACTAAACAGGAAATTGCACCGAAATCGCTGTCGCTAGCGCCTTACAAGTAAGGGTTTTCTCCTTAACCCAAACAAGCCTTTCGGGCTGGGTTTTTATCACGTCCGCTCCAAAACCGAGGAGGTTGAGTGAACTTCACCCCACGACCCCGACTCTCCGCGGCGGCCGGAAGCGGAGGCCTGGCCTGGGGAGGGCAGGACCCCGAGGGGCGAGGAGAGGAGGAGGGGGCTGCGCTCACCTCGGAGCAGAGCCATGGCGGCTGCTGGGTCGTCGGCGGCGCGGGTCTGTGGTGTGGGGGACGCTGAGCGGCCGCTCGCAATCACCCAGATTTCAAGAGCGTGGGTGGCGCCCCGAGAGCCACGCCCCTGCCCTTTCACCTACTTCCTGGGGCTCCTTGGCGGGGTCCCAGCGTAAGATGGTCCTACCCCACGCGTAGCGCTGCCCGCCTCACCCCAGCCCGAGGGAGCCCAGGGGACGGGGCTCGGATAGACCACAACGCGCCTTGAGAGCGGACTCTTTCCTCACATCCTCATTTTTAGATTTTCTCCGTTTCCAAACCGAGAGAATTTGGTTTGACACCTCTCACCCATCATATCCTAGCCCCGACAGGCGATGACTCTTCCCCTTTGTCTCCGCCAACACCCTAAACACTGGGCAGGAGCCAAGGGCTGAGGAACTTGGCGCGCGGGCGGCCGCGGCCGCCAGCTGGGGGCGGGACCGAACGTCCTGTGGGCGGGGCGCGGCGGCGGCGGCGGGATTGGCTGGGGCGGGCGGGTGCGCAGTCCGCTGGGCAGAGGCTTGGGCCGCCGAGCTGGACCCGGACCGGTTTTGGGTACTGTACTGGGGGCAGGGCAGAGAGGTGGGCGGCAGTTGGGGTGCGGTGATTGTAGTAGGCTAGGGCGCTTTCGGGTCCCCATTGCAGCCCCCGGATGAGCCCGCAGTATTTTCCTTATATGATCAGGTCCCATTGCGGGCGGCGCCGCTTGCCCGGAGCCTGAGAGGATTATGAAAACGTGGCGAGCGAAATGGGGCCAGGGGACCTGGAGCAGGGGCGTGAGGAGAGTAGGCAGCGGGTGAGGCTGGACGGGAGGGAGGTCTAGGGAGGCCTCTGCCGCGGGCACTGTGAGTCCTGGCCGATGATGACGAGACCACTGCGCAATCTGAGTTCTGGGAACCAGGTGATGGAGTATGTTCTGAGAACAGACTGAGGCCGGGCAAGCAGGAGGCGGCCGCGGCAGGGGAGAGGCGGAGAGCCCCTCGATACCAGGGCTCGGAGGGCCGGGCTGCCTAGCGAGGGCTTCTTTTGAGTGCGTAGGGGTGGTGGGTGGCATGGACGGTTTCTCTGAGTCGTCAGCGAATGCCCCCCCTAGAATCCTGCTTTTCAAACACTTTGGTGACACTCTTGCAATGTTGGGGTGTTTTTAAATCCAAATTTGTATTATGAAAACTTACAAACTTACAGAAAAGTGGGAAGACTTGTACAGTGGACACATATCGACCCAATTGTTAACATTTTGCTATATTGCTATCCACCTGTTCTTCCATCAAACCATCTTATCTTTTTAATGCAGACCTTAGTACTCTACACCCATGAACACATCAGCACACATTATTCATTTACAGTTCTTTTTAAGGCAAAATATCCACGCAATCAAATGTACAAATCTTAGACAAGCTTCACAAATGCTCATGTATAGGCCGGGCGCCGTGGCTCACGCCTGTAATCCCAGCACTTTGGGAGGCCGAGGTGGGCGGATCACGAGGTCAGGAGATCGAGACCATCCTGGCTAACACGGTGAAACCTCATCTCTACTAAAAATACAAAAAAATTAGCTGGGCGTGGTGGCGGGCGCCTGTAGTCCCAGCTGCTGGGGAGGCTGAGGCAGGAGAATGGTGTGAACCTGGGAGGCGGAGCTTGCAGTGAGCCGAGATCGTGCCACTGCACTCCAGCCTGGGTGACAGAGCAAGACTCCGTCTCAAAAAAAAAAAAAAAAAAAATGCTCATGTATAGAGTGTTCATTTTTGTACACAGTTTTCTATTCAGTTTGCCTCTACATATTTAAGAAAGGTTAAGTATCACAACTTCCCACTGCAGATCACCATCAGTAGGTCTTTATAGATGTACTGTGTTTTCTCTAATTGGAAATGTCACTAATGAGTGGATTCTAACACCATTCAGTGAAAGGTTTACATATATTAAAACACGTAAATATATGAGAGAATATTGACATAGTCTCCAAGTCTCATGAAGAGGAAAGGGTACCTTTACAATGGATAAATCTTGCGGGTATTACTTCACCAAATTATGAAGTAATGGTGTCCCATCACCAATAAAGGGACAGACTGACGTCATGCGCTCCCCTTGCTACAGCGACAACACAATCTCACTTGCGTAGAATTTCTGCTGAAAACATCTGGCCTGAATCTAATTATAAGGAAACAATGAGACAAATCCACATGGAGGTACATTCCACAGAACAACTGACCTGAACTCTTTAAAAACATCAGTGTGGTGAAAAACAAAAAATGGCTAAAATAGGAATAGTATCACATTAAAGGAGACTAGATATGTGACACATATTGTATGAGATCCTTAATTAAAACCTGGGTTAAAAAAATACTCTAAAAGACAGTATTGGGACAACTGGAGAAACATATAAATTATAGATGACATGGTAATATTGACATTAAGTTTCCTGATCATGATAATTATATTGTAGTTATGTAGAAGATTGTCCTTTGTTCTAAGGAAATACATACTGAAATATATGGGGGTGAAGAATCATGAGCTTGCAGATGACTGGAAAAAATGCATTTATATATATACAGTTATGTGTTGCTTAACCACGAGAATCCATCCTGAACGATGTGCTATTAGGCGATTTCGTCATTGTGTGAACATCATAGATTTCACTTACACAAACCTCAATGGTAGAGCCTACTACACACCTAGGCTATATGGTACAGCCTATTGCTCCTAGGCTACAAACCTGTATAGCATTTTACTCTACTGAACACTGTAGGCAGTTGTAGCAAGTAGTAAGCATTTGTGCATCTAAACATAGGAAAGATAGTGCATGACTATACACTGGCAGAGAAAGATAAAGCAAATATGGCCAAATATTACCAACTGGGGAATCCAAATGAAGAATATACAGTTGTTCATTATTCTTTTTCTTTTTTTTTTTTTTGAGACAGTCTTGCTTTGTTGCCCAGGCTGGAGTGCAGTGGCATGATCTCCACTTACTGCAACCTCCACCTCCCAGGTTCAAGTGATTTTCCTGCCTCAGCCTCCCGATTATCTGGGATTACAGGTGCTTGCCATCCTGCCCGGCTAATTTTTGTATTTTTAGTAGAGACAGGTTTCGCCATGTTGGCCAGGCTGGTCTCAAACTCCTGACCTCAGGTGATCTGCCCACCTCGGCCTCGCAAAGTGCTGGCATTAGAGGCGTGAGCCACTGCACCTGGCCCATTATTCTTTTTCTAAGAGGGGAGTCTTGCTTGCTATGTTGCCAGGGCTGGCCTCAAACTCCTGGGCTTAAGGGATCCTCCTGTCCCAGCCTCCTGAGTAGCTTGGGACTACAGGCGTGTACCACATTCTTCCATTTTTGCAACTTTTCTGTAGGTTTTAACTCTTTCAAAATAGAAGTTGGGATAAAAAATGTCCTTCACGTAAGCTACAAAATTGCTTGAAACAAGTTATTTTTGAAAATATTTAGTCCTTTTCAGGTTTACATCATGTTTAAGCAGTTATGTATTCTTGTAATTTTAATATGTATATTAAAATTGTGATAATTTTTGTCTAGATGTGGAGTCTTTCATGAGATGTAAAGTTATTGTTCTACTTTTAGACATTTAACTCTCAGTATTTTTATAAATGCAATATTATCATTTCCTTACTTATTTTCCTATGCTTAAACACAGTTTCTCCTGCTTTCCTATAACACTAAAAATTGACGGTGGCTTAAGCAGCAGTGGCTTTAGAAGTTTCAGTAATGGAAACTGGGGAAAGCTGACGAAGTCAGTAGGGCCTAGGACAACTTTTAAAAATGAGTATATGAATCTGAATGAGTGAGATAAGTGAATTTGCTGATCTTGAGTAGTTTGGAACGTTATGTGTGTGCTCACTGTTAATCTAATTGCTTTGGAAATACTTCAATTTTTGTTAATTAGAACGCAAATGTTGAATGTGGTTTTATTCTTAAAACAAATACTAACTCTTCAGAAAGTTCAAGTTGCCAAGCAAGAACATCAGATGAATGAAATTGTTCGCAGTGGCAAATCCGTACTGGCCTGCAGCAACTCACTTCTTGCCTCCTCAAAGGAATGAAGCATAAGGCAGAGTGAGAGACCGAGGCAAGTTTTTGAGCAGGAGTGAGAGTTTATTAAGAAGTATTAGAGCAGGAATAAAAGTAAGTAAAGTACACTTGGAAGAGGGCCAAGTGGGCAACTTGAGAGATTCAGCTGTGCCACCTGACCCTTGATTTGGGGATTGATACATTGGTACGGTTCTAGGCCTTGCATTACTTCTTCCGATTTTTCCCTTGGGGTGGGCTGTCGGCATGCTCAGTGGCCTGCCGGCACTTGGGAGGGGTGGCATGTGCAGTGTGTTTACTGAAGTTGTGCACATACTCACTAGAGACATTCCTCCCTTACCAGTCTTGTTCCTAGAGGAAGCTCATATACCAGTTAAACTCTACCATTTTGCCTCTTAGTGAGCATGTTTGAGCCCACTCTCCCAAAATCTTATCCACAAGCTGCTGATCACCAGATTCTAGTATTTTCCATCTATTGGGAGAATGCCTTTCCCTGACGCCAGTTGAGACGAATGATTATTTTAGATAGTTTAACAACTTGCCTGACCATCACCTGATAGTCGCTTGACATTCCTGGGCGGGGTGGGGGAGGTTTTCTCCTGCCCTGCCCAAGTCTGCCTAGCTACCTATTCTAAGGGAATGTAGACAGGAAGTAATAAAGACACCAATACGCCAAACTCCCTCATGTTAAGTTTACCCTAAGTCTTGATGTGTTCCCAGTAACCCTAAGGCACTGTCTCAAACTTAAGATAGATATTTGTTTTTCTTTTTTCTCTACTTGTCTGAAAGTTATTTGCAGCTTCTATATCTTTGGCTCAACTTTCATTTAGTAGCATAACCTTAGGCAAATCTTCCTTGGATCTAAGTTTACTCTGCAAAATACTAATGTTGGTAGAAGGAGACAATGCTGTTGTTGCCTTCCAGCCAGAAACCTCCAGAAACACACCTATAGTTGAACAAGTTGGGTTTAATGTTCTTTGGAAGAAGGGAGATTGCACATCATGGGTGTGCCTTTGGGAACTGCAGCACATCTCAGTAAAAGGGTGGTAGGATTTGGGGTTTGGTTAGGTGATTTGGGGAGGATCCAAGGAAGTACGGGTTCACTCTGGATTGGGTACTGTCAGGAAGTAGGGACAAGTCTTTGGGTATCAGTACTATTCAGGGTTCTCCAGAGGGACAGAACTAATAGAACATATGTATATATGGAAGGGAGTTTAAGTCCAGGCCTGGTGGCTCACACCTGTAATCCCAGCACTTTGTGAGGCCGAGGCGGGTGGATCACGAGGTCAAGAGATCGAGACCAGCCTGGCCAACATGGTGAAACCCCGTCTCTTCTAAAAATACAAAAATTAGCTGGGCGTGGTGGCGTGCATCTGTAGTCCCAGCTACTTGGGAGGCTGAGGCAGGAGAATCACTTGAACCCAGGAGGCGGAGGTTGCAGTGAGCCAAGATGGTGCCACTGCACTCTAGCCTGGTGACAGAGCGAGACTCTGTGACCCCGTCTCAAAAAAAAAAAAAAAAAAAAGCAAAAGAAAGAAAGGAAGGGAGGGAGGTGAGGGAGGGAGGGAGTTTATTAAGGAGAATTGACTCACAGGATCACAAGGTGAAGTCGCACAATAGGCCATCAGCAGGCTCAGCCAGGAATGGCTCAGTCTGGGTCCAAAAGCCTCAAAAGTAGGGAAGCCAACAGTGTAGTCTTCAGTCTGTGGCCAAAGGGCGCCTGAGAGCTCCTGGCAAGCCATTGGTGTAAGTCCAAGGGTCCAAAGGCTGAAGAACCTGGAGTCTGATGTCCAAGGGCAGGAGGAATGGAAGGAAGCATCCAGCACAGGAGAAAGATGAAAGCCAGAAGACTCAGCAAGCCAGCTTATCCCACCTTCTTCCACCCACTTTGTTCTAGCTGCGCTGGCAGCCAATTGCATGGTGCCCACCCACACTGAGGGTGGCTCTTCCTCTCCCAGGCCACCGACTCAAATGTTAATTTCCTCTGGCAACAACCTCACAGACCTACTCAGAAACAATACTTTACCAGCTATCTAGGCATCCTTCAATCAAGTTGACAACTAATATTAACCGTCACAGTATCATCTTATCCTGAAGGAGGGCTGATTAGAGCTAGGCTCAAGCTGCACCTGGGAAAGCAGCTACAGTCCCTCATATTACCTGGGACAGGGCATATTTGGTGTTACATGGTTTACACAGTGATCTTGTTTTTGTGCCTGGGCAAAATTACAGTCTTGTTTCATATCACTTTAGTGTAGTCAGAGTGGCCACATCTGATATTGGTGTTTTATAAGGTTGTTCATAGCAAAAGAACAACACGGCCCAGCACAGAGGACCAGGCCAGCTTCTAGCATGACCCAGGCCTAGCTCTGAGTTTCAAATCAGTTCCTGGAAGTCAGTCTGCTTTTCTCTTTCTGAACTGTTATTAAGTGTATCTTGTATGAAATTTGCTTCTTTTCAAATGTGGTTTTCCTGTTGAGGCTTTGAAGCTAGGACTAAACCTCTTTGAGAATGAGCTGAAGGCTTTCCTCAAGTGAGGGTATTCTTTGGTCAGCCACTCAAAAAGTGAATCCATCTTTAGATTGGAAGGTGGTTTCAAAAGTCAACTTTTCACTGCATAGTATACAGCAGGTCCCTACATAACATTGTTTCATTCATTGTCATTTTGACATAATGTTGGTGAGAAAAAAAGAATTGCTTCCTGGCCAGGGCCACTGTGTGTGTGGAGTTTGCAGGTTCTCCCTGTTACAGTGGGTACCTAGTCAGGCATGAGCAGGGCAGGAGAGAGCTCCCCCCTCCACACACACACCAGGAGCATCTTGTGACCATCCAGTGATGGTCAAGGCAGTTGTTAACTGTCTTTCTAAAGTAGTCATTGGTCGCAGCCAGCATCAGAGAAAGGCAGTCTCCCGATAGAAAACACATGAAACTGGTGATCAGCCACTTCCTGACAAGATCTCAGGAGTTGAGAGAAGTAACACAAGACCGCAGAAGTAGGCCAACATATAAAACCCCAAGTCAAGAGGTTAAGCCACGCTCTTGACTCTTTCAAGTCACCCACTTGGCCCTCTTCCAAGTGTACTTTCCTGCCTTTCCACTCCTATTCTAAAACTTGCCTTGGTCTCTCCTTCTGCTGTACGGCCCTCAAATTCTTTCTTCTGAGGTGGCAAGAATTGAGGCTGCAGCCTCATTCATACAGACATGGATACGTTCCACTGGTGAGATCCCCATGACTGTTTTCTTTGGATTCTCATTTCCTCCCATGTCCTAAAGCTGTGTACATGAGGTGAATGGATGTGTCTAAGTGATCCCAGTCTGAGTGTGGGTTTGTGAGCACACCCAGTGACAGGATGGTTTCCTGTCCAGGCCTGGTGCCTCCCTGGCACCCTGAGCTGCCAGGAGAGGTGGGCCCTCAGTGACTCTTAAATGGAATAAGTGGGCAACTTTCTCATTTGTTTTTATTAATCTTTCTCAAATGTATATATAGCTTTCATTTCAGTGTTTAATTCTAGAAGTGTTTTGGTCTTTATTTAGAAGTTTGTTGATGTTTTGGCCGGGCATGGTGGCTCATACCTCTAATCCCAGCACTTTGGGAGGCCGAGGCAGGCAGATCACTGGGGGCTAGGAGTTTGAGACCAGCCGGGACAGCATAGTGAAACCCCATCTCTATAAAAATACAAAAAAATTAGCCAGGCATGGTGGCGGACGCCTGTAATCCCAGTTACTCGGGAGGCTGAGGAGGAAGAATCACTTAAACCCAGGAGGCAGAGGTTGCAGTGAGCTGAGATCTTGCCATTGCCCTCCAGCCTGAGCAACAGAGCAAGACTCCATCTCAAAAAAAAAAAAATTTGGTGATGTTTGTATGACCATAAATATGCCGAAGGAACTGTTTATATCAACTAGCTTATGTTAAAATTGGTGTCATTACGTCATTTTGTTTATACTCGTGGTTTCCTAGAACTTATCAGTGACGTTGAGGACTAATTATACTGTGACCATTTTTCTGGATCATGAAATATTTCAATAGTGGTCTCTAATGATGGGTGCTTAAGGGCACCATCCCTGGGGATGTCTTCTTGTATATTTTTAGGTGGGTCAGGTTAACAATGGGTGTGGAAGGGCACCATCTCTGGAGGTGTCTTATTCCATAAATTTGGGTGTAAATTTTTTTAAAGATTTCCAGGTGATTTTGATGTGTACTCCCAGTTAAGAAAAAATGTATCAGTATTTCCATATAGATGCTCAGTTTCTGGGCTATTCTGTTCCACTGGTCAATTTTTCCACATCCAGGGCCGGGCGCGGTGGCTCACGCCTATAATCCCAGCACTTTGGGAGGCCGAGGCGGGTGGATTACCTGAGGTCGGGAGTTTGAGACCAGCCTGACAGACATGGAGAAACCTTGTCTCTACTAAAAATACAAAATTAGCTGGGCATGGTGGCACATACCTATAATCCCAGCTACTAGGGAGGCTGAGGCAGGAGAATTGCTTGAACCTGGGAGGCGGAGGTTGCGGTGAGCTGAGATTGTGCCATTGCACTCCAGCCTGGGCAACAAAAGCGAAACTCTGTTTCAAAAAAAAAAAAAAAATTTCCATGTCTGTCATCCTCACACATCTTAATTACTGAAATTTTGTAAGTCTCAATGCCTGCTAAGGAAAGCTTCCCACTTTCTCAAGGAGGGTCTTCCTTATTCATGGGCCTTTGCTCTTCCATATAAATCTTATAATGAGCTTGTCAGTTTTCACATAGAAACAGTTGAAATTTTGATTTTTAATCTATAGATCAACTTGGGGACAACTGACAAACTTTTAGTGGTATGGAGTCTTCGAATTCTTGTACCTAATTATTTCTCCATTTTAATGTTGTCATTGTTTTTCACTTATATTTTACAAATTCCTCCATACAGATCTTATGACTATTTCCCCACTGATTTTTCATGCCATCTCTACCGTATGCTATGTTATACATAGGATTGGGCCTATCCTTGCACTCCCTATTCTGTTTCGTTGATCTACTTGTCTTTGCCTACACCAAAACTGCCTTTAATTCCATAGCTTTAAAGTAATTGCTCAATAAGCCTTGTTATCTGAGAGTTTCTCCCTGCCCCCAACTTTTGGACTGTAAGATGCTGACCTCTGGTTTAAATGATCTTGACACGTATTAGAATATAGGCCCCATAATGAAGCTTCTCAAGAGAGCATTACAAAGAAACTTTGTCAACCTGTAGCTGCAGAGTTTTAAATTTCATTTAGATTTGGCACACCTCTTTATTCAAAAGTATTTATTTCCACAAATTTTTATCCACAGCTAAATATTACAGTGACTATTACAAGCATTTTTCTATAAACAAAGGTGTAGTTTACAGATTTGTGCAAAGTGGGAAAATATTTTCATCAGTAGTCTTTCTTCCATGGTGTTGGATTCACCCCTGAATATGATCTGAACTCTTTCAGAGAGGCAGTCCTTCATCTAAATGTCAGTTGGTGGCAAAATGTTATATTCAAATCTGGATTATTCTGATACAGTGTCACTTTAGAAAGTAGCTTAGTTTCATTTCTGATTGATCCCCTTTGTTAGAATTAGAAATTTTTTGAAAAACAATCTTTTGTATCTAATGACCTTTATAATAAAAAAAACCCTGTCCTGTGTTTCTCATTGGCATTAACCTCTGTCTACACCCTCTAATTCTCTAATTATGGCACCAGTGGGTATAAAAAGTGAATTATGGTTATTTGGCTCATGCAGCAAATTAATTGGAGAAACTGACCACAAATATTCTGTGAAGAACTACAAGGTCTTGCCCCATGCTGTCCCATTTTAGTGACCATTTAGTTATGCAGGCATTATACAAATGCCTCAATTTAGGACACCCTTGCTGTCTTAGTAGGTCAAGTGTATGAAAATTTACTTTATGCAGAAGAAATGAATTCTAATTTATTGGTTACTGGAATCTTAATGTATGAAAGCTCTAAGTAAATATTTGATGAATTGATGGTAGCAGTGTTGATTTTTAACTGTTCCAAGCTCCTAGTTTTGTTTTGTTTTTACAAAAGCCTTAAAATTTAGTACTAGGGAAATCAAAGGAAGCAACTCCCACTGACATGCTTCATGGAAAGGGGAAAAACATCTACCTTTGGGTCTAATCTGCCTCCCAGGTGAGCCTACAGGTACTGGAACTCTAACTGCAACTATGAGGGCACAGGGAAAATGCATGTATGTAATATGCTTGTCAGCTTCAGCAACAACTCATGTGTACATTCACATTTACTATAAGTAAACAGGTCCCGTATAATACTTAAAACACAAGTTTTGATCTATAAATATTTGATTCTTAATATTTAAAATGCTTCTAATGTTTTAAAAGACAAAACTCCCCCATGATATCACCTTGAACATTAAAATTATTCCCACAGCAACACTTATTTCAGAGAAACAACTGATGTCAGTTATCTTAGTAACCGCTAAAGGCACCTGGTGAAAAAAATGTCAACTAAATTTTAAATATTAAAAAATTAAAGAGACATCTAATGCAGAGTTCAAACCTGAATTGTTAAAGAGTCATTACTGATTTCATGACACTGATAAATGTTTGAATTGAAATGATTTTTTAAAATGCAGAGAAAATGCTAACAAAAGATTATATAGTTCCCCTAAAGATGCTTCTTCTAGCCTCCAAGTATTAAATAAGACAGATCTAAATATTAACTACATATAAAGTATATATTTGTTAGTCATCTGTAAGTTTTAAGTACAATTCCAGGATATACCTTTATCTTTTGGAAGAGAAGAACTAAATCTGCCATTTCTTAGGCTAAATGGACTATTCATAAGGTCCTTCCCTCCCCATTTATTCTAATTGCCAAGCTTTTATTCAGTAAGCTCTTGGCACCTAGTGATTAACCAGTGACAGCAGAGAGTAGTGACCAAGAGAGATGGAGAGAATGATGGTATAAGACAGTGTATAAGGATAGTAAGCCACTGTGTTTGTGGAACCACTGCATGTCAAAACTCCTTAACACTCTAACAAGGCATTTTTGGTCTTTTAAGGATGGTCCTTACATAAGAGACTCACTTTCAAACTAAAGTGCATTAAAAAACAAATTATCCTTCACAAACAACTTTAAAGAGGTAGCCACAAACCCAGTTGTTTTAGATTGGCCTTCTAAATGAAGTCAGCACATGGATCCATGGGTAAGTGTCATGGACGTCAGTGATTATGTAACTGTAACTGAAAGAAAAAGGCACAGCTCTGCCGATGCCCAAGAGAAGCCGGCATGTTTAATGTGGATGTAGAGGGGATAATGCCCATGACAACTGATTGGAACACAATGTCAGCAGCCTTAACCCAGGCTAAGACTGGCCTAAGCCCCAGGAGATGCAGAGAACAACTGAGGAAGCTGTGCTCTAAGGGCACAGTGCAGAAGGTAGCGTGGAGTGTGCTGTGTTTCCAAGAGCCTTTTAAGTTGGGTGGTTGAGTAAAAGAGGGTGAAGGCAGGCTGTTCTACTTCCAATTCATGGATAAATCTTATTTTCTCAATGTAATACAGAGGCTGTTCTTCCATGATTTGCAAATACCATTTTTTTCTTATGGGAACAGCATACTGCTATCAAGAAATACAGAAAAGACAGTAAAAAAAAGTGTGGAAAGAATATGGGTTTCCAATTGAATGCTTGCTTTTGAAGAAACCAAAAACAAGTTAAAAAAAATTCTAAGAGCAGCAAACATCTAAGCCTGTTATATTACTGAATTACTTTTTTAAAATCCTTATTTTGTGGGAGAGATATTTACAATTTTTTGTGTGCTAAATTTGAAAAACGTTGAAAATAACCTGAAAAGGGAAAGTTGACCTAAGCCATTTTATTCTCTTAAAAAAAAAAAACCCAAACTTTTGTATAATATCCCTGAACTGATTATTTTTGAAGGTTTTTCAGATGATCTGATGTGCGAACTTTAGTTTGTTTTACTATTTGGTTTCTGGAACAGTAGAGCATTATGTGATGCTCTTACTGGAAGCTTAATGGTATTAAGAGATTAAAAGCTTTCATATTGACTTGTTTGGTTTTTACATCTATAAATAAAACAAGTTTGTTATCCGTTTCTAATATTTAGCTTATATACATTTTTGTGAAAGTTTTGTGGGACTTGGAAAGTGTATGGACTAGCATCAGAAACAAAATATTTTTCCATCTTTCTCACTTGGAGTTTGGGATAGCAGCATTTTAATAATCTCTTCCATTAAATCAAGATAACACAAAAGCGTTTGAGCACACTGAGGACTGGCACTTCTAATTTTGCTTCAGAAACCAGTACTCAAAATGTCTGGTCTGGAGGTCAGTTACACCACTGTCTGTGTATAATCAGCCATTAAAAAATATTTTGGGAATATTTCTCAGAAGTCTCATCCCCATATTTTTGTTCTTAAAACATCTCACCACAAACTCAACCACACCTATGGTTTGCAAACTTTGGGAAATGTCAGTATATGCCATTATCATGGTTATTAGTACCATTATTTGTTAAAGCCCTTTGAAGGCAATTTATGTGACTTATATATATTTGGTATTTTAATTTGGACATTCTCTAGTTCTATGCAAAGATCAAAACTAGGCAGCTTCGTTTTATAGAATTGACACCTTTTATATGTCTATGGGGACTGCTTGGTGTCTATAAATTATGTATATGTGTTGGACTGAAATCAAACTTAAAATCTTCCATATTTCAAGTGTTTTTATTCTGAGCAGTAGGTACAAAAAATAATGACATAGTTGTGTCTAATTCTGTATAGTTCAGCACCCTCCACAGGCTGTCAATCTCTGATTTGATCTACTTTTACCAGATTTAACAGATCCTTGAATTTACTTTACTGTATATACTTCCTTCTTGCTCACATTGGGAATCAAACTAATGCTGGAAACATGCATCTTCAGACTTCATTGAGGAATTCCAGATTGAGACACGCTGGGATGTGGATTGAGTCCATGGTTAGAGAAGATGGATTAAATGGAAACAAAACAGGAAACATGTGCTTGGCATCTAATAGCAGTTGCTGAGGGTCATTCCGCTCTTGTAGTTGTGCCTATGGGGAAGAATAAGACCATGTAAAGTTTGAGTACCCCTAAAAATAGCCAGTTTAAGTGAATTCACAAAAGTGAGTTGGCATATATCATGGAAAGATTTCTACGACAATTAGGTAGAACTTCAGGACTAGGAGAATGTGATCTCCTCACCCTTGAGGTATTTAGTGGGGAGAGAAGCCCTGACTTAGGCTTCTTGGAGATCAGAGGGCTGTAAGCACTCTCCCAATTCTAGCATTCTTTAAAAAATTGTCTAAGGGAGAATATAAAATACATCTCAGGTGCAAACCATATGGAGAGGCACTATAGTGAAGTGGCCAAGGGCATGGGTTTTTTTTTTTAGGTAGACAGCTGAGCTCTAATCCTGGCACCACCCTGGGCAAATTCCTGAATTTTTTATGCCTCAGTTTCTTTACCTGTAGAATGGGAGAAGAGTACATCACATAAAATGGCAGAGTAGGAAGCCCTAGGGATTGGTCCCTCCACTGAAGCTACCTTGAAGTAGAAACAGTGATTGTCAACTATCTCATAACTCTGGAACTTGATTGGACATTTATAACAATCGGGAGACTGATTGGTAAAGGGAGAGGCTGCTGATCTTTGCTAAGGGAACTGTGTGTGTGACCCAGCTACTATCCCCCTCTCTTCAGCTCCCCTGAAGCTATGGGGATAGCAGCTCACATTCCTGGAGTAGCTAGCTGGCCAGGGTAGGCAGTGGGACCTTGTCCTCCAAAAATTTGGGGTTGTGCCCTTTGATCTGGTGGGTCCCAGCAGATGCCTGTCTTGGTTTAGACATTCCTTGGGATGCAATGGCTTCCACTAGTGGCATCAACTGGAAAATTTAAAGGCACAGAGCCCCTCCCTGCTTCCTATTTGAAGCCAGAAATTTTAGGAAAAGTACAAAAACTGAAATGAAAAATTCACTAGAGAAGTTTAACCGCAGACTTGAGCAGGCAGAAGAAAATCAGTGAATTTGAAGATAAAGCAATTGAAATGATCCAGTCTGAGAAGAAAATAAAAATAATGAGGTAAAAATGAACAGAGCCTAACAGACCTATTGGACACCATCAAGTATACCAACATACACATTACAGGAGTACCAGAAGGAAAAGAGCAAGAAGGGGGCAACAAAATATTTGAAGAAATAATGCCAGAAACTTCCCAAATCTGATGAAAGACATGTATGTAATCATCCAAAAAGTTCAATGAACTCCAAGCAGGATAAAGGCAAAGAGATTCACAGTGAAACACATTATACTAAATTGTCAAAACCCTAAGACAAAGAGGGAGTCTTGAAGGCAGTGAGAAAGAAGTGACTTGTCACATACAGTCATCCCTCAGTATCCATGGGGGATTGGTTCCAGGAATTCCCACAGATACCCAGATCCATGGATATGCAAGTACTGCTGTCGGCCCTGTAGAACCTATAGATAGAAAAAGTTGTCCCTCCATAACTACAGGTTCTGCATCCTGTGAATACTGAATTTTGAATCTGTGGTTGGCTGAATCTGCAGATATGGAACCTGTGGATATGGAGGGCTGACTGTATAAGGTATCCTCAAATAAGATTAACAGCTGTTTTTCATCAGAAACCATGGAGGCTAGGAGGCAGTGGGATGACACAGCTCAAATCCTGAAAGGAAAAAATCTTGTCTGCTAAGAATTCTAAATCTGGCAAAACTACCCTTCAAGAATGAAGGAGAAATTAAGTCATTTCCAGAGACAAAGAAGGACATTATATTTTAATAAAAGGTTCAACTCATCAAGAAGATATAATAAACATCTGCATCTAGCAACAGAACCCCAAAATATTTGAAGGGAGAATTGACAGACTTTAAGGGAGGATAGTTCTACAGTAATGGTTGGACATTTCAATACCCCATTTTTAATCATGGATAGAACCAGATAGAAGATCAATAAGAAAATAGAGGCCATGAACAACACTATAAACCAATTAGTCCTAACAAACACATATGGAACACCCCACTTAGCAGCATACACATTCTTCTCAATGCATATGGAACAGTCTCCAATATTCAAACAAGTCTGAATAAATTTAAAAATATTAAAGCCATATGAAATATTTTTTCTGATTAGGATGGAATGAAACTATAAATCAATAAATGAAAGCTGCAAAATCCACAAATATATGGAAAATAATAAGTTCTCAAATAGCCAATGGGCTAAAGAAATCACAGGGGGAATTAGGCAATAAAAATATAATAAACCAAAGCTTATGGGATGGGATAAACATAGTGCTAAAAAGTTTGTAGCTGTAAATGTCTACATTAAAAAAAAAAATCTCAAATCAATAACCTAACTGTATACCTTAAGGAATCAGAAAAAGAGCAAACTAAACCTAAACCTAGAAGAAATGAAATAACATAAATTAGATGGAAAAAATAGAGAACAGATCAATACCCAAAACAAATGAAATCAAAGTTGGTTCAAAAAATTGACAATTTTTTTTTTTTTTTTAAGATGGGGTCTTGCTCTGTCACCCAGGCTGGAGTGCAGTGGTGTGATCTCTGCTCACAATCTCCGCCTCCCAGGTTCAAGTGATTCTCCTGCCTCAGCCCCCCAAGTAGCTGGGATTACAGGTGTGTGGGAAGACTAAAATGAGAAATTAGCAAATCAGAAATGAAAGTGAGGACATTACTGCCAATTTTACAGAAATAAAAAGGATTATAAGAGAATACTATGAAAAATTTAACACCAACAAATTGGATAACCTAGATGAAATGGACAAAATCCCAGGAACACACAAACTACCAAAACTGATTTAAGAAGAAATAGAAAATTTGAATAGACCTATAACAAGTAAGCATATTGAATTAGTAATTAAATATTTCCCAACAAAGGAAAGCCCAAGATGGGCTTCACTGGTGAAGACTATCAAACATTTAAAGAAGAATTAACACCAGTTCTCAAACTCTTCCTAAAAATCAAAGAGGAAGGCACACTTTAACTCATTCTATGAGGCCAGTATAACCCTAATATCAAAGCCAGATAAAGACCCTGTAAGAAAACAAAACTATATTCATCCCTTATAAATACAGATGTAAAAGCCCTCAAGAAAATACTAGCAAACTGAATTCAGTAAAAGGTTAAAAGGATTATACACCATGACCAAGCAAGATTTACCTTCAGAAAGCAAGGTTAGTTCAACATAAAAATCAATCAATGTAATATACCACATTAACAGAATGAAGAGGAAAAAACCCACATCATCTCAATCGATGGAGAAAAGCATTTGCCAAAATCCAACTTTTTTAATGATAAAAAGATAAATCCCTCCATGATGAAGACCATATGTAAAAACCCCACATTTAACATCACAAATATCACACTCAGAAAGTTTTTCCTCTAAGATCAAGAATAAGATAAGGATGCCTGTTCTTACCACTTCTATTCAGTATAGTTCTAGCCAGGGCAATTATACAAGAAAAGAGATAAGAGGCAGCCAATTTAAAATGATCCTCTTGCAGACAACATATCTTACATGTAGAAAAACTGAAAGAATCCACACACACACACACACACACACACAAATATTGCTAGAGCTAATGAATTCAGCGAAGTACATAATAAAAAAAAACACATAAAAATCAGTTGTATTTCTATTCACTAGTAATGAATAATCAGAAAGAAAAACAATTCCATTTACAATAACATCAAAAAGAATAAAATACTTAGGAATAAATCTAGCCAAGAAGGTGCAACACTTCTGAAAAAGTCAAGACCTAAACAAATGGAAAGACACCCCATGTTCATGTACTAGAAGACTTAAGATGACAATACTACATAAGCAATCTACAGATTCAGTGCAATCCCTATCAAAATCCCAATGACGTTTTTTGCAGAAATCTAAAAAAATCCTAAAATTCATATCAAACTTCAAGGGATCTTGACTAGCCAAAGCAATCCTGAAAAATAACAAAATTGGCCAGGTGCAATGGCTCATGCCTGCAATCCCAGCACTTTGGGAAGCTGAGGTGGGCAGATCACCTGAGGTTGGGAGTTTGAGACCAACCTGGCAAACATGGTGAAGCCCCTTCCCTACTAAAAACGCAAAAATTAGCCAGGCATGGTGGTGCATGCCTATATTCCCTGAGGCAGGAGAATTGCTTGAACCTGGGAGGCGGAGGTTGCAGTGAGCCAAGATTGCACTACTGCGCTCCATGGGTGATAGAGTGAGACTCTGTCTCAAAAAAAAAAAAAAAAAAAAAAAGGAAAACAAAATTGGAGGACTCACACTTCCCATTTGAAAACTTTTTACAAAGCTATGGGAATCAAAACAGTATGGTACTGGTATACGGACAGACATACAGACCAATAGAATATAAGGGCCCAGAAAAAAAAAAAACCCTCATATTTTTGGTCAATTGATTTTTGACAAGGGTGCCAAGTCCATTCAATGAGGGAAAGGGCAGTGTCTTTGACAAATGGTGCTGAGACAACTGGATATCCACATACAGAAGAATGAAGTGGGACATTCACCTTATACCATATACAAAAATTAACTCTGAATGGATCAAAAACTTAAAGGGAGCTAAATCTGCAAAGCTCTTAGAAAACATAGGGGAAAGTATTTATGGTTCTTAAAAATGACATCAAGAGCATAGGAAACAAAAAAATATACATAGATTGGACATCCTCAAAATTTAAAACTCCTGCATCAAAGGACACTATCAAGAAAGTGAAAAGACAACCCACAGAATGGGAGAAAATACTTGCAAATCATATCTGATAAGGATTTAATATCCAGATTATACAAATAACTCCTACAACTCAATATCAAAAAGACAATAATCTAATTTAAAAATGAATTAAATACTGGAATAGATATTTCTCCAGAGAAGATATATACATGGCCAATAGGCACACGAAAAGATGCTAGTCATCAGAGAGATACAAATCCAAACCACAATGAGATGCCACTTCACACCCATTAAGATGGCTATAATTTTAAAAAGCTGGAAAATCACAAGTGTTGGTGAGGATGTGGGGAAACTGGAACTCTCATGCATTGCTGGTGGGAATGTAAAATGGTATAGCTGCTGTGGAAAAGTTTCAGATTCCTCAAAAAGTTAAATATAGAGTTACCATATGACCCAGTAATTCTGCCTCTAAATATATGCCCCAAAGAACTGAAAAATTGATCTCAGCTCCTTGTGCAACAATGTTCATAGCGGCATGATTCCCAATAGCCAAAAGGTAGAAACAGTGCAGTTTCCATCAACCAATGAATAGACAGAATGGGATATATAAAGGGAATATTAGTCACTAAAAAAATGAAGTTTTTATGCATGCTACAACATGGATGACCTTTGAGAACCTAAGTGAAATAAGCCAGACCCGAAAGAATATCGTATGAGCCAACTTATATGTGATATCTAGAATTTACATATAGAAGCCTACCCAGGGTTGAAGGGAAGGGAGAATATTATTTGCCCAAATGGGTAGTGTTTCTGTTTAGGATGATGAAAGAATTTTGGAAATAGTGGTGATGGTTATGTAATATTGTGAATATACTTAATGCCACGGAACTATACACTTAAAAATGGTTAAAATGGAACACACATACCCCAAAACCATGGGATGGAGAAGAGTACCCTTCTGATAAGGTTGTGAGGATTTGAAGAGTTAACAGGTGTAAAGAACACAGAGTACCATCACTGGCACATAGTAAGTGCTGTATTTGCTGTTATCAGTTTTATAATATGCTCCTTTGTTCCTCCTGCCCATGCATTAACCATTGACCTCTGAACCATGAACTGCTGGTAGAAGCTGTACTTTTACAAAAGTCAATAGGGTTAACTGTGGGAGTATTGCCAAAAAGGAAAATCAATATATCCTGATTTTGTGAAAACACAATTTATTTTTCTTAAACCTCGAAACAGGCCATAGTCAGTAAATACATAGCAGCATTTGAAAATCGCTGGGAAATAGGTTTACAGAATGAAGTCAGCTGGAGCATGGCACTGTAAGATGGCTCTATAGTGGCAGGGGAACCTAGAATTGCCCACGTTTTCATCCATTACCTGAATTATGAATAGAAAGCATGACTTAAATTTCCAGTACCCGTGTGTTTGGCATCTTGAAAGATGGGCCAAAATTTTAAAGTAATTTTAATCATTTGAAAAAGTGGTTTGAAATAATGGGAGAGAAGTTTAAAGGAGAGAAAGGTATTTAGGGAGGAATAAGCAACTAGCCTCACTAATTCAAGGTACTCAATGATGGCTCTGGTGTGGCCTGGCAGAATGATTCTCTGGGATTGTTGACAGCTCACACACAGCCCACTCTGAGGTTTGCTGCGTTTATTATCATGAACCTATCACAAGGCATATGTATGTAAAATGTGAAATGGCAGGAGGCTCTGGGAAAAAAAGTCATCTTTGTAGCACTTAAGGGCCCTTGTATTTCTCCACATTAGTTAGATGTGACAGTAGACTTCACTACCTAAAGGGTTTGAAGAAATTTTAGAGAGTATAAAAATGGGAAAAGAAAGTGAAATATTACCTATATTATCACAATTCAACAGCAAAAGGCATGTATACTTTTAATCAATTAAAGTATATAAGGTGGTCATTTCACAGAAATCCTCCTGTGAATGCTTTGGTGAGTTTAACAACTTCAAATTTACATTTTTAAAGGTCAGTACAAAGCTATAAAAAGCCCAGAGCGCCCAAGCAATGGTTTGCTTTAACAAGTAACTTGTCTTTATCACACATGTGAGTTCAAATGTAGGAGGGCAGGACTGATTGTTCACCATTTCTTCTGAGCATTGTATAGGTAGAAACAACATAAAGCTATAGCTCATGAAAAAAATATTTTGCTAGAACTGCGAGACACTGAAATTGATTACTGAGGAAGATTCAGAATCTGACTGTACATATTTTGAGAGAATAGTTGGGCTTAACCTCCATTATATTTTCCCTTTGTCCTTGATCCATTAAACCTGCAGTATGATGTGGCATATATTTTTTAACCTGAATTCTCATAAACAGTGGGGTTGCCAATTTATGAGCAGTTATAGTTCTCCCTCTAATGTGTGTCTCAGATATTCGAAACTAAACAAGACTTTCTAAACTTGCACTTTTGTATAAATTATCAGCCCTCCATAAAAATCCATATAATGGGTCCAGGTTCAGATATCTCAGTGGCTTCTGTCATCAAACTCTTCCCATTCAGCAGCTGACTATGAGCATCCTAACTGGATCCTTTCTGTCAGCGCCACCCACAACCCCATTGTTGTATACATGTTGGTGAGTAGAGAGACTCACTCTGCCTGCCCCATTCTGCGGCCTGTGTCTTTAACAATCGACTGTGTTTCTGTCATTGCCCTTAGGAGAACAACCTTTAGTCTGACTAGGCACCACTTCCCAGACGTTCCCTCTGTTGGCCTCTGTTCCCTACTTAGATGCTGGGCTAAAGTTCATTTAGGCTTTTTTTTTGCCATGGCTCTTTTCAAACCCCTTTTTAGCTCTTTTCAGGGCTCTCTAAATCTCTGGATCTACATTGAAACACTGTAAGGAGCTCCAAATAAAATCCCAGGAGTATTCCAAAGGGAACAGGTTCTTGTACAAAGCTCCATGTTTCCTCACGTTTCTTCAGTGTCTTTGATAAACCTCCATTTGGTTCCCTTTTTCCTGACTCTCCCTCTGATGACTTCCCCCTGAACCCCTTTTTAATCCTTGTTTTGTGTCAATATCCCTTCACTGGCCAACAAGGTCATTTAAAAGTTTGAGGGAGTGCTATGTCTCCCCTGAGGTGCTCCCCACAGGTAATCATGGGAGAAGTGTGGCCTGTTTTCTGAATCACTGCGACATGACTATCATTCCAACACTGTCACAGTTACTATCACATGCAAAGGTCAGGCGCTCAGCCATCACCTTGGGCTCAGCTTAAGGAAGCTCATGTTTAAGTAAAACATTCCCATCATCTTAGGAAAAGACAGATTTAAATAACCGTTTTCCCTAATACATTTTCTTTCAAGCATTTTCCTAAAAGCAAATATTGTCTTTTTTTTTTGAGACAAGAGTCTCACTCTGTCGCCCAGGCTGGAGTTCAGTGGCGCAATCTCGGCTCACTGCAAGCTCCGCCTCCCAGGTTCACGCCATTCTCCTGCCTCAGCCTCCCGAGTAGCTGGGACTACAGGCGCCCACCACCACGCCCGGCTAATTTTTTGTATTTTTAGTAGAGACCGGGTTTCACCGTGTTAGCCAGGATGGTCTTGATCTCCTGACCTCGTGATCCACCCACCTCGGCCTCCCAAAGTGCTGGGATTACAGGAGTGAGCCACCGCACCTGGCCTATATTATAAGTCTTAGACAAAGATTTAAGAGCTCAAATTGCTTTCTTTAAAGAACATTTCTTAGTTCCATTTATGGTTAGGGCTGATATTCTGCTGACATTGTTAATTCCATTTGGTGCTAATAGTTCAGTAACATGCTAGTGGCAAATGACATAATGCTTAAACTATGTCTATAATCTGAGAGGCAGAGATGATAAAAGTTGAGTTTTCTGTGTGTAAACAGTAAGTTACTCATGGGTGATACGGTTCATGTTTACCTAAGTAGAAAGTCTAGGAATGTAAGGTCTCCCAGCATATATGTAACCAGTATTTTAGTAATAAAGAGAAGCAAGATTAAAGCCCAAATTTTTAATTTCCTTTATAGTCGTAGACTGGACTTTATAAAATTACTATCTTAAAACTCACCTGGATTGTTCGTATAAAGGCCACTGTTACCCGTTCTTCAAATTCATTCAGGGGAGTATAAAGGTTTAAAATTTTGACAATCTGTTGGGGATAAAAACGGAATTTAGCACAGAGCTAAATGAACATGAGACAACTTTTGAACTTTAAAGAATATGTGACATTGGTACAAGAGTATGATCCTCTTTAGACAAGGCCCACAACACAGATGGAGCTGGACTGACATTTACACTTGGAGCCTGCATCCAGGAAACTAGAGCCCACAGCTTTGTCAGGTGGATCTGAGCCCTCTCACCGAACTCATGTCTCCTGTAAACCCACCTGCCCCTCCCCACTATGCTCATTGGTATACACAATGAGGAGTTTAGAATGCAGTTGCCTGAAATCCTCAGCCTCATATCTACTAGTAATTTAAAGGTTTCTTCTGAAGAGTACTGGAGATCTTACCTTAGATGAGAAAGGTCTTGTTTAATACCTAACTACCCCCTGTCCCCCAACATTGTTTACAAATGAGTATTTGAACAGGAGATACTCTTTTGTCTGCCTACCACTGGTTTGGTGGAAGTAGACTGCCCAAATGCAATGCCAGCTGCATCTAGAAGGAAACTTACTTTAAGTGAAATGTATTTAAAGAGAAGAAAAATGTTTGAAGACTTTCTGGAAATGTTTACAGAAGGAAGCAGTTTTTTAAAGAGTTAGATATTTAATATTTTAATAGTAAGCAGAGGAGGTAAGGAAAGGTGTTCACTTTGCTATATTAAGATGTGTTTTTCTGTACTGAGTTTGGATTTTGTTATTTATCTTTCAGGGACTGGCAATGTGTCGGCAACTGAATCATGGTTATACATTTTTTAGGGAAAAGGAAAGTAACACTTAAATGCCCCTAAGTTCTTAATGACTTCATTTAAAACAATATAAATGAGTGTGAGTGAAAATATGACCATATTGCAATTAGTTTTAAAGAAAAGGTTTTTCTTACAGTTATATTTGTAAAGAAAGCAAATACCTGATGCTGCCAATTTCTGAAAATTTGTGGATTTCTATGTAAGAAACATTCCAGAATTCATTATATTTAAAGAAGTTTTTACCTAAACTTAACGTTTTGTGAGTTTGCTACCTTATCTTTTTAAGTGAGTAAGAGGGATAGAGAGTTACTAGAAAACAGTATCTGTGGCATCTTGTTTCACAGACCAAATGGTTTTTGGTTCATCTAGGAATATCCCATCAGCTGCACTTCAAAATTGTCTCATTAGGGGTATATAAAGGGTGGGAGTGCAACACTAACAAATAACCACCAACGAGAACAGACTTGGAATGGACTCAGGGCTTCCTTGGAATACCATGTTGACAGAGGTGCAAAGTGACTGTACCTGCTGGGTGCTGAGGGAGGTACACAGGGAGCAGATAGCCTCTGCGTCCTCCTGGGTTTTCTTCTTTAATTGCAGGAGCTGGGCTGCTTGGATCAGAGGTTCCATGGTCTGAACTGCTCCACTCTGGTGAAGGTTTCTTCCCCGAAGCCACTCCTCAAGCTGACTTATATTGTACCTTAGCCATAGGTAGAAAGCAAGCTATGTTAAGCCGGTCCTCCTAATTCACTGAGAAGGGGACACCTGTTGTGTTTTGCAGGCCCGCTGCAGCTAGTGCCATTATTTATCTCACACGGTTAAAAAGCATGGCAAGTGCCTTGCACTCAGGAACTATTTGTTGAATAAAGAATGAATAAATGAATGAGTGGGTACTTAAAATCAAGCAAAGATGAAATACCTGAAGTGTCTACATAAGTTAACAGGGAAAAACAGGCATTAAATATACTGAATTGTAAGTATTTATATTTAACATTCACAAATGTATTTATACTTCTATGTGAGCCTTCATGCCTCTTAACTCATTGAGTTTTCTCTCTGACCTATCTGCTTTGTATTCAGTCTTTAACTTAGAGTATGTCAACATCTTTAAGCTTTGAACTAATTTGTTTACCAAGTCAACCATCTCAGTGTTCGACGGATTTCACCAACAGGTAAAAAGGTGATGGATTTGAGTCACAGACTGATGGAGACAAGGACTGTCAATTAGATTTGGATTTCATTTTTAGAAACAGCAGTCTTGTGTTCTGATTCTAGCTGCAGTCAGTGAGGGCCCACTCTATCTGTGTTGTTGGGGGGTGCTCCTCCCTTACCTGAGTTGCATGCCTGTGCTCCAAGAGCAGACGTCCTTCCGCAAGAGCAGGTTGTTAAGAGTCACTGCGTTGATCATGTAGAAGAGCTGTTTGAATACCTGCAGGATGATCTCAGGGTCCAAGCCCTGGTCACACATGACTGTATGAAAGGCATTCATCTGGCGGATGATAGCTTCCAGGCAGTATGAGTTATCCCCATCTGCCATGCTGGAGGAGCGCTTCCGGTAGCCGGTGGGCTTCACACCAGATAGACCCTGAATGCTCTCATTTTCCAACATGGCAGAAACTGAAATAAAAGCACAGTTAGAGAAGCTTGCATTCCCCACTAACAATGCAAAGATTGGACCACTCAAATCATTTAGTGCTCCGGGCTTTAGCAATGATACCATCCAGAGGTGTGCAATGTTGACATGCTTAGGAACTTATAACATTTGGCAAAAAATTTCTAATGTGTTGATTTCTGTATGGAATAAAACAGCTGTGGACAGCATTTTCATTTAATTTACTGGCAATTAGACAAAGATGATGGGCATGTACCAGCTCGATTTGGTATCGCCTGTGCTGAAGTCCACAGTTTGAGAATTGAGCAACCTGGGTGTCATCCTCGTCCAGCCACTGACTATGTAAATAAGAGCTTCATTGGTCCGTCATACTTACTAAGCAGCCATTACCTATGCACCAGGGGCTTTATGTTCAGTATCTCTTTCAATCTTCCAACAACTCTATAAAGTACTACCCATTTTTATGAGGAAGTTGAGGTATAAAGCGGTTAAATAACTTGTCTGAGGTCACACTGATAGGGAGTGGCAGGGCCAGGATTTAAACCCAAGTCTGTCTGACTCCAGAACTGCTGCTATTAACCTTCACATTATTCTGAGTATCTCCAGCTTGATATGTCAGTTCTCCCTCTGTCTGGTGCCTTATAAAAAGATTTCCAGACAGGAAGGAGGGTTTGGAATGAACCTCATTTCAAGTAATGTATTTCTAGATTGGTCCTTCTTGGGATTCACTCATAACCTACTTGTGTTGTAAGAACCTGGGGAAAGCATTATGAATAGGTCCAGGTACACTTTCCTTCCCAGCCTTTGCAGAGCACAGTGAGTAATGCATCTACACATAATTTTTCTTCCGATTGAAAATGTAACTGCTCTCATTTCTCAATTCTGATTTCATGTTCAGTGCCCAAGTACACTGCTTGGTTCAAAGCAAGTGTCTAATAAATACTGATGCATCGTGCCGACTGCTGTGTCCTTTCGCATGAACACTCCTGCTTTTTTCCATGAATCAAGTTCATAATAGGTTAAGAGGGTTATGCTTTTTCACTGTATATGCATTTGTACCTTTTGAGTTTACATTTATTATGTATTAAAATTTGGGAAAAAATACAACATATTACAGAAAAAGAGATAAAGGGAAAGTCATCTATGCCTCTTGCACTGTGTCAAATACTTTCACAGCTTTTTAAGCATGATGTGCACACCTCAGTTCTGCCTTCACTGGAAGGTTCTGGCTTTCTGGAGGTCATGGCTAAGATATCTGGTTCCCGAAAGGCAGAGGGTGCTGACCACGCCTTCCCCTCATTTCAGACACCATGATGAGTGATGTAGCTCTCCTGCTGCCAGCTTACCTATCATCGGCTGTAACACGCCCTCGGCAATTTTAATGAGCTGCTGGTAGATCTGAATGGAAAGGTCACTCAGCACCTGACGGTATTCGGTGAGGTCAAAATTCTTAAGACAGTGTTCATTCTGCTTTGCAGTGTTCTGAGTCATGAAGCCCTGCAGAGGGAGAGGCGTGCACTACTGAGTTCTCTGGTCTGCTGGGCCCAGCACAACTTCCAGGGCTCTGGTAACTTTAGTCATCTATTTGGTGGGCAGGGGGCCTACTCAGGCCCTCCCTATGTAGATGATGTTTTACAAAAGCCTGTCAGTTCTTTGAGGCCTCATTGATGACCCTTGAACTTGAAGGATGTAGAAAAACTCAACATGAGAGAGAAAGCCTGAATCGCTCAGTCCAAATCCCTGAGGCGAAGTGATTTCCCTACGGTAGCAAAACCTAGGTTGGTACCAGGTCCAGAGAAAGGGATCCCTGCTTTTTCCCTTCATCCAGCGCTTTCCTCAATATATCAGGTCCCCCTAAAATGTTAGATGATGTGCAGCCTCTAAAGGAGTGTGGCCATGGGCCAGATTATACGCTTGTATGAGGAGAAATTTTATACAGATTCTATCACTGGTTATCAGAATTAATAGATGAACTAAAGTGATTTCATAGCTACCGCACTGTGTCCTCTTAGCTTTCTGTATTAATCAGATGAAATCACATGTAAGTTAAGGGAACTGCTGATATCAGAAGGGCTCATGTGACCAATGTCCTTTTCATTCAGGCCTAGGGAAACCAGTATCTGCCAAAAAGATTAGTGCTCCCAAAAGGGCAACCATCTTCAGCAAGGCCTGTTGTACTGTGTCAAATACAAAGCCATCTTAATATGAAAAAAAGCAGGCAGAAAAGGGGATAATTGTAATGATGAAGATAGAGTCAATCATTCTTCCTTGTTATTTGGACTACACGGATCTGGTCATGCTGTGGTTCAGCTCTTGACCCAGAGAATATGAGCACATGTAACCACAACCTAATGTAATGGAGTTCTAGGTCCTGCCCTAGCCTTATATAACCTCCCATTTAGAATGTGTATAACATTGGGTAAAGTGATGGACCTCAATGAAATAACATTACATGTAGTTCTATGCTTCAAGTAAATGCTTGGATATTATGATTTTGTAACAGAAGTCATGGGGTTTGAAATGGCTATTTCTTTAACCTTTGGCCCATCTCTTTTATAATAAAAGCAGGCCATCAAATGAAGTGCTGGTTCTTAGGAGAGAGATGGCGTCAAGCCAACTGCAAAGAAGGTAAGACTGAAAGGAAGGGCATATCCTTTTACTAACCCAGGGAGAAGAGTCTGTCAAAATTGGTTCTGGCACAAAAGATGGAATAAAGCTTTAAAAATGGTCGCACTATTTTGGTTTACACTATGTCTTGACCTTGGGAAGGGTGGATGGTGAGATATGTGAAAGGAAGGGGAAGAAAAGTTGGAAGACCTACAGGAACCTGTGAGCGGGCATATCTGGAACAAGCTGGGATTCTCACCAGAGAAACTAGAATGGAAACAAGCCACATATTACTAGGTCATTGGGCAGAGTGCAGAGCATGGGAGAAGTTCTTTCAGGGACCAAAGCTAGGAATGTGAGTTCCAGAAAAAGCTGGGCCTTACAGGTCCGGTGTGGATTGTGAAGTGATGGGGTTAGTAGTTGGGCCTCAGGTCAAGGAATCCAATTTGGATAAATGCATGGAGCTGGGCCTCCAGGTCAGTTTGCACACACGTAGTTCTGATTATGGTGTGCCTCTGTTCTTGTGGCCATCTTTGTCTATCTTGAAATGGACAGATTAATCAGTTGGCTTAGGAGACAGGGTGACCCACTAGGCAACTGAGCTCCCTGCCAGTATCCACTGCAGTGGGGCTTCTAGAGCTGATACAGAAATGTCAGGTTACAAGAGTTTCATGGAGACTCCCAGGGCCTCTATTGATCATGGGTTATGCAGACTCTACTTACATAACCCAGGAGTGCTTTTTGGGGCCCCTTGGGCTCATCAAGGCCTCCTAGAGGCAGGTCTCCTGTGGCTGGCCTTATTGCTGCTTCCAGCCACGAGGCATGATAAGGTGTGCCCACGGTCTGAGGTCCCCAAGGGTGCTCCAAAGACCCCACTGACCTCTGAGGGTATACAAAGCACTTCTCAACCACATTTGGATGAAGCAGGAATGCCTCCTGGGTGCCTGGCTCCCCACTCACCTCATCCCCGCTGTACTGCTTCAGACAGTGAAGAAGGCGGCAGGTGTTGGATAACCAGAATGACGTCATCTCAAAGTCATCATTGTGCTTCTGTGAAAAGAAAAGGACATCCTCAGCTCTAAGTGGCTCCCATCTGGTGAAATGCTTCCTCGGTACCTCTTTCCCCACATTTCCTACCCTTACCTAGTGTTCCTGAGCAGCCCTGAGGCTGGGCAGGGCACTTGCCAGTCACGGGGTTGAGACCCATTGCTGAGAGGCTGTGTGAGTGTTCCTCTACCACCAGGGATGGTGCACAGAACCCCCACCTTGGTCTCCTGATCAGTGGTGCACATACAGGGACACACATAAAGGACAGGCTGCCTTCCATGGCTGAAGAATGAATGCAAAGCTGAGTGACAGATGAGGCTCTGCCCCAACAGCCCCGGGCTCTCGTCTAACCGCCTGGGCTAGCTGGCTCTGTTTCTGAACTGCCAGTTATCCAACACAAGGGATGCTGAAGAGCATAACAGCAAAATAGTTTGGTGTCCCATTTATCTAGATGTCAGATGCATCATGGCTTTAACTCTCTAGAAAATGGCTACAAACCCTAACTAGGTGAAAAAGCCTGCTCAGCAACCCAAACAGCTATGAGACAGCTGCTGCATTAAAGCTGATGACTTCACGCAGCTCATTCTGTCAAGTAAGCGTTATCATTATTTAAATGACAGAGTGGTATGAGGTACGACCAAAAGAAAAAAAAAAAAAAAGAAATGAGGTTGAATAGAAAGTGACTGCTGGGGCTGGGACATGCTATTTTAGCTCAGAATTAGGGAAGGCTTTCCTAAGGAAGTGACATTTGTGTCAGCCCTAAATTGGCCTAGACTGGCCGAAGATTCCAGCTGGATGGTGCTCACGAAAGAGGATCAAGGCTGGAGACACAAATCTGAGAGCCACGAGCATGCAGATATGTTTTAGAGCCGTGAGTGGATAAAATTGCCTGTGGAGGGCAATGCAGCTACTGAGGGCAGGAAACCAGACTTAAAGGCTGGCTCTGGAATTCTGAGCAGCAACCAGCAGCTCAGTGGACTCCAGAATTGGTTTGGACTCAGAGCTTTTGAGAATGGCTTGTATCCTGGAAGCAGTAATGTGTAAGAACTAAAGATGGTCTCTAAGAGCAATAATACTCGGGGCACAGGCCTGCTAGCAGGTAGAAATCCCTCTCACTGAGGGTTCATCTCCCTCAAGAATCTCACCTCCCCCACTGCCTGGCCCTCATCCATGTGTGGACAGGCCTCACCCTCCCTGCAGGCCAGCCTGTTTCTGCAGTGGCTGCACTACATTCAAGAAGAGCCTTGTGCCTTCAGGTGGCATTCCCGAGCACCTTTAACACCATGCGGCAAGCCCTGTCCTGGCCCAGGTTGCCTCACCTTGGGAGGTGATGGAATGTCACAGCCCTCCCTGTGTTACCCCCCAGGGAAGCAAGCACCCGGCCCCTTGGAAAGGTGGAGAGGGCCCATGTTTCAGGGGTGTCCCTGAACTTGCTCCAGGGTGAGGCCCACACACCCTTGGCTGCAGCAGGATGTCTCCCTAGCACCTCTGGCAGTGGGCAGGCCAAGGCTTCTGTAAGCACTGGGCATGTCTGGAGGCTCAGCAGGGAGGAGCTGGAGGGCTACCTACACCAGAGTCCTCGGCTTTCTGCCATTGCTGGGCCTGAGCATCCTTCTCTGGGAACTGCCAGGCATCCTGGTTATATGGATGCTTCTGTGGCTCATTTACCTTCAAAGTTGGAGCCCTAGGAGCATTCACTACAGCCAAACCCAGACACAGAGAAGCAACAGTAAGGGGCTGGCTTCACTCTACCCACCACAAACCATGACCTTCTGCAGGGGCTGCTTACTTTCAGGACTTTCTTAATGCCGTTGATGGTGGAGGTCAGCAGGGAGTGCACCTTGAGATCGTCGTTGGTGTAGTCCGCGTGCCGGATGCACATGTAGAGGATGTAGGCGGGGAGACAGGGCACTGTGCCCGACAGCATCTGGGGCTTCAAGTCTAAGGGCAACGAGAGCAGCAAATGGCAAGTTAGATCTATGGGGGACAATGGAGGCTGTCAGAATCCTCATCTGAATAGACGTGTTTTCAATATTTCCCCATAGCTCATCTAGGAATAGATGTCTCAAAGAGGATTGGGAGAGAAGCCACCCAGGGTACCCAAACTCCCGAGCATGCCTACCAGTAGTTTCAGACACTGTGGTTAAAAACACAAACAAACAAAACCACATTCCTAATTGTCTGCACTATAACCCTGAAACAGGCTTCTAATGCCTCAGCCTAACAATATGGAGGAAAAGTGCCTGCAAGTTACACAGATGCCTCAGTCCGCAGCCAACAGGGGCCCATGGCAAGTGGAAGGCTGAGGACAGGGCCTAGCTCCCACATGGGGGCAGGAACTCCTGATTCGTGGGCACCACCACTTCCAGAAGGCAAGGGCTGGCTCCAGAATTAGACAAATTGTATGTGCCCAAAGACAGGGCCAGCCTGCTGAGGGCTAGGGAGGTTGGAACAATCTCTGGCCCATCAGTTCAGGAACAAATTACCCAGCCGTGCTTGCCCAGCTTCACAGCCAAATAGATCAGGCAGGCCCCCCTTCCCCACCCCGGTGCTGCTGCTTGGCATGCATCTCTCCAGCGGCTCTCTTACTTCCCCCAACTGCTCTCCTCTGTATCCCACACTCCTGTCCCTGCCTGGGCAAGGGCTGCTCTGGCTGGACTGGAAGGGCCTTGTGAGTCTCCCCATTAACTGCAGACTCAGCCCTTTGGCCCTTTCTTGCAAAAGGCCCTGGAGGGACAGGAAGCAGCTGTCAGACCATTTTCTATTCCAGACCATGCCAGCTGAGCCAGACTTAAGGCAACAGGTGGTGGTAGAAGGCCAGAGAACTAGGGGGAAAGGCCTGGTGCAAAGGCAAGATGACAGGTGAGAATGGGGCAGGAGCACAAGGCCCCAGGGGTCTCACCATAGCTCTGCACTGTATCTCCAGCCCTTGTTCTTTACACTCATACCCTCCCAAACGAGGCCTCATGAGCCACCTGTAGGCTCAGAATGGCAATGAAGGGAGGCCACCTCCCTCCCACCTGCAGGTGGGCAGTATCCTTGCAAACCTTCTACCAGGCTGGTCCTGGGCTGGGCTCTGCTGCCAGCAGCTCCAGTTGGTACTTGGGTTACATTGTCCCTGCTCCAACGCATCCTTCTAGTTAAATGATAACTGTAGGCCATAATACTCTTGAGTACATGGTTGACATTTGGCCATTTTATAGGTCCAGCAGATGGCTGTGGATTGGCCATTGGCTCTAGTTAGAATGCCAGTCATTTATCCAGGAAAATGTATTTTGTAGGCCCAGACTTCCAATCCATAACTTCTTACTTCAAACCTGATCCATGTGCAGATTGCAAACAACTTGTCCTGTCTTGGAATGTTCTATTGTGATTAAATAAAGCTTGTTTGGGTGCCCCAGCTAAATGTTAGCATCTTGGGGAAGAGACGATGACACTAGTTTTATTTCTCCTCCACAGCAACTGGCCAGTGCCAGGTACCTAAGAGGTAGGTGGTCGGCAGTCAAGTTTTGGCATTTGTTTGGATGGGGTCTTTTGGAGGGAAGATGACTGCAGGATTTTCCTAGGTAGCTCAGCAGGAGATGACCTTTCCTGGGGCCACCTGAGCAAGGGTCATCTCATGCTGATGGCAGGGTTTTCTCTGTAAAAACCCTGGCAAATGGCAGGAGGGAGCCACCTGTCTGACACAAGCAGCCTTATTTATTGAAAGTTTCATTCACCAGAGATGAAAGGTTTGTTCCTAATTGCATTTGAACAAGATGCAGTCTGTTTAAGGAAGTTTAAGATAAACTTACACCACATTTAATTAATTGCTGGACAACTGTAGGGGAGATTAAGCTTTTTAAAAGAGCAAAATACATCTAAGAAGCAGGCTACTAAAAACACACAAACCAAACAGCTGGAGCAAATCTGTTTAAGGCAGATGTCACAATCTGTTCTTCCTGGGTCCCTCGGCCCTAGGCACAGTGCTCAGCAGAGTCGGACTTCAGTCTTACATAAGTTTCTCTAAAATAATGCTTGCCTTGCCTCTTATTTGAACTTCAAATATTCCTGCAAAAGCTACCACTCCTTTGAAAGCCTCACATTTGAGAAGGGTTTTGCAGTTTTAACACAGCATTTCGCCTTTGACACACTTCACATCATGGGGCAGGCAGGTCAGTGTCATCATCCCATTTCACTAAGGTGCCATAAAGAAGGGAGCTGCTGGCTCAGGGTCCAGAGGATCAGACCACCAAAGATTTCTCCTCTTTCCCACAGGACTCTCTCCTCTAAGACTCTTCCTGGCTCTGCAGGGGGATGCTGGACTGGGTTGGTACAGAGCAGGGAGGTGGCCTGTTGCAGTGGCCTGTGGCAGATGGGGCACAAGACTGGAGGGGAGGGAGCTGGTACGACTGGCAAAGCAGCACTGGGCACAAACCTGAGCAAGCTGCACAGGTCACACAGACTCCCTCCTGGCCCTTGCTGAGCAGCCAAGAGGGACTCGGAGGGGTGGCGGGGGCTCCTCTTTTCACAGAGAAAACCCTGCCCTCTTGGCAGCTAGTGTGGAAGGTCTTTCAGTCCTAGGAGCCCAGCTGGGGAAGGAATTCTGAGCAGTGGTTCTCACAGCTGCCTGGTGGCCCCAGGGAGCACATGGGGGTGGGAGGCTGGCAGGCCAGCCCTGATTCAGCCACATGCCTGGATAAGAAACTGCAGATGATCGCAGGGACAGTAAAAGCCAACCCTGATGAACTTTGACAGTGGGACCAGGGTGATCCCAGACAGACTGCAGAAGCTCAGCATTCCTCACTTTAATGAGCCTGTGAATGTCACCTGGCATCTTGTTATGTGCCTTGCAATTGAGGAGGCCTGGCACGGAGCCCGAGACTCTGCATCTCTCACCCCTTCCCAGGGGTGATACTGATGCTGATGCTGATGCTGCTGGTCCAGGGACCATGTATGAGCAACGAAATACGAACTTTCATTCTCACAACTCCATGCCAGCGGCATGATCCCCTTTCCTGTGCTCTACACAAGAACACTGGTGAGTAGCACAGCCACGGCCATGTGCGGCTAGTTAGGAAAGAAGCCAGGTCTGAACACAGCCCATGTGATTCCAGAGACCACACCCACATGTGCTGTACCACACAGCACTTTAAACTGTAAAGTCCTAACCAAACAGAAGGAGTCTGAATCCTTGATCCACTGCTTCCCAGCTGTGTGACCTGGGCAAGTTACTAGAGTGAGTCTCTGTTTCCTTCAGTGTAAAATGAGAAAGCAGCAGTTCTGACTTAAAGGGAGGTTGTGAGGATTAAAGGAGGGATGAGTCTGGTAGAGGATGTGCTCCAAAAGCATGAGCTTCCATCATTGCCAAAGCACTG
Source organism: Homo sapiens (assembly GCF_000001405.40). Lineage (NCBI taxonomy): Eukaryota > Metazoa > Chordata > Mammalia > Primates > Hominidae > Homo > Homo sapiens. Next base: position 49,846,809 of record NC_000018.10, read on the forward strand.
TGGCCTGCAGAGAGCTGCACCAAGGAAAGGGGGCTGTGGCTGCTGCTGAGGAAAAGCATGTGGGTGGCTCCCCTCCCACTTCCATCGTATGGGCAGAACAAAGAAGCAGTGGGTCTTGCCATCGAGAATAGCAGCTGGACACAGCAGGAGCTGGGGGGAGGATGAGAGTAGGTGTGGGGAGTGGAAGATGGGGGCAGGTGCAAGGGCAAGTAGGAGACAGAGGGTGGGGGCTGTGCAGGAGGTGAAGGAAGGGGTGTGGGGGTTGTGCTGGGGATGGAGATGGGAGCGGGGGCTGAAGGAGGGGCAGGCAGCATAGGGTGGCACAGAGGGTCCTTACCTGTCACCAGGTTCCGGATGAGGAGGGCCTCGTCCTCTTTGTGGTACTCCAGCATGCCCTGGAAATCCTTCTCTTTCCGCTGGACCGTGACCTGCCTGTTGAGCTCATGGCGCTTCCTCTCACTCTGGGCCAATGCCTGGGCAGCTGAGCAGGAAAGAAAACAGGAAGCATGGATGAGACTTCCAGCTGCAGGCCTGAGGGTAGCGGGCATCTCTGGCGGGTGGAGGATGGGACCTGGGGCAGGGGAAGGGGCATCTCTGGCAGGTGGAGGATGGCACCTGGGGCAGGGGGCATACTGGGTTCTCCAAACTTCCACTCTCTTTGCGGAGTCTGTTCCTACAGCCAGAGCCACACCCCAAGTGTGAGGAGCTCAGCATCCAGCACTGGGGTCCACACTCTGGATAGGGGAGAGGAAACATCCGAAAAGACAGCAGGCAGGTTTCAGACCAGAGAAAACTTGTGAAGGATGACAGCCAGCATGGTCTCTCACCGCTCCTGCATAGCTGCTTCTCTTTCCCTACTGACTTCTAAGGAAAGGAGATACCGTTTTTCTGGGAAGTGCTTGGCCTCGGCCTGGCCCACTACACTCAGTTCCCTGTGTGTGGCCACAACGTGGCCATCGTGACACAGCCGCAGGGCAAACCCAGGTGTTCAGGGCAAGGCCTGGACACTGTCTGTGACCTGTGGGTGGTGGATCAGGGTGGTGATGGTGATAGTAAGGACACGTCCTCAGCCACTAAATGCAGGTTCAGGTTTAGGAAGCTGCCAAGTGCAGTCTTTGCAACTACATAAGATGATGACTATTTGGGAAGAGTTTCAGTGGCAGGGTTGAAGGTATAAAGGCCTGGTCAACCCTCACTCAGGCCTCTCCTCAGCCTCACACCATGGTAGAGGGACAGTGGGCAACCACAGCATCACTCCCAAACACATCTCAGTGCTGACTGCACACGGGACGCTGTCCTAAGCACGGGAACAGATACAATGGCATGCTTAATCTGTCCCTGGCCAGTCGAACTAAGGAGACACATCTGTACATTCACATGGAAACACTATGACACAGCTCAGTCAGGCACCAAGCCAGGAGTGTGTGATGTGGGTGCTGGTGGTGATGGGCTGGAAGGACCCCACGGAGGAGGTGGGATGAAGGGTGGGTGCTGATGATGTGGGTGCTGATGGTGGTGGGGCTGGAAGGACCCCACAGAAGAGGTGGGATGAAGGGCGGGTGGGACTCTTACATCCAGGTTCAAAGGAGCTGATCCACTGGGAAAGGACCAATGGAAGAGGACCAGGACGAGTGACACCCAGGGAAGGGTGCTCCATGAACTCCTAGTGGCTGAAGGGAGGCTCTGAGTGGAGGTGGGGGAGAGTGTGAGAGGATGAAGGCTGGCAGACTAGGGCTGGGATTTCATTCTGCAGGCAATAAGGCAAAGGCAAAGGCCAGACAGTGCTGTGAAAAAACAGGACTGGGAAGCTACTAAGCAATCTGGGAACAGGGGACAAGAACTGGACACAAGGGTAGGGGCAGACACAGAGAAACATCAGAAAAGAGGGAGTGATAGGTCTTTAGGAGTAAGCAAAGCTTGAAGCCAAGAGACTAGGAGAATGAGAAACTGGAGGAATAGCAAATCCAAAGTTGGTGGGCACATGGGCAGATATGAAGAGAAGTGTCCCCCTGGATAGAGATCACAGACATCCCTGCCCTCTAAGACCTTCCAGTCTAGAGGAGCAGGAGATTAAACAGGTAAAATGACAACTGTGATCAGGGTTGTGCCCAACACACAAGTGGGGTCAGGACTGTCTAAGACGAGACTCAAGCCCTGAGCATGTGGCTCCTGAGCTGAGGGTGGAAGGATGTGGAGGGGTATCCAAGCAGTGAGGGGCTGAAAGAGGGTTCCAAGCAGGGTGACATATGTAAAGAGTGACACAGTGAGATTTGCAGCAGGGAGTCAGAGGGAGAGAACATTCTAGGTCTTTCTGGAAGAGTGATTTAAATCTCTACCTGAAGATCCCAGATTGGAAGTTTAATCCTGACACTCAATAGCATGGAGTGAGGACCTTGGGGTTTAGGTCTTTGTGTTACACAGCATTCTTTCACATCAATCTTGCCTCCCAACTTCAAGCCGTTTGAGGGCAGGGACCACCAGGTCACCTCTGGGTTCCCCATTCCTCTAGCCCTGCAGAGCCTTGCTCAGAGTAAGCACCCAAACTGGCTGAATTCAAGTGTCTTTTGTCCATATTCTGGCAACTGCAGATGGGTAAGCTCATGGGATCCAACTTCTATCGCCTGGCTGGACTGGGCAGAGCCACCAAGAAATCAGTGATGTAGGAAGAATGTGCAGAGGGCAGGCAGACAGCTCACACCCACAGGCGTGGCCAAGTATACCTGTGATTCACAAAACACACTCACTCACACCCCCCTACCTTCTAGGTCCTGGGCTTTCTTCATGTAAATCTTCAGTTGCTTTTTGAGCTTCCTCTCATTCTTTTCCAGCTTTTCTACCAGTTCTTTAAGGTCCTGGAAGCAGAGGAAGCAGTGTGAGAACAGACATCAGCCCGGCCTGGGATGGTGGGGGTAAAATCCTGCTTGCAGTTGGAGGTGACCAGTGCGGCCCATGGGCAGCCGTCAGAAATGCGCCAGTCAGGGACGCTGCCAGGAGAGCTGCTCTTCACAGGCTGTTGCCACCTGCTCTGGAACTCAGGAAGTGGGAGATGATGAGTCAGAGTCCATTCTCTCAAGGCAAGACTCCTCCCAGGTCAGGCTCTCTGGCGCCTTGCTGAATCCCAAGCCTCCCCAAGCCAAGCCTCCTCCGGTTGCCATGCCAACCCCCCAGGAGACACACTCAGCCTAGGAGTCCCAGGGTGGGGCGGGCAGCGCCCTGGGAAGGAACGGACAGGTGTGAGAATGCAGGGGGCAGGGAGGTTGGAAGAGCAAGTGGGCAAGTGAGATTATCCAGGGCCCAGCGGCAAAACAGGACACTGGTGTGGCCCCAGACCCTAGCAGCTGTTGCCACTGGAAGCCCATCAGCCCACTGAGACCTAGAACAGCAAGCCGCTGAGGGAGGAGTTTGCTGTCATTAATGTCACCTCCATCCCAGCTGAGCAGTGGTCCTCTGTGGCCAGGGACACAAAGAGGAGAAGAGGAGCCCTGCTCCATCCACCACTAGAGCCGGCTTCGGTGACTAGAGAGTGACAGGAAGACAGAAGCGAGTATTCCATGGTGGAGCCTCTACAAACACATTGGGTGACAACTTTTTAAGATCAGCCTGTTGACAGGAGTTGGCCCAGTCCCAGGGATGTGGCCATCCCAAGCTACACACCTAGTTATAGATGTTGTTAGGAACTTTATTCATCTTGATAAAGAAGCAAATCTTTAAAAATACTTCTTAAATTGAGAGGCATCTAAAAACCCAGCTTAAATGACAGGAGAGGCGGCAGACCGTAAAACCTTATTCAGTGACCTAAGAGTGGCCTCTGCGTGAGAGGCCAGTTGGTAGAAAGGACCCAGGTGTCTAGAGAAAATTGAGCCAGGAATCTCTGTGGCTACCGAAGGTCTCCTGTGAACCCTGAGTTCTACTCAGACTCCGTCTCCCCTGTTAGGTGCCTTGCCAAGCAGCACCAAAGCATGTGATTCCCTGGCTCCCCAGCTCCGCTGCACTGCCACCCCTGCCTCGTGTTCATATAACCCTGTCCAGATCCAACCCCACTGAATCCTCGGCTACAACTCTGACTCTTGCAAAGGATTAACCAACTCTTGGGGCCACAAGACTTGGCCAGCCCAGTGAATGGGGAGCCCAGGGCTGCTCCAGACTGGATCGGGACCAGGACGCTGGTACTATGACCACCATCAGTCCGAAGCTCCTCTGTACAATATTATCAAATCCACAAGATAAAGCATTTCTTATGTCTTTTCCACCATTACTTTGAAAACCTTCACTACACCCTGGGAGGACAGGCAATAAATGCTCTAATGCCTATTTGCAGCATCTTATACACCAGATGCTTCAAGAAGGAAAGATTAATCCAGGCCAGGCTTTGACGCCTGTCTTTGAGAGCTCTGACATCTCAGTCATCTTCTCAGGAAAGCCCAGAAAATCCAATACCCCTCCCGAAATGCTCAAGCAGAGGTGATTGTAAGATCCATGTCACTAACGGTGGCTTTGTGCTAAGACATGCCTGGGTGTCTAACCCCCAACCCCCTACAAATCCCAGAAGGCTGAATTCTTAATGTGCTAAGGGGAATTATATAGAGCTATGCTTCCCAAACTTTGTAGGGGTATTGGAACCACCTGGGAATCTTTAAAGCTTGAAATCAACAAATTTAGAACAAATAAAGGGAACATAGTGCTGGCCACAGTGGTTGTAAACTTGTGGAGACACGAAGGCCCAAAGTCCTAAAGCCTAAAATTACAAAAGCTTACAGAATAATGAATTCAATTCATAAGGAATCTTGGAAATGAAAAATGAGCACATCTGAAGATGGCGCTAAACTTTTCAAGTTGCTACCAGGAGGGACAATCACATCCTCCCCTCTACACAGACCCCTTTCCCCACCACTCCAGCCTCAAGCCATTTCCCCTGACTTCCCTTACACTCCCTGTGAGACTGCCAAGCACCTTGTGCTGTGGTTACTTGTGTATACACTGTCTCCTCTCTGCCTGAGGTCAGTGCTTCACCAGCTGGCACACGGTAGGCAGGAATGCTTGCTAAGTAGGTGAATATACATCACCAACAGCCCCTGGAACCTGCTGCAGCTGGCTCTCCTTAGGGGTCCTAGCCTCTGTCTGGGCAAATGAGGAGGACCACGTTCTGGAAGGAGTCTCTCAGCAGGCTGCAAACTGGAGCCCTCCTCCTCCTCCTCCTCCTTGCCCGGCCAGCAGCACAGGCCCCTACTCATGACCCAGTGTCACCACCCCAGCAGAGGGGCCCACTGCACTGTTTTCTTTTGCTCTCTTAAGGTAGGACTCCTAAGGTAGGACTGACTACCCACCTCTTTCCAGTCACTAACTCTCCTAAGTGTGGCCTTGGCAACCTTGTGTTGGTGTGCCGTGAGCTAACGCAGTACCTGCATGGTGCACAGCCCTCTTTATAGGGTGATTGTTCACTGCACTACTTGGTCAATGGCCCTCCAGGGAACATAGGCCACCAAATGCATTTCCTAGGCTGCCTCCTCTACCTGGCAGAAGCTGGCCAGGTAGGTTTCTTTAACATGGTGCATTTCTTTTCATAAAGCCACCAGGTAACACACGTATATGCAACAGAAAGTGACTTGCAGACAAAGAGAGGGAGAGAGAGGGAGGGAGGGAAGATCATGTGTATGTAAGTGCTATTCAGCTGTGAGTCTGGGACCCCACTTTTCCTCTTGGGATCAAGTGAACTGGCCACCCAACCACAGATGATCTGGTTATAAAGTGAAATGACAGCCATGGCCGGACTCCTGGACTGGATGCACTACGGGCACATGAACGTGCTGCACTCTACAGGCACGTTCAGCTCCAGAAGGTGATCGGCACTGCTGAGCCCCGCCCTCCGACTGCCTTCACTCCTGTCTGGGTGCCTTGGTCCATGCTTTTCTTCTCCCTCCCCCTCTGCCAGTCTCCATGATTTACATCCCCTTCATACCTCCTGTCTCAGCTCAAGCCTCATGTCCTCCCAAAAGCTCGCCCCACCATTTATTCTCTTCCTGTAATACTCATTGTTAACTCAATGCAGAATCATGCTTTTAAAAACACTATCTACTTTCTCTTCTTTATTACATACCTTGCTTCCCCTACTGACCAATCTGCAAGCTCTCATAAGACAGGGGCCCTCTTCCATTTCTCTGGCACCTGCTGGGGCTCCTTTGGTGACTGTCTGCAAAGAGGCCCCAACAACTTCTTCCACTACTCCTCCCCTCAAGAGGTAGAATCTCTCTCTCGCCATATCTGGCCTAGCCATGAGACTGGTTTTGATCAATGGGCAGAAGCAACAGTTAGTTCAGGGACTGAGTCTTGAGGAGTCTCGCTGTTCCTGCTTTCATCCTCTTGGAAGCCAGCAGCCAGGTAAAGCAGCTCAGACCAGTGAAATTCAGCAAGAAGGCAGGTGACGCCCCCCAGCCAACGACAAGGCCCCAGACACAGGAGTGGGGCTGTCTGAGATCTTTCAGCTCCAGTGAAGGGGTCTTGACCGGAGACTTCTAGAATCTCTGTTCCTACTATAGGGCCAAGGGTCATGAACCTTGTCAGTTTTGCCAAAGGCAACCCCGATCCCATTTGCTTCTAGAACGTGACTTCCCAAAGCTGGGGTCCACTAGACATGGCTACCCACCAGATTCTCGTTGGTCAGCCGGGATATTTCCTGCTGAACGCCGAATTCCACCTGGGCCTCTGGGGAGAGCAGTAGCGTCTGGCAGAAGGTCTGCTGCTGTTTGTCCATCTCCTCCTTCAGGGCCTCGAGCTGAGCCTTGAGATGCTCCACCTCCTCCTCATGCTCCAGGCTCTGGGCCTGCAGCTGAGCCTCCAGCAGCCTGTGCCAGGGAGAGGACAGGTGAGCACGTGGCCCAGGCCAGGGCCCCCATCTGAGGGGACACAGGCAGAAACATAACAGGGGAGCAGCCAAGCACACAGCAGCAGCGGTTGCACATCCCCCAGAGGGATGAATGCAGCAGGAGACAGATGCCATGGGGACCACAAGGCAAGCAGGCCAAAGTGTCCTCCTCTCAGATGATGGGAAACCAAGGCCAAAGGCACTTCTGGTCCTAAGCCTTTCTCTCGACCCTTGTTCCTCATTCAGTGAGCATAGTTTAATGGTTTGGGATTGAAAGACTGTCTCCCTGTCAAAATGTCCATCAACAGAAATACATCTCTTAAAGCATCTTTTAAATAAAAACATCTACATCTGCCCCAAAGTTCACAAGAACCTCCTTCTTAAGATAAAACTCTGGCAAAACTGAGCTAATTATATTATTCACATATTTTCCCTGTGGCAGATTCTCCACAAGTTTTAGAAAGGCAAAATATTAGCCCCTTTTTTATCTTTACCATTATTACTAGCCCCATTTTATTTTATACATACAATTATTGCATATACAATTTTTACATACAAGTTTCCTCCAGCCAAAAATGAAAACTAAGACTATTTGCAAATGATCTTGGGGAAGGTGTAAGATCAGCTGGTGTCATGACAAGAAGCAGAGAGACCTAGAGATCTTGCAAAGATTGAGGAGAAGTCTTATAACATTCTGAGTCAAAAGGCCCAAGACCAAGAGGTGCCAGTTACCTGGGCAATGCTCCCATCATAATAGAAGGCAAGAGATTAATGAAGGCTCACAGGCAGCCGCATCTTCAGGAAGTTAGATGCTAATATGACCATGATGTTGTCCTTCTTGGACTTAGTTACTTAAACCAGCTTTCCGATTCAGTGCAGCAGGCTTCATATGGAAGAAAGCTAGGGTGCTGGGGGAGAGGTACTGTACTGTAAAGAGCTTCCAGACATGGTTACATGGAAAAAATCCACCCCAGTGTCTTCCAGGAATGCACATAACAATTATGACCAAGGTAGGCACACAGGTAGGAACTGGTTGTGCCTCTAACACAGCTGTTGGAGGCCGTGGCTGCCCTGGAGGAAGGCGCCATGTTTTTTACAGTTCTGATGGTTTGGGAGGTGAGAATTATCATAAGACAGGTGGGACCATGTCTACAAGGGAGCAAGAGAGAGAGGGAAAGTCTACACTGTTGATATAAGCAACCACATTTTATGTAGCTGAGTCAGCTCCATAGCAGCACTGGGTGTAACACCTGACTCCCAGTGGCTCCTCAACAAAGTTACATGAATGAAGAAGTGATTGAGAAAATCACTCATTCACTACAGGCGATATTACCTATTACTAAAGAAAAATAACATGAGATTTGTGGAGGATAATTGGGTAATTAAATCAGGATTTTAAATGAAATACAGCATTTAGATAATATCCAATATTGGCTACAGTAAGCACATTAAAAGTAGTCACCAATAAGTTATACATTTAATGAGAGAGAACAGACACTCTTGGGTTCTAGGCGAGCTGCCCTGAGGATTTCTCTCCTGCCTTGTGCAGCACGTTCACTGTTCATGTCTTATTCTCCAGGTGGACTGTAGCTGACTCAGCCAGGGTCTGTTCCTACTTAAACATTAGGCTAGCCACCTCATCGTGCAGGTGAGAAAACTAAGGCCAAAAGAGCTTTGAGGCCACGACCAGTGGCAGGGCTGATTCTAGAAACCAGGACTCTTGATTCATAGGTCTGTGCTTTATTAATGCATTCAGTTGCCGATTCATGAAACCATGTCTGATCTGCTGATGGAGAGGCACGAGGAATCACCTGGCTTCACACAAGGATCCTTCCTCCAATAAAACAAACTACTTGGTGGGACAGAAATCTGATCTTATTGAATAATAACCATGATAGTAATAGAAGTAGCAGCTAATATTTATTATTCCATGGTTACGTATCAGGCATGTGCAAAGTACTTCACCTGTATTAACCTTATTCCTTATAATGCCCCGTGAGGAAGGTCCTATTCCATTCACAAGGAAACAGACCCACCATGTCACCTTGCTCACAGATTGTGGGGCCACATCTGAACCCAGAGAAACACTACCCTGTCAATCAGCTGAGTAAACTTTCTTTTTCCAAGAAGAGATGCTCTTGGTGCAACAGTACCTCTACTACATCCTCAGCAGGCGGCAAGGAGAAGCAGCATGAGGGCTTCTGGCTCCTGCTCCGCCACCACCTGGCTGAGGGAGCTGGGTCCAGCACTCATGCCACCTTGTTGAGTCCCGGTTTCCTCTCTGGAAAGCAAGCTCGATGACTACCAGTCCATCTCTTGTTGAGTCAGGCTCCAATAGGCAAAGCTATGCCACAGCTCTTAAAAGCCACCTGCAGTCAACTGGCCTATGGTGTGACCATCACATGGTGTCCTTTTGCTGCATGCCTACCCTGTCTGGCTAAGCTGCTCACCCACTGCTGAGGGCCAGTGGGTTTCAGGCACAGACTCTGGTATCAGCTGGAACCAGGTTCAAATTCTGGATCTTCTGTTTCACCAGCAATTTCCTTAAACCCTCCGGGCTTCAGTGTCCCCACCCCATGAAGGTGCTGTGAGGCCAGATGTCAAGGCGCATGCACTGCACTTGGCTGCCATCAGCTCCAGGGAGTCCCGGAGATCAGGACCAGCACACATACTGATGGCAGGCTCTGGGGGCACAGGTTACATTTGGAGCACAGCCAGCAGCACAGATCAGGCAGACATTTTTGGCTGATCCTGCAGTTAGGAGGGCCAATATGTAGTGTGAAAGCAGCACAGGCCCAGGATTCCCCAGAGGTATGTTTCCTTCTCAGCCTTGTTCTAAAGAGCTGTGTGCCTGCCGCTATGTGACCTCCTGCTCTTGTCTCTTTCTTCACCTATAGAACAAGTAGGCTGGACCTCAGGAGGTCCACTAAATGCTATCACCTTGACCCAAACAACCAGCCACCCTCAGCCATATCTGTACAGCCTGGGCACAGTGACAGATGGTCAACCACAGGGGCTACCAGCCAGACTGCATGCCAACTGTTCCCCGTGCTCTCGCACCCACTGTAGCTGAAAAACGGTTAAGCATAGACATGAGCAGGCCCAACGGACAAAGCAGACACAGGAAGAAAGGAATATGTTCCACCTGGCAACTTGCTTTAGGCCTTGGTAGGCCAAGCCGAGTTCTCCATCTTCATTTAAATATCCCCAATCCTCAGTCTTGCTAGAAACAAAGGACAGAAAAACAGGGTGTCCAGTGTAGACGGAAGAGACAGGCAGGCAGGGAGTCCTGGAAAGTGAGGAGATTCTAGCCAAGGTTTGGAAACGAAAAAAAGGCAAGGCTCAAGAACTCCCATTTTCCCTTCCTCCTCTCCTGTCACCTGCAAACAGCATCTCTCCCATAAGTCCTCCAGTTTCAGGTACTGTCCTGGAAGTGGGTTCATGTGGTCTCATGTGGGGCCTGCTAATAACCCCAGGTGGGAAAGCATGCTGCCCCAGAGACAGCAGAGGGCCAGCTTGTTCTGGTAACTCTGTAAATGGCAGCAAGGCAGCAGTGTGGGTAGTGTGGAAGCATTCACATAGCCTCACACATGGTGCTTCCCTCAATCAGATTGATTCAGACAAGCACAGGGAGAGATGCAAAAGGGGCTGGGAGGAGAGAACCCTAAGTGTGCATGGAGGAAGCGGGAGGCAGTGAGCAGGCTCATGGTGGGGAACACATTGCATCTGCAGAGCAGCATGGGAAGCCCCTGGGGGACGTCAGGCCCACCCAGGGTAAGGAAGGAGACTGCAGACACTACCTGCTTTTCAATGCAGATCTTTCTGGGACTCCTTAAAGGCACAAAAATATTAACTAATCTTAACTTCAGCTCTCCTTGCAGGGTCTTTCTCCAATAGCTAAAACAAGTTTTGTGATGCCCTAGATGAGAACTGAATGATGTCTCCCCTTGACCTTGGGACTGGGGTGCGTTACCACTTTTTACTCAATTTGGGAAAGCAGAACTCTTTACCCCTCTACATGCAAACTCTTTTGCTGTGTCCAAGTCACCCAGTGTCTGCCCCATGCCAGCAAGGGCAGCTCCTGGAGGTCAGGTGTGTCCAATGTTCCACCTCCACCTAGGTCCTCAACCTGCGCAGCCCTGGGCACACAGAGATACTCAAGGGCCAGCAGAGTTGGGTGGAGGAGGGCAGGTAGGGGCCTGCTGCCCCCAGCAGGACTCTGCCGCACCTCCCTGCTCCTAACAGCCTCTGTTCCTGGAGTACTCCTCCTGCAGGCCAGATTCCAGCTTTCCAGGCAGGAATAATGGAGCAAGAACTGCATCCAAACAGCCCTAAATGAGGACCTGTAATGCCCTCGTCCTCATTCCCAGGGTGCAAACCATCTGTAAACCAAAAATAAAATCCTAAGGCCCCCCACCATCTGAAGGGACTTCCTCCTCAGCCAGGGCTCTTTTAATGTTTAACCTGAGAGACTGTTTCAGGCCACGATAGGAAGTGGGGGTCCGATGTGCCTCATTATACCTCTCCATCATTAACATCAACATAGACTTTAACAAATCCCAAACTCATAACTCAGCATCATCCCGTCTCAGATGTTAGTGCCTGCATTTTACTACGGCCTTTCATGGCTGGTGCTTTAACCCAAAGGCACAGCTCACTGGAGGACTGTAGGCACCACTGCAGTGATTCTTGGGGAGGGCCGGAAGTAGAGCGCATCAGCGCTGAAAGGGAACAAGTGCAGGGATCCTGGGCTCCACCCACCTCCTTTCCCACACCAGAGAGACACTGACTCCTGCGCCAGGACCCAGGGTCTCCAGACCTTGAACTAAAGCTCCTTTCCAGCCTCCAGCCCCCCACCCCCCAGGGAGGGGCTGCTGGGGCTCTGTCTCAGAGGTTCACCTCACCTCTGTCGTCCCCGTAAACCTACAGACTGCAGAGCTCTCTAGGGTGGGGCACGCGAAGCTGACTCACACAAGGAAGTTAGGATTAATGAATGCCCAGGCCACCAGCCTCACAGGGCCATACTCCCAGAATTCTTAATTCTGTAACAAGCCAGGCACTATTGACAAAGATAAAAGTAGAGAACTGTGCAGCCCAGGCAGCCCACAGTGCTCAGGAAATCAGACACACGAGTAAACTAAAAACCAGTCAACCAACTTGCTTCAGCCGTTGGTTCCCAGAGGAAAGAACCCCTGGAGGAGCTCCTCCAGCTCCACTTAGGCCATTATGGGCCAAGGCCAGGGAGGGAGCGCCACCTCCTGGTGGGAAAAGAAAAAGCCCAAACTACTTGGCTCAGGATTTTTTGTTGAAAATGTAAGTGCTTGATATCAATTAATAAATCTACAAATATTTCCAGAGAGACCACTGTGACACACAGAGATAAGTTAACTCACTGCAGTCAGTCTCCAGCCACAGGGGGCAGTGAGGCTCGGCATCCAGGAAACTGGCTGGAGAACCTAGCATTGGGGCAACTCCCAGCCCCACCTGTAATGAGCCCGTGGCCCGGGCTAATCACCTCCACGCCCTGGGCCTCTCTTTCTTTACGGGTAAAGTGAAAGTAGCCTACTGAATTATCGCAAAGGTTTCTTCCAGATCTTTAATTACTAACCTTATTGCAAAGGTTTCTTCCAGATCTTATAAAAAGCCAGACAAGGCCTAGGATAATATTTACTTGGCCTCTGTGAAGATATTGGAAAAACAGGATCTATCAACCATGGCCCCGCCACAGTTAAGAACCTGCCTTCCTGGGGAAACAGACAAGATTCCTGCCAGCTCAGAGATGGTCAGTTTCCCGGTTCTAAAAAGCCCACTGTGTGCTCCACAGACAGCCTAACTTCTTTAGTTCATACCCAAGCTTTCTATTCAACCTCCTAGCATATTCCCTGGGACCTCTGGGAAATGGAAGGCACACTCCAAACACCAGGAACAACAGAGAAACATCTGAGGCCCTAGGCCTGGCCATATGAGGGTGAACAGTTTGTGGATTAATATGACCTAGCCATGAAATTACAGCAGACCCAAACTGTGCTGCCAACTCAGGACCAGCAGAACTTTGGGGAACATAAGGAAATGATCACCTCCTTGAAAAAAGCCAAGAGCTCTTAGTCAGGACTGGTTAAAGCTGGGCCCTCTGGGGAGGGGCTGGGCAGAAGCTAGCTCTTCCCGCCTTCTTTGCCATTCTGAGCAAGGCAGCCCACAGCAGCCGAGGCTCAAGGTCAAATGAGCCAACAGCTCCGAGCAAATCTTGAGACTGCACACAGTTCCTTGTCAAACACAGTCTCCGCTGTCCCGGACAGGCCCCTGGTGTGTGTATTGGCGGGGGGCGGCGGGTGTGAATAATAACCCCAGGTGCGCCCGACCAAGCCCAGGTGCCAATGCCTGGAGGCCTCCTGTCTTGCCGGGGACCTGCTGGATGGAGAGGAGCTGCTAGGAGGTTTTCTGGGACCTCGGGAATGCACCAGTCTCACTTTGGAGTTTTACACTCTTGATAAGGCTTGGGTAGAAGTGGACAGGAATCAAAGGAGCACTGTCAAAGAGCCAGACCAGAGCCCTGGCCACACTCCTGCCCCTACCTAACTCTGACTTTAAGTGCTCACCCCGAGGTGAGGTTGGGCTGAGGGCAGTGGCAACTTGTGCCCTCCTAAACCACTTCCCCATCCTTCTCCCATATACAGCCCTGAAAAGAAGACAAACTGCCCAGCACCCAGCTCATGTTCACAGCCCTCTTCCCCCTTCATTTTCCTATATATAAAATGGTGATAATGATGCTGGTGTCTCTTAGTTCCCAGAGGTAAAAAAGGAGAAAGCTTTGTGGAAGCAGAAGTGCCACCCGCATTCCTGCAGCTCCTCTCAGAGCAGCTCCTCAATAATAGCTTCTCTCCCCAGAGTTCAAAACAAGGGAAAAGACACAGTTATAGGGACCAAAACAAAACTCTACAAACTTATGAAGGTTAGCAAGTGATAAAAGTTCTGAACTTGAGGATCATGAATGCTTAAAGAGGCTATGACTGGGAATGTGATGGAAGCCCCCAGAAATCTAAGCAAAATTCAGCATATGAGTGTAACTTCCTCTAGGGAGAGGATAGATGTCATCAAAATTCTAAATGGTCTTTCACAAATCACACATGTGTAGATATAATTTATATTTAAACAGTAGAACTCTCCATTACAGGAAAACTGTAGGAAACGCAGAGCAGCTGTCTATCTCCAAAGCACCCCAGTTGCCAGGGTGGCCCTCATGGTAATGGGAATCCCCTTGTCATGGGCTCCACAGAATCCCAGTTGGGTCCCTGTTCCCTGCCTCTCCTCCCTCAATGCTGGGATTTGCAGCAATCATGAACACTTCCCAAAGCTAAAGGCCAGACTGGGAGAGAGGCAGGCCCACCATGGCCACTTCCACAGCACCTGGTGCAGCACACACTGCGAAGCTGGCTCTTCAGGCCTCCACTCCCCAGGGCAGCCAGCTCCTTTTCTGTACTTAACTCAGTTTCACAGGCTATTAATTTCCTATTGTACACCAGGCTTGCTGGGAACAGAATTATTTTAAGATATAATAAAAGCTATTTTTATTTTATCACCATCATTATTATTGCTGTAAAGGAAGACAAATCCAGGGTATTAAGCAGCCCCTGGGAAAACCTAAACTGGGGTCTGGATCCCTGACAACCGCTGCATGAATAAAAGAGGCTGCCAATGGTGACGGCTCTGAAGATCGGGGAGATACGCACACCGCTTGTCAGACCAAGCACACAGCTGCTTCTTCCCTTCTACTTTAGTATCACCTGGGCTTTTTCTTATTCATCTCATTTCTTATCTTCAACCCAAGATAATTTAAAATGACTAAATCTTGACTCCAGTTTTAGCACTGAGAGAGTCACCTTCATTCCTTTTCTCCCTCCTTTAGGGAAAAGAATTATACCTCTCTTGAAATAAATTTAATTTCCTCCTGGAGCCTGTGACACCACCTTCAACTTCTGATTACCTACTCAGTGGCTGGAAACTGCCCCAGCCTGAGTCAGGCCTTCCGGATTCTACCTTGACTCAGGCACAGGCCACCCGTGGGCCTAAGCTGTTCCACCCCCCCGGGCCTCAGTCTCCTTCTCTGCAGAAAGAGGGACTGGATGAAAAGATCTGGGAATCAAAGTACCAGAAGTCTTCAGTGACTCTGTGACATTCTTGCAAAAAAACTTAAAGTGGCACTCACAGTGCCACCTAATGACATTTTTGGGAAATGTTTGCTATTTTCACCAATTTTGAACAAATACTTGATCAACATTCTATTAGTTGAGGTAAGAGAGAAAGGTAGCCAGGGAAGAGGCCAGCTCCATGTTTTTTTTTTTTTTTTTTGGAGACACAGTTTTGCTCTCATTGCCCAGGGTGGAGTGCAATGGCATGATCTCGGCTCATTGCAACCTCCGCCTCCTGGGTTCAAGCAATTCTCCTGCCTCAGCCTCCTGAGTAGCTGGGATTACAGGCACCCGCCACTACGCCCGGCTAATTTTTGTATTTTTAGTAGAGACAGGGTTTCACCACATTGGCCAGGCTGGTCTCAAACTCCTGACCTCAGGTGATCTGCCCATCTCAGCCTCCCAAAGTGCTTAGATTACAGGTGTGAGCCACTATGCTCGGCCAGACAGCTCCGTTTTTATAGGTGCCCACAGGGGCATGAGGAAGCAGATGATAACAACAGTATCACGGCAGTAACACTCATCATGTGCGCACCACAGGCAGGCACTGTCCTAAGTCCCTTACACAGGTGATAGGAGCTCACCCCATCTTCCCAAAGCCACAGGAAGGATGCCGCTATGGCTGTCCCCAGTTCACAGATGAGGCAACTGAGGCACCTATCGGTCATGTGACCGCTACTAAACCGTGAGGAGTGGACTCTGCAGTGCACCTTCTCAGACACTCTGCCTTGGGGGTCTGCGTTCTGTCTGCTGACAACGCTTGGCCCTGCTGCTGCCCTCAGACAATCACTCTTGCTTGCCTTAACCCTGGCTCAGCTTATTTTCGAGGGGACAGTGGTTGCTAAACTCACATCCAGGGAGATCTCATTTTGGCTAAGACGGTGGAGGTGAAATGCTTCCATTCCACCCCCAAGTGCCCAGCTTGGGTTCCATCTGTTCTGAATGACAGAGGGTGGGCCCCCACTGTGTGACACACACTGCATGCATGAGAAGGGCATTGCAGCAGATGGCTAAGCAGCCCTCTGCTGCCAGTTAGCCACCCCCCACCCCCCTCCCCAGCCAGCATCCTCTCAAGAAGAAAAGCTGTTCTCAGCCAGACCTTCCTATTCCACTCCTGTCATCCTCCCAGGGAAGCTCCTTTTTCCTAATCCTTTTCAGGGGACCTGGGCTCTAGATGCTGAGAGCGTGTTGCTCGAGCCTTGCTGAGCTAACAGTAGGGCAGGGGTTCTGAGTCAGTCTTTCTGTGTCCTCTAATAAATAATTCTCTGATGCTGAGCACATGGTCATCACCTGAGGAAAACCCCAAACAGACTCGTTTGGGCAGGGCCCTTCTCCGCGGCCTCGTCCAGCACATTTGACCGCGGCGGCCTTACCTGTTTGTCTGGCAGACCCCGTGATAGGCCTCAATGGCATCCTCCTGGTCAACATGCTTTTCACTGTTAGGCCAACTTGATCTGGCATTAATGTTCGGCTCCTAGAAAGCCCCAGATAAAAAAATAACTCTGGTTAAACAATTGCCACAAAATGGCTTTATATACAAACAGGTATAAAAACATGCCTTTGGGAAAAGACAAAGGCCTGGAAAGAACAGAGATAACCACAATCAAACCCACGCCAGGAACATGACTCCAAAAGGTCATCTTGGAAGAGACACAGAACAACGAGGCCAGGCTGAGACAGAGCTGCATGTGGGGCGGTGGGGGAAGATGGCCAGGAGGTGCCCCTGGGAGGAGAGAGCACCCAAGTCCAGAGCACACAGGTAGACCCTGGTTCAGCTGGAATCCTCCACACTCCTCAGCACCTGCTTACCCCAGCTGTCCCGAGGCTCATGCCCAGAAGTGGCTCAGGTTTTTAGAGCCCATGGAGTGACCCACGTGGCCTCTGTCCCCACCCTCTGGCTCTAGTCTGCCCCAGAAAGTGAGAACATTAGGAAAATACAGTGAATAGGACTTGCCACCCTGGGGGACTGAGGAGGACCAATGACTCTCTCCACTTCAGAAAGCAAACAGCAAGGGGTATAAGGTGAAAAGGCCACCCTGAGGTTACCTATTAAACATCTTCATATTAACTTCAGAAGAGTCCAGAAGCTTGTAGCTGCATCCCCCAGGGAAGGTCATGCTGACAGGGCAGCAAGGCTTTTGCTCTGCCTTTTTGGAGGAGACCCCACAGCGAGAGACTCTGCTCTTTCAGGTTTTAGACCCTCGTGGGTAAAGATAATTAAAAAAACACTAATCTACCACCTAGGGTCACCCCTCGGCAGCCCCACCGCGGGCCGCCATCTTGTTACCGCGTTCCTGCCGGCGAGTCGCCGCTGGTCGGCGCTCACGATCTGGGTCCTGAGGATGAGCACCTCCTCCTTGCGCACCTCGAGCTCCTCGTGGGCCAGCTTGAGCTGGTTCAGCAGGAGGCTGTAGCTATCTGGGGAGCCGTGGCTGGAGTTATTCTGCGTGGCTTGGTCGGCCACGGCTTTCCTCAGCTCATTCAGGTCATTCTTCAGCTTTTTGTTCTCTGACTCCAGCTCTTGCCTCTGGAAGACAGCCCAAGGGCCGCTGCCATTACTCCCTGCCCTAGGGCTCTCTCCCTGTGTGGGCCTCCCCTCCTCCCCTTCTTTTGTCCACTGGGAAACTTCGCTCTTTAAACGTTGACACACATGGAAAGTTCTGACTGCCATCAGCAAGCAGTCAAAGCTGGGGCCTGGATGTGAACTCATGACTTCAAGTCACAAGTGTGAAGCACCTGCACAATGCCTCCAGAGCGGCAGTCTCCAAAGTGATTCAACAGTGTTCGTGTTGCTAAACATGTTTGGCTGTGAAACTCCTCCTTGTGGAAATGCTGGGCTCACAATTTTAAATGACATATAGTAAACATAAGAATTCCTACAATCTAAATATGTTCACACGCTTTGTGACTTTCCAAGAAAAGATACAAGAATGCAGGATTTCCTAAACTTATTTGCCCAGAGAACCCGTTGCTCCCTATTTTTCAGGAAGCATCATTTTTGTCCCGGACTAATTAGACTTGGAAGATACACCAGGGACACAGTTTTGTTGTTTTGGTCATATAGAAAGCCACCAACTGTCCCTGTCAGCAGAGGAAAAATACCTACATACAGAATTGAATGTGCTATAGGAACTCAACTTTGGAACATACTTCATATTTTCTGGATAGTACATTTAACTTTGTGTTTGAGATGAAGTCTGATGATCACACACAAACTGCCGGCAGGACCCTGGGATACATGAGATTCAAAATTTCCCAAAGGAAACCCAAAGATGTGGATGAGTATGCATTGGTTGCATGTTTGTTACAGAGCCATAGCATGATGGAACCAGGGGACCGCTGGGGAGAATGAATCTCTTGATTTGCTGAGTGAGGAAGCTGAGCCCAGGGAGGGGAAGGCTCACAGCAAGTTTAGAGACTGACCCAGGACAGAGGGCCAGGGCTCCTGACTCCTGGTCCAGGGCGCCCCTGTGACTCCACCATATATGTGGTGATTTCCAGAAGATTTAGAACCATGCATAGAGATAGTAACTCTGCAGACATGATGAGGGCCCCAAAATAAGGTGATTAATAATGATCATTGATGAGTCACCAAGCCTATGGTGAGTCTATTTACTAAGTTCAGGAGTTAAGGATCCCCTCAGTGCCTGGGTGATCTTCTGGCAGCCAAGGCCATCCTCAGGAGAGCCAGTGTCACATGCTAGAGGAGCACTGGGTGTGGAGGCAGCCCTGGGTCCCCTCCTGGCTCAAGGTGCACACTGCACAGTCCTGGAACCTTAGCCTCCTCAGGTGTGGCTTAAGGGAGTGAGAACAGCTGGTGGCTAAGGTTTCCTCCAGCTGTGACAGGCCAGAACTGAGCTCGGTGACAGCTGTTGGCTGTGTGCCTGTGCTGACAGCCACGCCAGGCCCTACTCAGCTGTGAGATTGTGCCTCAAGACAGAGCCAGGTTGGTTGAAAGCTCTGGCTGTTTTTCAAGGATTTCTACCCAGGGCACATCTGTGACATTTCTATTTATCCCATTCTCTAACCATTCCTGGACACCATCTCCCCTAACCATACCTCACTGGTCCCCCACACATAACCTCTCCTCTCCACTCCCCTCTCCTCCCCCACAGGTTCACTACCATTCCCTCATCATCCTTTCTGGTCAACAGTGCCAAAAGAATATGCATGCTTTATTGTGGTAAAAAATATAAAACACAAAATTAGCCATCTAACCTATTTTTATTTTTTGAGATGTAGTTTCGCTCTGTCGCCCAGGCTGGAGTGCATTGGCGTGATCTCGGCTCACTGCAAGCTCCGCCTCCCAGGTTCACGCCATTCTCCTGCTTCAGCCTCCCGAGTAGCTGGGACTACAGGCGCCCACCACCACGCCTGGCTAATTTTTTTTTTTTTCTAGTAGAGATGGGGTTTCACCATGTTAGTCAGGATGGTCTCGATCTCCTGACCTCGTGATCCGCCCACCTCGGCCTCCCAAAGTGCTGGGATTACAGGCATGAGCCGCCACGCCCGACCTCATCTTACCTATTTTTACGTGCACAGTTCAGTGACATTAAGTCCATTTATGTTGTGCAACCATCCCCACCATCCATCTCGAGAACTTTTTCACCTTTTCCAGCTGAAACTCTGTCCCTATGAAACACTAACTCCCCATCCCCGCTCCTCATCTGCTGCAACCATCATTCTACTTTCTGTCTCTGAGTTTGAACCTTCTAGGTACCTCATATAAATGGAAACAGACGAATTTGTGTGAAAGACATATTTTTGTGCACCCAAATGCTATGCCATTCCAGTTGGAGAATAAGGGAGTCCCATTCCCCGGCCCTGCCTCCCACCAATCTTCATCATCTGCCTTCTTCAGGCCAGGCACTGTGCTAGGTGCTGCAGGCACAACACCTGCTTAGAACCTATCAATTACACTAAAGTACAGATCATGGCACTGCAGCCTGGAACACACTATGACATGAGTGAATCCAGAGTGACTGGGGAACACAGAAGAATGCCATCCACTGACTCAGAGGGGTAGGGCCAGAGGGTAAGGGGAGGGAACAGGTCTGACAGCTAAAGGACAGGAGCAGCTAGCTATGTGAAAAAGGCAGACAAGAGGCCTCCAGGTACAAAGGCCTCAGAGAAGAACAAGCAGGACTTGCCGGGGAAATGCTGTCATGCAGAAGACAGAGCAGAGCTGGTGGGGGTCAAGAGATTCCAAAATCCAGGGAAGGAAGCTGGATCCAGGAAAAAGCAGTGAGCTGGTCATCGCAGAGCTTCAGAAGGGTTTCCCTGGTTTGCATGGGGAGATGGGCCACCTGGCTGGAGTATAACGTGGCATGGCCCATGGCAGGGAGCAGAGGGAGATGTGAATGAGATACAGAGATTTAGGAGGTGGAACTGTCAAGACCTGGAGACTGCTTGGATGTGGGAAGTGAGTGGGAAGAAAGTCTAGATGCTTGGGTGACGTGTGTCATCTATTGAGACAAGATGGGGTTTCAGGGTTCAGATGTGTGCAGCTGTAGTCCCCACGGCGCAGTGAGCAGTTGGAATTATGGGCTAGAGATGGATCAGTATGTTGGTGAGGACTGAAGTCTTGGGAGGATGTGTGGGTGGGTGGGGGTGAAACCGCCCCGGGAGAGTGTGCTGAGGCTGGGCCCTGCACACCGCATGCTTCCGATTTCCTGTCCCTGGGTAGCCCTAGGTTAGCTGGACATTGGACTGGGCAGGAAACCTTTCTGTAGAGAGTTTGGGTGTCTATTTCTTAAACGTCAGTCCATCCCTGGAAAGCACTCTATGAGGATGACCACTACAAAGTAGATATTTCACACGGGATGAGCGTTACCACTGGAGGCGGCACAATTTTGAATAAGGGTTCATTGAAATTCTATATATAGTCAACACTATACCACCATTCTATAACTCTGTAAGATTTTAAGCCAGTAAAACTGATCCGTGTTCCATAAAACAAGCTAAAGTTGTGAAAATGGCTCTCACAAATCTAGCCACAGTAAACAGTAATGGATACAGCTTGTTTTAAAATTATGAGGAATTTTAATAAAATGGACAGTCCAGTTCTCTCTCAGAAAAAGCCTAGTTTCATCACAGGATTATTTATAAAAGTAAAACATGAGAGTATATTCATCAGTTAGAGAATGGATAATTGTGATAATCATGTCATAAAATTTTAATCAACCATGGAAATCATGTTTACAAAGACATGTAGAAAAATGCTCGTTATAGTGAGAAAAAAAGCAGAAAAATTATATATATAACAACTATATAAATATGCATATAAAAAGCATTAGAAATAAATATCCAAATAATATCAGAGACTGCCTTTAAGTGGCAGGAATATGGATTTTTTAAAAATTCTCTAGATTTTCTTGTATTTTAAAATTTTTCTAAGATGAACAGAATTACTTTAATAAATTTACAAATAAAATGAAAAATGTCTATAAAAAGGACACATTAAGGAGAAAAAAAAACACTCGAAGGATCTTCTCAACTGAGTCTTTTCTGATGCACGTTCAACATTGGATAAGCCAATGGCTGGATAGTCAGTTGAGGTGAAAAGTGTTTAAGTGCCAAGCTGGACTCTTAGTTCTCTATCATTCTTGCACAAACTCTGAGTCAGTGGGTACCATCTCCTGATTTGAATCCAGCTCTGGCTGATAGCAGGTCGATAAAGAAAAACCAACACTGCTGCTGGCCGTAAGCAGGGTCTGTCTGCCCAGCCAGCTTCCAGGTCAGCACAGTCATGGCTCCTTTTGGCTACCAGGCCTGTCTCAGGCACCAGGGAATGGTGAGCTTCCCCTAGAGCCACCCTTCCTGCCCTCACCATCCCTACCACTCATTCTCCTCTGCTTTTGCACACTGGCCGGGGCTAACAGTCACTGCAGGGAGACCCATCTTCCATCCACCCTACTCAGGCCTCCGGAGACAATGCTCTGCAGGAGTGACTGGCCCTGAGAACCCTTCTACATGACCTTACCCCAAATGGGGGCACCTAAGCCTTGTGCAGGGTACGTAGTCAATGTGCTTCTGCCGAGAGCTGCAGTTAATTTTTGCATTCCAGAAGGATCAGCAGAAATTTCTAAAATTCTGGTAAAAGGGTTTAAGCAAAAAATCACTACTTGTCAAGGTGTCTTCCTAGAGTAGCCTCATCTTGTGCATGTACCTGTGGGCAGCTTTTTCAAATCCAACTGGCTAAGGATCAGGTTGCAAGAGGCAGCTGAGTGGCCAGGTGTATCGACTCATCATCTTAGTGCTTTGACTTACCTGCTCAGGTAGAGTCTATAATTTTGGAGGGCACAGTACACTTCCCATCCCTTTGCACACTTCAGAGCATTCAGGAGGGATGTGCACAGCGGGAGCTCACTAAATATAAGCTGACCGTGTTCTGCCTAAAAGCCCAATTTCCATTATTATAAAAAATACTAGTAAGTGGTAATAAAGTCCCCTGAATGTCTGGGCTGGGCCTGGTTGAGAAGCACCCAAGCCAGCCTCTTCAACATGAGTGCTTCCTTACATGGGTAATTTTAACCCCAGGGGTCCCCGGGACCAGCCTCTGTGACAAGGCCCACAAGTAAAATCATTTCATCAGAGACAATGCTGGGAAAACCAGGTCTCACATCCTCAGAATCCTGGCCTAAGTCAACAGCAGCAGAGTGGAGCAGCTATTTAGACTTATGGCAGTTTAAGACAAATGTTTATTGCGCCCTCTCTGTGCCAGGCCCCATGCTTGGCAGTGGAGACGAGGCCTGTAAAATCAAGAAGGGGCATCTTCCTCAAGGACAGCTAAATGAGAGGAGGAGTTTTTGCGCTGATTTTAATGCAGGAGTCCGGGAGGCAGTTTCATGCGTAGGGTAGTACAGTGGTTCTCAGACTTGAGTGGGCAACAGAATCCCTTGCAGGGCTTGTTAAAAGACAGATGGGTGGGCCCTATCCCAGCCTTCTGATTCAGCAGGTCTCGGGGGTGGGGTACCTGAGAATCTACATTTCCAGCAAGCTCAGTGATGCTGATGCCATCAGTCCCACATCTACTGCTGGGGAGCTACTGGGCCCCTCTCATTACTTCTAAAAGGGTGGGTAGGATTGATGCCCCGAAAGTGCTACCTATAATAGTTCACATGCTCATTTTCATCCCCAGGCACTAAGCCTCCCTTGGGAAAGGCGGGTGAAGGTTAGCATGCAGAAGTCCCCTTGCTGCAGGCATTTATCCCACTGAAAGACTCCCAGGCTCCTTGGAGGGTTTTGAATCTTTAGAATATCACATGAGGAAAGTAAGTCTAATCAATAACTCCAGAAGGAGATCTCTATGACACACCCTCCTATGCCATCTGTGTGGCCCTGGTTGTTTAAAAAGTCAAATGGTGCTGGGAAACCGGACATCCACAGCAAAAGAATTAAGTTGGGCCCTTACCTCACATCTTCAACAAAGATTAACTCAAAGTGGATCAAAGGCCTAAATGTAAGACCTAAAATTGTAAAACTCTCAGAAGAAAACATAGGGCAAAAGCCTTATGACATCAGATTTGATGATTTCTTAAACATGACACCAAAGGCACAGGCAACAATATAGACAAATTGGACTTCATGAAAATTTAAACATTTTGTACACCAAAAGACACTATCAGAATAAAAAGATGACCCACAGAATGGGAGAAACTATTTGCCAATCATGTATCTGATAAGGGATTAATATCTAGAATATGTAGAGAACTCCTAAAACTCAACACAAAACCCCAAACAGCATAATTCAGAAATGGTCAGAAGACTGAAAAGACATTCTTCAAAGACTACATAGAAATGGCCAATCAACACATGAGAAGATGCTCAGTATTACTATCAGGAAAATGCAAGTCAAAACTACAATGAGATATCACCTTACACCTATCAGAATAGCTACTATCAAAAAAATAAATAAATAAATAAAAGAAAAGAAAATACTACGTGTTGGCAAGGATGTGGAGAAACTGGAATCCTTGTGCACTGCTGGTGGGAATGTAAAATGGTGCAGCTGCTATGGAAAACAGTATAGCAGTTCCTCCAAAAATTAATAATAGGATGGCCACATGATTCAGCAACTCCACTTTGGGGTATATACCTAAAAGAACTGAAAGCAGGGTCTCAAAGAGATACTTGTATATCCATGTTCAGTACAGCATTATTCACAATAGCCAAAACAGAGAAGCAACCTAGATGTCTAACAAATGGATAAGCAAAGTGTGATCCCTATACACACAATGGGACACAGTTTTAAAAGAAGATGGACACATACTACAATAGAGATCAACCATCAGGACACAAATGTTAAGTGAAATAAGCCAATTACAAAAAACAAATACTATACGATTCTACTTACATGAGGAACCTAGAATTGTCTAATGCAGAAAGACAGAAAGTACAATTGTGGTTGCCAGAGGTTGGGGGAGGAGGAACTGGGAAGTTGTTAATGGGTACGGGCTTCAGTTTTAAAAGATGAAAAGAGTTATGGAGATAAGTGCTGGTGAGATGCTAGCATAACATTATGAGTGTATTTAATACCATTGAACTATACACTTAAAAAGGGTTAATTATGATGGTAAATTTTTTGTGTATTTTACCACACTTTAAAAAATTAGAAATAAGCCATGGGAATGATTCAAGACTGTTCTCCTGGGCAATGTAGCTGTTACCAGAGTTATTTATTTTTTGACAAGTTATTTATTTTTTGACAAGTCAAGTGCAGCAGTAAGACAGGGGAAGGAATAGAACAAGGAGTTCGATCTGTAACAGACTGTGAACAGTCCATTGAAATAACTCACTACCTTCAGACCAACCAGCCAGAGTTATTTGTAGTCCTGTAAGTGACTGGCAGATAGGCTAAATTCCCACATTACCACGTCTTTGAGGATGGGAATGGGGTGGGCCTGTTCGGAAGCCCCTTTTCTGTGCATTCCTCCCTGCCATGGGACCCACTCACCTCCCACTGTTCTACCGCCCTGTCTCCCTGCATGCCAGCAGAGGACACACTGGCAGATCCCTCTGCCCTATGTCTACCCATGCAAGCCTTGATTTTTTTCCTAAGTGATTTTTAGTGGCCATATTTTAACTGAAATTATATTGGGTAGGTTATGTATTTATTATCATTCCTGTAGTAGATACAAATTTTTCTTCATTCCAAAGGTTAAGAAACTACAGCATGGAAAAGGGAAGCTACCTGCTTACTGCTCTCCTTGTTAGCAGACTGGGGCTCAGGGCCTGATTTCCTGATGCCCAGATTTGTCATCTGCCCTCTGCCAGGGGAGTGTTCCAGGAAGCCTGTCCCCCAAGAATCTTACCTTCAGACTATTGTAGGCCAGATCTGCATTCGGGTCCAAATCTATGTCAGTCTGTGGTGGTTCCGCCTGCATGGATAGAGACACAAAGATAAGTGCAGACCTCGAGCAAGATATTCCACAGAGGTGTTTCCAACTGTGGTCAAACTTGCTCATCCTGCCTGTGCGTGAATACCCAACACCCCCACCCTCCACAAGTCCACTTCCTTCCCACCTTCAAAGTGCAGCTCAACACTCCAGCCTACCATGAAGTGTTCCATCAACACCTCCCTCCTGTCCCCACCCCCACTTTCACTCACATGGTCCCCACAGGCACTTATAGGTTGAATATGTATAGCACTGTGTTATGGCTTGAATTTTGCCCCCCCAAATGATATTCTGAAGTCCTCACCCCTAGAAACTGTGAATGTGACCTTATTTGCAAATAGGGTCTTTGCAGATGTAATCAAGTTAAGCTGGGGTCATTTGGGTGGACACTAATCCAGTCGGAAGACGACACAGGGAAGATGACCATGTGAAGATGGAGGCAGAAGCTAAAGTCACGCAGCTGCCAGGCAGGGAACACCACGATGGCCAAAAACATGGGAAGTTGAGAGAAAGGCATGAAGCAAATTCTCCCTTAAAGCCTTCAAGAGAAGACGGGCTGTCAACACCTTGATTTCTGACTTCTGGCCTCCAGAACTCTGAGAGAATGAATTTTTGTTGTTTTGTCATCCAGTTTGTGGTGTTTTGTTTCAGCAGCCCTAGGAAGCTAACACACACTGTAAAACTACGTCTCTAGTAACAAGGCTAACAAGTTACGTTCCAATTTATGAGGGAGGAAAGCTCCCCAGTGTGTTGTTTCCCAACTAAACTCTAAGCACCTTGCAGAGAGCTGCTTCCTCCATGACACTACCGCAGGTAGTAGAGATGGCCCACAACACTCTGTAATGCTGTCTGACATCAGAACTCCAAAGCTAGTGCTTGTCTATGGCAATTTCTGGAATAACAACTCACTAGGATTCAGCTGAGCAAATAATTCCTCAGTTATTTAGCTGCTATTTGACTTAAATGGCCAATGAGAAGGGGTAGAAACAGCTTCATAAATGGTTAACTACTTGGAGTAATTTCAAGTAGTGGGTGTTAGTCCCTGATTAAGATGGATTTTTGGAGGTAAAAATGGACAGATCACTTAATGAGATTACCTACGTGCTAGCTAGCAGTGTTAAGTCCTCCCACTGTGGATGCACTAGCGTGCCCCAGGCTTGGAGACAGGAACAGGATCTGAGCATCTCCTGTACTCCTCCCAGCTGAAGGATGCCTACAGTTACCGCACTGTTTCCAGCCCTGCAATCTGGGCTTAAAACCCCTCCAAGGTACCAGTGTCTGTTTTGCCTCCACCACCACCAGTGGTATAGGAGGCTGTGGCTGTCCAGGGTCTGCATTCAACCTGCTGCTCCGGTGAGAGTTCTGTACTTGTGTTCTATGTAGCATGGATTTGCCATGTGTCCGTGGATGATATTGAGTACATTACATTCTCAGAAAGTGGAGGTCACCTACTCAGACTCAAGGGGCTCTATTAAGATGGGCTGGCAGTCACGTTCGTAAGTGGGAAGCCCATAGGAATCACCCTATTGGCCAAGGTGACTTTGCCAGGCTTGAGAAAGGGAGGTGGCTGGGTGGGAGGTCAAATGCACTGACTGTAGACTGTCATAGAGGCCCCACCCTCACAGCGCCTCAGTCACTTCCATACTGATGGTACATCCCATGGGCTTCCCTGCCATTCCTCACTCAGTGCATGGCCTCTCTCTGCAGTTGAGACCTGAGCCATCTCTCTCCAGAATGAAGACCCAGGTAGTTCAGGATCCCTCTTTGGACCAAAAGCGAATCCAAGAACTTGACCTCCAAAAGCTCCATTTCAGGGTGCTGTAGAGGGATCCCATACCCTCTCCCAACCCACACCTGCCTTTCCTTCCTTAAACTGTCAGAAACAAGGCCATTCTCCCTAAAGAGAGATCCTTAATATACATGACAGAGCTATGGCCCAGGCCTAGAGTTCTAACTATTGTTCAGTGGTTATTTTGGAGGAAAAAGATACCCTTTTTTATTTGGTATCCAGAGAAGTTCTAAAGCCAAGATTCCAAAATTAGCTGGCATGTCTGCAATGGGGAGCCTGGAGAATGAATCTTTAGGTACAGCTGGATAGGCCAAGAACTTGTACATCAGGCACCGTCTGATGTCATCTGTGTAGCTTTTCATAGATTTGATTTGCACTTGCCTGTCAGGGCAGCTTTCCTTCTAATTCAATGAGTCATTTAGAAACCTAATCTTTTCACTTTCCATTCTGAATCAAGTCCACCTGAGAGATTTAAACCCATCGGCAAGATTTACCTCCCCACTTACTGCTCAGGGGGAAAAAAAACAAGAATTTGCCAGCAATATAGATCAGAATCTGTATCACAATTGATTGCAAAGGGAATACAGGTGTTGCAAAAAATGACTGGACACAGAAGTGAGGGAAGGGGTAGGGATTGAGAACATGGGGTAGGTGTCAAACTCCACAATTAATAATTCAGGCCTGAGAACATACCAAAGGCCTTTTTCAAACCCACTATGAGTTCAGCTGATGATATAACCCATGGCAGAATTGGCCTTGTACCCTTTAGAAGTGGTCCTTCTATCTCCAAAGAAATAAATGGTTCTTTCCTCCTTAGCACTGCTATAGTCAATGGATTCTCTACTCCTATGGCACCAACCTGTTTGCACTCAACTTGCATTTATTTAAGTGCTACCAATGTTATTTTTTACTTTTCACCTGTGTTATGTCTGGTTCTCCCAGACGTAACATCTAAATTCCTCATAACATTTAAATTCCTCAATGGCTGGGAATTTCTCTTATATTGTTATCTGCTGTCCTTTAATGAACATTTTGTGTACCTACTACGTGCCTGGCACTGGCATAGTTCTGAATGCAGCATGGGTGCCCAGTAGTTCCTTGAGATGGAATGATTACTTTTGGGGCTACTAAGATTTCAAACAATATCCTTTCTAGACCCAAGAGGCTGCTGATAATCTGGACTGAGGCAAGGGTGCAGCCATGAGAGAGGAAAGTGAGTGACACACACTTGGTCTGCCTCTGACCCAAAAAGGCTGAACCCAAGCCCATGCAAGATCCCAGGTATGAAAGGGCGATAGGTCATCTCTGTGTACATTTGACTTCTGCTGTATTTACACTCTTATTACACACCCTGGTCCTCCTGGCAGGGAGCTCCCCTCTTTGCAAGTAGGTGATGATGCCACAGACTTCCCCCTAGCTTCACCAACAGAAACCCGGGGCATGAGGGAGCTTACTCCTGTTCAGCTGGGCGGTGTAGGGGCACTCAGAGAAGACTCAGCATGACTCCAATGCACTAAGTAGGAGCCCTCTGAGACTTAGCAGGAGCACAATCCCATGTGGTCACACATGCCACATGAGCCCTGGACACAAGAGCTAGATTGTTCTCTCATCCAAGCACCATAAGAGCACTGCAGCCCCTTCACGTACCTGGACTTTCTTGCTGTCCTGCTGTTCTCTCTTCTCCAGCTGCACTTGCAGCTTTTTCCTCTCCTGCTCCAGCTCCCGTACTCTCTTCTGCAGCTTCAGGAAGACCGTCATGTCCATGGCTGCCTTCTCCAGGCCAATTTCCTTCAAAGGAAGACAGGCACAGAAAAAAGGTTTTCCTAAATACATGCCTTAGGGAACACACAGCACTTCACTGCCTCCCTCTATATCAGCCATCTGTCTCCTCTCTCCTCCCAAACATCAATTTGCATCTCAAATACAAAGCCAATGACAACCAACTAACATTTCTCATATCACAGTTGGTGCTCCAGGCTCATTTTCTGTCCAGATAACATCTGAGTCTCAGCCATTTATATTCCTCCTGTGTGAGCCACTTAAAATGACCAACCATATATTCCAAGAACAAATGGATAAAAACACAGGCACTTTCTTTGGAAGTTAAAAGAGCTCACTTCTGGAAAATGGTCTCACACCAGAGAAACTATAGAACTTGGGACATAGCACTTCCTGATGAGGAATCAACATGGTTACCAATCACTGCAATGTGCTGTCAGCCATCACTTGATTGCATCTTGAAATGGAATCAATGCTTGCTCTGCCCCGGAACCTATTTATCCAACAGATCTTAAAGCATCTATTTCCCAGATTTTGTTCCTTTTGGATTCATGCCTGAGTTTGCCCTCCAGGACTCCAATGCGTGGGGATAGGGGTGTACAAACACGTCTATCTGCCTGTGAATGGGTAATGTGTATGAGCACATCCATGTGGATTTTTAAGCACATGTATGTACATGTGAGACAATATAATTTGGTTCCACCAGGATTTAATAAGCACTGGTTCCACCAAGGCTTCATGTTTAACCAGCACTGGACCAGTCTTGGCTTCCTTAAAGAACATAAAACCAGTGATGACAATGCTTATGTCTACATGTAGATAGTCACACATACAAACACCAGGGTGATAAGCCTGGAGTTGAGGCTGACTGAAACCTCCAAGGGCCTAGACTTAAAAGACCGCAATGCAAAGCCAAGCATCTCAAGCCAGCAGTTATGCAAGGCTTACTAAGTGCGTCTGGCAGGCAGCAAGCCACGCAGAACCGCACAACAGAGAGGAGACCTTCAGTTCTGGGGACCTCCTTCTCTCCCTCCACCCTCTGCTCCAGCATTCTCTATTGCTGATGGTCTCTTATTTTTCTTTATAGCACTTAGCAGGACCTGCAATCATATCACATGTTTCTTCCCTAACTGCTCACTGACTAGCTCTCTGTCAGATGAGGGCAAGGACTTCTCCGGCTCAGTCACCACTGTTTCTCTAGCACTGACCAGCAGATCCTGCACAAAGAACTGCTCCAAACCCATTTGTTTTTATTCTGTCTCTCCTCCATGTTATTTCCACATACTTTACAAGGTTCTGTGTGTACGTGCGCGCACACACACGCGCGCATGTGCCTGTGATTTTCTTTTCAAATGCCAGAGGAAAAATTGTATCTTTTGTACCTTTGACAAAATTATACAAAGACCACACAGTCCACTGTGTGGTATATTTAGTGACTGACTAAGAGGCTATTACCAACAAAGATACAGTCACCCAGCATACTTTCATTCCAAATATTTTTTGTTGTTCTGAGTTTTATCCAGCTTCTAAGTGAGGGGGCAATTTTCTTGTTTGTTTATTGATATTACTATATGCACTATGATATTAAGTGGGGATAAGTTGTATCTATTTTAATGACTTAGCTGTTCCTTCCTAAACCACCTATTTCACCTCTCTGCATCAGCTTCTTGGTTTTTCAAGAGGAATCAGAGATCCACCTTCTTCTTTCCTTTCTGGATAGGGTGTAAGGTGAACAATAATGTATTGCTTTACACAGTAAGTGTTAACTCCAGAGAACTGTCTCTAAATCCACTGTAGTCCAAGTGATCCTGCTCTTGAGAATTAGCCCCTGGGCACTCTGGTCACCATCAGCAGAAGAGTAAATTTCTCTTGGACAGTTCCACACAGAAAAAAACACACACTCCCTCTGGAGGAGGACAGTACCCAAGAGCCTGCATCACTCACCTCCACCTGCTGGAGGGCATCCTCAGTGTCTCCGATCTCAGATGTGGAGATGGAGGGGTAATTGGAGTCAGATTCTAAGCTACTTTGGTTTGATGGGTTCCGCCTATGACCTGGAGTTTGCTGTTCAACAAGAAAAACGTGATAGCTCATTAGGAACTAATGTTCATGAGAATTTACCTCCCATGGTGGCAGGCCCTAGAGTTATCCTTCTGCCTAATTTGTCAACAAGAATAGGTATCATTGCTTCTTGGAATGATGGCTAAATAAAGCTAGCCCTATGAAACATTTCACCTACAGTTCTTACTGTAGTCATCCACTTTTCATCTCTTAATGAAACGCAAATTCCTAACACTTGGGTCAATTTCTCCGAGAAGTCCTGGAAAAACCTTTCCCTCCCAGTCTTGCTCTTGAAATGCACAAAGGCAGTCACATTACCCACTTCTCCCTTGAAAGGAATGTTCCACACCTGCCCAGAATGGCCCCTCCCTTCAACCTGCACTCCTCAAATTTTATGAAAATAGTAGCATATTAAAAATAGTTTACCATTTATACTGTTCATTTAAAAATACTTTTTTTTTTCCTGCATCTGATTTGGCTGTCAGTGTGAAAATTGAGCTTGGTAGGACAATTTTAGACTTCTCTGGATGTTCCTATTCAGCTTTTCTTTCCTGGCTTCTATGCAATTAACTTACTCCATCTTGTTTGAATACTCATTTCTGGAGGAAATGTTTACATGGGGTAAAAAAGAATGACAGATCCTAAAATATCATAAAATTGTCTCTATGTATACTGCATCTCATCAGATTAGGAGACACAATCAGGCCCTTGTGGGTCTCTCTGCCACACACACACTAATGAAGCTGAGAACTCCCACACCCCATTACTGACTCAACACAGGAATGTTCCCGTAACAGGAAACAGGAAAGATAACACACTTGGGTAGAATGTTCCTTAAACTCATAACTGAGATCTTCATGACCCCAAAGTTGGAAAAGGAGCTGTCAGTAGGAATGAATCACCCAGTCCAGCTACCTTTGCCTCTCTGCAGTAATGGCAAGTGCTGCACATATGACACATGGACTGAGCATCACATATCAGAAAGCAGTGCCTGAGATCACGTGGTCAGAAGCTGGACAGGAGCCAGGGACCTGTGCCATGGCACAGCAGAAGCACCCCCCTTGCCTTTATGATGGTCATTTCATCCCGAAGGTTGTCGTATCTCTGCTCCAACTGTGAATATTCCTTCACAAGGTTCTGGTACCGGGATCGCTCCTCCTCCAGTTCTTTCTTCATGAGATTTTCCTTCACAGAGTTCTGGGCAAATTCATCTGGAAAGCAACACGCTAAGCTGCAGTTTTTCTGGATGGATTCCCTCACATGTATTGACTCATGTTTTCCGATTAATCTCTTGTTAAGAGGCTGCCCATGACGAGCTCATCAGAGGCTCTTGATGAATCTATTACGCTCCTCACCTACTGCAGAGCAAAGGTGAGTCTCATTACTCTGGCTTAGTCTTCAGAGAGGGAGAGAAAGACCCTGCTCTCAGGGAATGGGGAGAGAGAAGTTGGCAGCGTAGGTGAGAATTCCCTCAGTTGATGCCCCAGCCTCTCTTCTGCCAACTGTCACAGCAACTGCTGGCAGCATTCCTGGAAGAATGAAGGCTTATTCCACACTCCTTTCCTAGTCCTGATCTTTCAGTTCTTAGGAGTGCAGGGAGATTAAAGGCGACTGGGGTAAAAGGAAAGAAGGCAAATAGAGAAGGATGGGCTACTTCCCTGCCAAAACTTATTCACATTAACGGACAGAAAAGTGTTTTAAAAGGACATTTGAAAACAGTTCACATTTTCAAAAAGATGTGATATTGGGTGGGACTGTGAGGTCATGTGGTTCCATCCTCTTGTGACATGAATGAGGAACCTGAGTATGGGAGAAGGGGATTTGCTCAAAATCACAGTGAGTTGAAGCAGAAACTGGGGTCTGTGGACTCTCCCTGCTCCTCCACAGCCGAGTGGCACATGGGGACTGATGGCAGCCCAGGAGCTGGTGGGCACTTGAGAGAGGCTGACCTGGGATCTGATTCAAGACTGTTTCTTCAGTAAACATTAACAGATGACCCACTGGGTAGAAGAAACCATGATGCGTGGATGGACATGAAAGACAAATGTGAAACCCAGCAATGACGACAGCTCCTGAGCGCTCGCTGAGTGTCATGCACCCTCCTAAGCACTTCACGTGCAGCCTCTTCCTCATTCCTCCCATGAGCCCCCCGATGTCTGGACCTTTATGTCCATGTAGTAGATGAACAAACTGAAAGCCTATTCAAGGCCATACAGAAGCACACGGCAGAATCATGCTTCAAGTGCGGGCCTCCCTGACTCCAAGTCTCATGTACAATGTTGCCCATTATACGTGTCTCACCTCTTTACACTCTTGAGGCCAAATGTCCTAGTGGGATCTTAAAGGTCATTATTCTTCATCTTCTTCTATTAAAATCCTTTCCCCACTGTAGCCTCTAGTCTAACTGCATGCTTGCTAGGAGTCTTTGGGAGAAGTCAGTGAGGAAAAGAGATTAAAACCCCAAATAAAACTCAAGTGCTTTGGTACTTACCTTTAGACTGGCACAGGATTTGGTTGTTGAGCTGTTCTTTCTCATCTTTCAAGAGAGCATTTTCTTGCTCCAGGTCTGCAACTCGCTGGAAGAGAGCAATAGGGGAAAAATGTCTCATGATGCTGGGAAGAGGAGAGGCTCCTCTTGTGGGATTTGAATTTTAACTGGATACATGTAAATGCTCTTTTTAAGAAAATTGATTTGGTTAAAGCTTCTTTTGTTTTCAAGGAAAAATTGTGTACTGAAAGAAAAATCCCATTAAAACAAGACAGATGAGCTCAGCACTATTTATGGTCATCTAATGTCCACAAACACATCATGAAAAGTCTATCACAAGCTCACATGCCTTGTTGAGGAACTTGCAAAGATAACAGGCTTTCTGTAGAGAGCTGAAGGCCTGTGGATCGTGACCAAGTCAGCATTCCACTGAGGCTACATGATCCAATAGCAAACTGTTTATCATGAATGCAGGATGTGGGCAAACTCACATCTGCACCTGCCACCAGAAGGTTTGCTGAGTGCAATCACTCCCTGGCACCATGCTCCTTAAGGTTATCTACTGGCACATCTGGAGACTACTGTTCAGAGAATGCAGCTGTGCAAGCCTGCACCGAGTCAAGTTGCTGACTGACAACCACACCCTTCTCCCTATCTCTTTTACTCAATAAATACGAAGGGAGCTAAAAGCTCAGGGCCCTTGTTTACTGGAAGCAAGGAGCCCCCAACCCCTTCTTCCAAATATACTCTTTTGTCTTTGTCTTTATTCCCACATTCATCCCCTTTTGTTCAGTCCAACAGGGATTGGGTCCACATCAGCTTTCATGTTTTTGTATTTGTTTGCCTGTCTTGCTAAATTTTGGGCTCTCAAACCTGGTCTTAGGAAGGCCAAAATCTCACAATGAACAAATGATCTCTGGTCTTCAACCCACTTGCTTTACCTGTCTTATTGGACCAGCACAGTTCAAATTCTGGAAAAGAGATAACTTGCTATTGACACTCAACTGTCTAATCTAGTGCTGGACTTCTGATGATGTTGACAAAACCAAAATAAGGTGACTATTACCAGAAAAAAAAGGTATAAAAGAAAAAATACTAATTAAACAAAAATTGTAGTCTACTCAAAGAGGAGTAAGAATTAAAAGTGTGAAGAGGCCAGGCGCAGTGGCTCACACCTGTAATCCCAGCACTTTGGGAGGCTGAGGCAGGCAGATCATGAGGTCAAGTGATCGAGACCATCCTGGCTAACACGGTGAAATCCCATCTCTACTAAAAATACAAAAAATTAGCCAGGCATGGTGTTGGGTGCCTGTAGTCCCAGCTACTCGGGAGGCTGAGGCAGGAGAATGGCGTGAACTCCAGGAAGAAGAGCTTGCAGTGAGCCGAGATCGCGCCACTGTACTCCAGCCTGGGAGACAGTGAGACTCCGTCTCAAAAAAAAAAAAAAAAAAGTGCGAAGAAAGTTCTTAAAAAATGTTTTTGCTATTTATTATTAGAGCAACTATTTGTATGGGTTTTTAAAAAGTAACAATTCAGCTGTGTTCTAAGAGAATTTGAAATCATTAGTTGGTATAGAGGAGGATGGGAAAGGGTCTTTTATAACATGGGGGCTAAATTGCAATTGATTCACCTTTGCGCTTGGATCCCCTACAGATTCATTCTGCAGGAGGCTGTCAAGTAATTTTCCCTACTAAAATCACATCCCTGCCTTTGTGACATGGATGAGGACATAGCTGAGCATTGCAAAAAACAGGCAGGGAGAGAATGAGGAACACATGCCAGTGGCCCCTCAAAATTCAGGCTTCCAGACCTGAGATCTCCCTTCCCCCACGGCTGGCTGATCCGTCACCATTCCCCACAGAATAATCTCTTGTGATCACATCCTAAGTGTGGTATATGGCAAAGACAACAAGTTTCACAGCCACACAGATCCTGGGCTCTATAAACCTGTTTCCCCCTCTATAAAATGGAAACCCGGCCAGGTACCGTGCGTGGCTCACACCTGCAATCCCAGCATTTTGAGAGACTGAGGTGGGCAGATAACGAGGTCAGGAGATCGAGATGATCCTGGCCAACATGCTGACACCCCGTCTCTACTAAAAATACAAAAATTAGTTGGGCGTGGTGGTGCGTGCCTGTAATCCCAGCTACTTGGGAGGCCGAAGCAGGTGAATCACTTGAACCAGGGAGTCAGAGGTTGCAGCGAGCTGAGATCGTGCCACAGCACTCCAGCCTGGCAACAGATCAAGAAATCATCTCAAAAAAAAAAAAAAAGAAAGAGGAAACCCACTTCACAGAGTTTCTCATCATTGAATGAGATGACGCATGTGAAGTACCAAGCAGAAGTCACTGCATAGAGCAGTTGATCAATATATGTAGATGGTTCTACATTACTCTTACTGGGCATGAAATGGAAATACACACTTTAAAACCACTCCACCGCTTACCAAAAATTTAAACAGTATCTACTCTTTACAAATTCTTCCAAAAATTAGAAGGAACACTTCCCAATTCCATTCTATGAGGCCAGTGTTACTCTGATACCAAAACCAAAGAAATCACTAAAAACCAAACTACAGCCCAGTATCTCTTATGAACATAGATTCAAAAATCCTCAACTAAATACTAGCAAGTGGTTATGATAAAAACACTCAAACTACAAATAGAAGTGAACATCCTCAACCTGATAAAAATTCCATAGCTCATACCACACTTTATGGTGAAAGACTGAATGCGTTTCCCCTAAGATCAGGAAGACAAGGGTGTCTGCTCTTGCCACTTCTATTCAGCATTGTACTGAAGGTTCTAGCCAGGGCAATAGGCAAGAAAGATAAAAGCATCCAGAATGAATGCTATCTGCAGATGACACAATCTTGTATACAGAAAATCCTAAGAAATTCACTTAAAAACTATTAGAATAAATGAGTTCAGGTTGCAGGGTCCAATTTCAATATACAAAACTCAATTGTATTTGTATATATTTGCAATGAACAATCTGAAAAATAAATTAAGAAAACGATTCCACTATAATGGCATAAAATATTTAGGAATAAATTTAACAAGAGAAGTATAAAATTCATACTCGGTAAATGAAAAAACATTATTGAAAGAAATTAAAGATCTTAATAAATGGAAAGACATCTTGAGATAATGGATCAAAACACTTTTTAAGATGGCAACACTCCTCAAATTCATCTACAGATTCAATGTAATCATTATGAAGATCCTGCATGGCTTCTCTGCAGAAATTCATGAGCTGTTCCTTAAATTCATATATAATATCTAGGGATCCAGAATACCCAAACGATCTTGAAGAAGATGAACAAAGCTGGAATAATCACACTTCTAAATTTTAAAACTTACTAGAAGATAAAGTAATACAGACAGCGTGATACTGGCATAAAGACAGACATACTGATCAATGAAACAAAACTGACTTTCACATTGACAGTCAATTGATTTTTGACAACCGTGCCAAAACAATTCAATGAGGAAAAGAATAGTCTTATAATCAAAGGTGCTGGGACAAATGGATATCTACATGGAAAAAAATGAAGCTGGACCACTACCTCATAATATACAAAAATTAACTCAAAATGCATTAAAGACTTAAATGTAAGGGCTAAAACTATAAAACTCTCAGAAGAAAACATGGCAACAAATCTTTGTGACCTTTGGATTAGGCACAAGCCAAATACAATGCCAAAAGCACAAGCCACCAAATACAATGCCAAAAGCACAAGCCACCAAGTTAAAAATAAATTGAACTTCATTAAAATTTAAAGTTTTTATGCTTCAAACCATCAAGAAAGTGAAAGGGCAACCCACAGAATGGGAAAAAATATTTTCAAATCACCTATCTGATACATCAGCAGTCTCCAAACTTTTTGGCACCAGAGATCAGTTTGATGGAAGACAATTTTTCCACGGACCAGGGTGACGGGGGAATGGTTTCAGCATGATTCAAGCACTTTATATTTATTATATACTTTATTTCTATTATTATTACATTGTAATATACAATTAAATCATTATACAACTCACCATAATGTAGAATCAGTGGGAGCCCTGAGCTTGTTTTCCTGCAACTAGATGGTCCTATCTGGGGGTGATGGGAGACAGTGACAGATCATCAGGCATTAGAGTCTTATAAGGAAAGTGTCGCATGTGCAGTTCACAGTAAGATTTGTGCTCCTATGAGAATCTAATGCCACTGCTGATTTGACAGGAGGCAGAGCTTAGGCAGTAATTTGAGCAGTGGGGAGCGGCTGTAAATACAGATGAAGCCTTGCTCACTTGCCCACCACTCACCTCCTGCTGTGCGGCCTGGTTCCTGGACCACTACTGGTCCATGGCCTAGGGGTTGGGGACTCCTGTGATACATGACTCATAGCATGAGTATATAAAAATCACTTGCAACTCAACAATAAAAAGACAACCCAATTTTAAAAACGGGCAAAGAACTGAAATAGACATTTCTCCAAAGAAGATATACAAATGGCCGATAAACACAGAAAAGACACTCAGTATCTTATTAGGGAAATACAAATCAAAGCCACACTGAGATAACAGTTCACACTCACCAGGATGGCTATAATACAGACAGACAATAACAAGTGTTGGTGAGAATATGAAGAAATCAGAACCCTCATATGCTGCTGGTGGGAATATAAAATGGTGCAGCAGCTCTGGAAAACACTCTGGCAATTCCTCAAAAGGTTTAACATAGAGTTGCCATGTGACCCAGGATTGCTACTCCTGGGCAGATACCCAAGATAAATGAAAACCTAGTCCACACAAAAACTTGTACGCTGACTGACACAAAGAACAACCTCACCCTTTCTAGCTTAAGTCACAGGATGCAGTCATCTTCCAGAGGACTCGTCTCAACCTGTGTAGAAAGAGTCTCAAAAATGACCTCCTCAGGACAGCACCACAACACATAATGACTAGCAAGTGTGCAATGGCAGAGGGACTAATTGGTGACTACTGGGATTGCAACCTAGGAGATGACCACGTGGAGCAGAGGAGAGATGACCATACAGACCCCTGAGTACCCACCTGCACCCCCATCAGACAGGCACCTTTCAAACTCTTCTAGACTTCATGGCATTAAAACCCAGAGAGGTGGCCCTAGGGATATGGACTAAACCAGCAGAAGCCTAAATTGATATGGTTTGGACGTTCATTTCCTCCAAATGCATGAGGTTTGAATTTCAACTGGTTACAATGCTTAAATGCCAACTTTCCTTCCTCTCCTGGCTGTAAATTAAGCTCAAGGCACCAAGAGGTGAGTTAATAAGGGAGGAGCTGCCCCACCCTCGGCATCAGGTAGAAAGGGGCAGGAAAAAATGGCAACACACTGGAGCTAAGGATTGGGG
The DNA here is from genome assembly GCF_000001405.40 of Homo sapiens. Taxonomy (NCBI): domain Eukaryota; kingdom Metazoa; phylum Chordata; class Mammalia; order Primates; family Hominidae; genus Homo; species Homo sapiens. The sequence continues at coordinate 49,885,749 of NC_000018.10, forward strand.
TCACTGGCTCTCCCCACCCCAGGAACTCAGAAGGCAGCGACTCTCACTTAAAGGTGCCTCAGCTACTCTGGGGAGCTGCTGATGGGTCTGTAGTGGCCTTACATTAGGTTTGTCCTTTAAGGGCCCATAGAGAAAAGTAGGATACACAATACAATACTATTAAGGGCTTGCAAAAAGATCCAAGCACTTTGTTAACACCCTTTTTTTTGAGACAAGGTCTCACCCTGTTACCCAAGCTGGAGTGCTGTGGTGAGATCTCGGTTCACTGCAGCCTCGACCTCCCCAGGCTCTGGTGATCCTCCCACCTCAGCCTCCTGAGTAGCTAGGACTACAGGTGCCTGCCAACATGCCCGGCTAATTTTTGTATTTTTAGTATAGACGGGGTTTTGCCATGTTGGCCAGGTTGGTCTTGAACTCTTGGGCTCAAGTGATTTGCCCACCTTGGCCTCCCAAAGTAGCTGGGTTTACAGATATGAGCCACCGGCACCTGACCAACACTTTTAACAGTCTAGAACCCCTTCAAATTTAAGGAGTTTTTCAATCTTTCTTTCCCTTCAATTCAAGCAGACTCAGTTTGTCTCATCCGTTTATCTGTAGATGGGCTTCCATGAGTTACAAGAAGGAGGCTCTGACAAGCATGTTTTCAAAAGTTGTCCAGGTAATTCTGAGGCTCTAGAGGTTGAGAGCTGCTGGTCTTATGTCTTTATATCCAGCAGAACTCCTCACCCCACAAGTAAATGATAAGCACAGTCAGGGACTCTCGGTATGGAGAGTCAGGCAAAGGGGTTGGCTTTCTGCCCAACAGGAGGTCAAATCAGATAAAGGTGATAAAAATATACATGCATCAAACTAATTATACCAAGTTATTATTCTTTGGCAATTTATTTTGCCAAATAACATTTATTGCCTATAATATTTATTGCCTATAATAATTAATGCAACAGATGTTGTATGTCTTCAGAGGCTAAAATGTGACCTGGTGTTGAGGGCAAGGTACAGAAGAAGAAGCACCGACCGAGAGTGACGACGTTTTATCCGTAGAGGCACCCACTCACCAAGCCTAGTTCTGGCCCCTAGTATGACACAGGGCAAGGCTGTCACTCATCCATCACACATTTCCTGATACACCTCTATACCAGGAGCCTTGCCAGGGCTGGGGGATACCAAATGAGATAGACTGACTCATGGTAGTTGATATGGTTTGGACGTTCATTTCCTCCAAATCTCGTGTTGAAATGTGATTCCTAATGTTGGAGGTGGGGCCTGGTGAGAGGTGACTGGGTCATGGGGGTGGATCCCTCATGAATGCTGTAGCACCATCCCCTTGGTGAACTCATCCCTCACTGAGTTCACAATAGAAGGTGTAGGTGGCATACATGCTGTTAACCACAGCACTCTCAGACTGTAGTCTTGGCTCAGGTTTTAGATCATAGGTTGTTGCAATGAAGTCACATGTTCTTAGGTGGCATTCATAGGACTGGAGATTTCAGGACCCACTTGGTGATGATGTCATGCACTCTGTGCTGGTCAGATGGCACGTTCCATTTCAGAGGGATATTGACTGTGTGTAGGATGCTCAAAGGATGGCAAGGGGTCTTGATCTTCTCAGGTGACCTACTGCTCTGTGAGCCATCTAGATATTAGGAGGATGTTAAGGGGAAGCAACGTTTTCATTGCCCTAGCGTGAACTCAGTGAGGGATAAGTTCTCACTGAGTTCACGTGAGATCTGGTTGTTTAAAAACATGTGGCACCTCCCCGCTCTCTCTTGCTCCCACTATCGCCATGTGATGCCTGCTCCCCCTTCAACTTTTGCCATGGCTGGAAGCTCCCTGAGGCCCTCATCAGGACAGATGCCAGCACTACACTTCCTGTACAGACTATAGAACTGTGAGTCAATTAGACATTTTTACTTATAAATTATGCAGCCACAGGTGTTTCTTTTGTTTTTTGAGATGGAGTCTCCCTCTGTCACCCAGACTGGATTGCAGTGGCGCGATCTCAGCTCACAGCAACCTCTGCCTCCCGAGTTCAAGCAATTCTCCTGCCTCAGCCTCCTGAGTAGCTGCGATTACAGGCATGCACCACCAAGCCCGGCTAATTTTTTTTTTGTTGTATTTTTAGTAGAGACGTGTTTCATCATATTGGCCAAGCTAGTCTGGAACTCCTGACCTTGTGATCCACCCACCTCAGCCTCCCAAAGTGCTGGGATTACAGACATGAGCCACCACACCCAGCCCAGGTGTTTCTTTATAGTAACGCAAGAACAGTCTAATATAGTAGTTGCCCTCAGAGAGTGTCCAGCCTGGCAGGGATGAGGGACAGGTGCATACATAGTAATGATATCAATAAGGGCTGTAGCAGCTTCCTATAAAGCAAAGTTTTTCAGCCTTGACACTGTCAACATTCTGGGCTGGACAATTCTTTCTTGGGGGAGTAAGGGACTCTCCTGTGCATTACTGGGTGTTCAGCAGCATCCCTGGCTTCTACCCACTAGATGCTAATACAACACACCCTCCTCTCACCTTCAATTTGTGAAAACCAGAATGTCTCCAGGCACTGCCATACGTCCCCTAATGGCAAAATCACCCCGATTGAGAATCACTACAATAAGGTGATTCAGAAGGAAAAGAAGGTAGCCTCAGGGTCCATGAAGGCTTCACAAGAGGTGGGGGTCATCTGGATTAGGCCTGCAAGTGGGATGTCTCAGGCAGCTGAGGGCCATTCTAGGTGGGAAGAACAAGTGCCTAAAGGTCTGGGAGGAGGAAGGGCACGGGTTTGGGAATGTGAAGAGTTCTACGTTGCCAAAACGTGTGGTTGCAGCACGGGCACTGAGAAAAGTCAAGGCTGGGTAGGTAGAGGGAGGAAGAATCAGCTTGTGAATGGCTTCTCTTCCTTTGTCCTCAGGAAACACTGAACTCCTCTTATTCTCCTAACTCGACCTGGGTGGGCCCAGCTCCTCTCCCCAGCCTCTTCCCGCCCTCCAGGATCTGCCTGAATGTTTCACTGTTCCTTCTGACAGGCTCTGTCGTTCCCATTCTTTACTGGTTACTTTCTTCTCATTATTAGCTCTTGACCGGCACTCTCCTGGGAAACATTCCTGTACCACACGGGGTGGTGGGGTTGCCCCCACGCTTGGTGTCCTGCTCTGACAGGGCCTGCACATCCCTCCAGAGCCTGTGGGACAGCAATGCTTCCTCATACACCTGCCTGCTCAGCCTGGACCAGAGTCCTCAACGTGGACCTAGGGATTATATCGCCAGACTATCACACCCTCAGAACCCAGGCCACCGCCAGCACCTGAAAGCTTATCAAATGAATAGAAGGGCCCTGCAGACCAAGTTAAGGAGCCTGCATTCCCTCAGTCACAACTAAGGGCTCCCTTTAAAATTGTTTTTTTAAATAAATGTGTTTATAGTTGACCAAAATATCTAGAATACATGAGCTTGTTTAATCAAATAATTCAATTTAGGCAGCACATACAATGTAGGAAAACACTCTTCAAATGCATCTAATTTGCTATTGCTGGAGGCAGTTCACTCAATGACTTCAGGAGCACCTTTAAATTAGGTTGGCAAATTATCAAAATAGATTTCACTTTTCTAGACATACAAGTAAAATCAAACTGAAAACAACCCAACAGGAGAAACCACATGGTATGTACTTCTACAGAATAAAGCCTAGGGTGGTGCAATGAAGCATGATCTATGTCACAGTTAGGAAGGCAGGGGTCTTGCCCCATCCTGCCAGGAACAAGGCTGTACCCTCTGAATCAGTCAACTACTGGTAGGTTTTACAGCAGGCTGTGAAGTAACCAGACCTTACCATGGAGCAAAACTTTGCTTCTCCTTAACATTCTCCTAATATCTAGATGGCTCACAGAGCAGTAGGTCACCTGAGAAGACCAAGACCCCTCGCCATCCTTTGAGCATCCTACACACAGTCAATATCCCTCTGAAATGGAACATGCCATCTGACCAGCACAGAGCGCATGACATCATCACCAAGTGGGTCCTGAAATCTCCAGTCCTATGAATGCCACCTAAGAACATGTGACTTCATTGCAACAACCTATGATCTAAAACCTGAGCCAAGGCTACAGTCTGGGAGTGCCATGGTTAACAGCATGTATGCCACCTACACCTCCTATTGTTTTGAGGCTTGTTGCTTCCCTCTGTCTCCCTCTTTGATTCATGAATGCAGGTCTCTGACTTGGCTTTATTATTCTAAGCCATACATTAAAGTGGCCTCAGGGGGATTTACTTTTCTTGCTTGCCTAAACAATTTTGGAGGTAGGCCCATGTTCCTGATCTTTCATGAACAGCAGGAAAGGACCAATCCCACACTCAGCTCCACACCCCAGGTGGGTGAGAGAATGCTTCCTTGATCATATTTCTCCAGGTACCAGCCAACCCCAGTCTTCCCAGCCAGCTAACACAGCTGTTGGCAGACACAGCAGGTAACAAACTTCTGCAGCCAAATGGCCCCCACTTTGTGGTGTCAGGGCTGCAGGGTGCAGTGGGAGATGCTTTAACAACATAAAACAGGTGGCTGCATCCCCTGAGCATGATAAATAACACCTTAGGTTTCAGGACTCATTCAACACCATTCAGCAGCTCCTTTTTTTGGACTGGGGGAGTGGTTAGTCTTAACTCTTGCAGGCAACATTACTCAGTGTTTCTTCTAAAAGCTTATTTGGGACAGCTTATCAGAATCAACACTGGAGGAAAATCCTGTATCTATGAGGCTAATACAGTACCTATATTAAGTTAAGTAAATGCCCCAGCAACATGCTAAAGAACTGTCTTTACTAGTTTGTCTTTGGGGATACAAATGTAGCTAGGGGCTTTGTTTTGTCTTATGTTTTCAAGAGGGATATTAGTACTATAAGAAGACCCAGCGCAAGGTTTCTAGTAGCAAACATGGGAAAACTGGTTGGACAATGCCAATCAGAAAAGGTTCCTCTGCCATCTGTCCTTGATGCTGTGCAGTTACCACATTTACAGGCACAGCCCTAGGTAGGGACAATACCTTTAATTCTGCAAAATCTTGAAGTGTTTATTTGACCATTTTCTGAGAATGTTCTTCTAAGTAAGCATAGTATAAATTTGTTTTTTAAAGTAGTGATTAAAGCAAAAGTTGAAAATCAACATCCCTTGGATAGTAAGACAACTTTGAAACAATGGCTAAAATATCTTCAAAATGGTCCTGCAGATGTGTTTTAATTCCTCTCTCACCCCTAAGCTCACAGAAGCTGAAGTGCCTAGGACAGAGTTGCTCATCTCTCTGGAGGTTTCATGGGTCAAGGCCGCGCTTGAAGTCAGAAGATCCTTCCTGACCTGGCCGCACTGTGCTCCTGCTGTTTGCCTCCTCACTTACTCCACCTGAGCCCAGTGAGCACCTCATTGGTCCTCACACCCACCCAGCCTACTCATGCCCCAAGGCCTGTGCACGTGTGCCACACCTGTCACCTGTTATCCCCAAATCGCCTTGGCTTATCTTCTCCCCTTACTCAGATGTCTTCTCAGAAAGACCTTCTGTGGCCATCAAAAGTGAAATCATACCCCTCAGGCCCCCACAGGTCACCCTCCATCCCCTTTACTCTGCTTCATTGTTGTTTGTAGCCCTTGGGGGGTAATTCACGTTAGATTCCTCTCTGTACTTTCTTCCCCCATCCCCACACATTTAAGCTCCTTAAGAACGAGAAGGGTTTTTTCAAACACCATTCACCTTTTGCCCCAGTGTGTAGAACAGGGTCTAACACATACAGGCATTCAAACACCTGCTGAATGAAGGACCATGAGCTTCTGTGCTTTCTGCAGCAAGACAACGTCCTTCCAGAGATGGGTCAGTGTCCCCTTCCTAATAATCCTCAGCCTCCACATGAACCATGAGTCCTGGTGCTGCTGAGAGCACAACCCCCTCTTGGCTGGTCAAAGTAGCTCTGCTCCACACCTTTGGGGAGAAGGCTCAACACACTCTGCTATGAGAGCCCCCATTCCCCAAGCCAGATCTCTCTACCTCTATTTGGAGAAATCAAAACCTTTATAACTTGAACTACCCAAGGCAATCAACTAGTGGCTAGTGGTTCTATGACTGATGTCTTGATACAATGCACAACCCAGCCCCACTAGTCCGAATGTTCAGTGCCTGGGGGCCTGCTAGTCATCTCTCACAAGGACCAGGGACCCCCTCTGAGAGCCAGGCACCTGGCTGTGGGTGGTTCCTCCTCACCCACCACAGCCCTGCACCAAGTAAGCCTTGCTCTGGTCCCATTGAGCAGCCTTCAGAGCAGATTCTGAATAATGAGCTGTCACCTCTGTGCCTAGGGCAGCCCTGGGGGCCACCTCTCTTTCACCAAACAGAGCAGCCATGCAAAACAGCACAGCTGTACAAAAGCAGCCGGCATAGGGATCGCTGAAGCTTTCAAAAAGAACGAAATGTACACAATGCACAGGCTAAAAGGGAAGGAGGCTAAGGGCCTGGGTGTGGACTACCCCGTGGAAGCGCCAAAACAACAGATACCTTTAGTAGAAAAGGATGTCATCTAACCTATGCGACAGAGCTGCTCTGGACTCTGTGGACAGAGAGATGAATTCCTGCCCTCGGGGAGACTTGGCCTCCCACAGGCCAAGGCAGGGCAGCCACGTGGCCCACCAATTAATATCGTCAGAGATGGCAAGCCCAGAGTTTTCCAGCATAGCAGTTCCAATACGACACTCGCTGCCTTTGCTGATGGAAATATCAAACTCATTAAACATCTACTAGCAGTCGGCCCCCTCACTGTGCTTGGCTGGTCTCATCAATCTCGCTCAAAGCAGAGCAGGCCCCTGCTCAAGCCTTGGAGGAAACCAATTGTCTGATTACTCAGCATTTATTGAAATTGACACAGTGCCTTTGATAAATATTATACCCTGAGGAGGCACAGAAGACAAAACAAAAAAAAGCCAGCCAGCTCATCTACCTACCTCCAACCACCACAACAAAAAGATTCTGAAGATTCTAAAGAATGTTTGCTTCCACTTTTTCTTTTCCAGGAAAGAGGTGGACATGCCACTTCATGAGTCATCTCCTGTTGGTTTCTGAGTGTTTCTAAGTTGGAATTTGCTTACATTTGGGGTAGGGAAGGGGCTTTTGCACTACTCTGCTCCTAGCGTTCCCCTCCTTGCAGCGTCCTTAATTTTTTGTTACCAATTCCAAGCTCTAATTTTCTTTAAGACCTAGGTCAGCATATCATTGCTAGGGAAGAGTAGCAACATTTCTTAAGGAGAGGAGGAGGGAGTCTGCTTCTCTGTTTTGCTCCTCCAATGAAGATTTTCATATTATAAACTCTTATGCACTCCCTTTGATGGAGACTTGGGTGTTTAGAGTGCTGAAGTCCCCAAGTTGTAGCATTTAGCAGGAAGCAGGGACGCGGGGCTGGGAAGCTGATGAGTCAAGTGCTATCTGTTGGGACAGAGATAGGTGAGACCTGATTTTGTGGATCTGCTGGGTAAACAGACTTTGCAGATGTCTCATCTGACTGGGACACACATGCAGGGAATGTTTTTTCTCCCAGGGTCACTAGTCTCAGGAGTTTCCAGTTCTATTCTTGATCCTTTCTGGCTTTGGACCTCACCTTCTGGTTTTTATTCATGTAGAAAGGTCACCATCCCATTCATCTGCTCCCAAGGGTAGACAAACCACAAGTGTGGTATTCCATGATTTGTAGGTTACAAGACTTGTAGACACATTTAACAGGAGTTTCCAAGCACCACGTGCTTTCTCCCAAAGAATGAATCCACTTCATGTCTCATGGTGGGCAGGCTGGCAGGTGACTTATCTGGGCAGAGGGTCCTGTGGGCAGAGGGCCCTCAAAGCAGCACATCAGGAGTGTGGCCTTTTATGGGAAGCCTGCGTCTTACTTTCTTCTTCCCTTAATCTCCACACCTGGATCCCACCTCTGGCCCCTGGAGATCCCTGGGGTCTGGGTGAAGGCAGGAGCTGATGGTGCTGAGGCCCGAGGTGGGAAGAAGATCTATGCAAGCCCAGCACATGCTGGCACTGTAGGCTCTATAACCTCCACGGATGTCTGTGTGTTCCTCAGCTGCATGTGAAGGCTCAGGCCAGGAAAAGGCAGTGGGAAATAGAAGAGAGAAGGACTCCCACGTAGGGCCAAGGGCCTCTGCTCCTTCCAGAAGCCAAACACAATCTCATGGTGGCAGCCAGGTGCAAGTCTAGAAGGGGCCTTGGAGATGATCTGAACCAACTTTTATAAATATACACACAGATGAGGGAACTAAGGCCAGTGAGGCTTTCTGCACATGCTTGGGAATGGCAGAGTGGGGATGGGAATCTGGGGACTCCAAGGTCTACCGCAGGGCCCTTCCTGCAGCAGCATCCAGCCTGCCCCAATTTTGAAGTTGTTACTCCAACACCCTGAACACTGGATCTCTCCCTCTTAGATCCCCATCCACTGCAACTCCCCATTGATGGACAAACACTGAAAAAGCGGGCAACATGCTATTTCCCTTGTGGCTTGTAGAGATGGTGGTGGGAGGGGGGGCGGTGGTGGGAGGCAGAACAGCAATGACCCAAGTCTGTGGGGGGGTCTCCAGGGGCCCTTGGGACTTCCCTGGCTGGAACAGTTATCTTGGCAGTGGAGCAGGGAATCTCTATGCCCTGATGCTCAGGTTTGGGGCAAAGCTCAGGAAGTTCTATTTCATGGTGTAAGAAATAAGCCCACCAGGGTGGGTGTGACAGGCTGAGACTTTAAGTGTTCAAAGGTGAGGCACCTCCACCAAAGCACAGTGCTGCATCATGGGCAAGGGTGCCCAGAAGCTGCCCTCCCCTGCAGGCAGCATCAAGATCAGCCCCAGCCTCTGTCACGGCTTTCTTGCCAACAAGGATGCGGGCCACAGAGCCAGCCCTGGGCCTAATTCTAGACCATAAAAACAATGCTCACAGGCAGACACCATGTGCCCCTCCCAGGGGATGCCATAGTGTCCAGCTAACAGCAGAAGCGCAGTCATGCTTGTGTGGGTTTCCCCAAAGCATGCCACTTTCTGTCTAGACACAGATGAATGGTCAGTCTGTGCACATGAGCCCAAGACCATGGCAATTTTACCACTTGAAGCAGCAGTGCTCTCTGAGAGGTGGCTCCGTGTGCCCACCCACTCTGCTTGCCAGCGCCTGCCCCTCTGGCCTGAGCATACCTTCCTCAGCTCATCTTTCTCCCTGCTGTGGGCGTCCTCCAAGATCTTGCGCTCCGAGTGGGCCCTCTGCAGCTCTGTGCGCAGGCTCTCCACCTCCTCCTGCAGCCTGAGGCTGGTGTCCTCACCTGGGCTCTGCTGGTAGTGCACCAGCTCCTTCTTCAGCCGCTCTACCTCCATGGTGTATGTTGAGGTGGTCACGGACAACTGCTCTGAAAGTGTCTTGAACTCTTTGTTCTGTGGAGAACATCAGCAAACAAGGAGAAGGGAGAAGAAGTGGGGGAAGAAAAGGTTATTTTACCAGGGAAAAAGCATGAAGGCAATCAAAAAAGGAACTTCCAAGGTAGGATTAAGTCTCACAATCATTGCATGCTCAAGTGCTTGCCTGGCATCTCCCTAACAAAACACTAATGTAAACTTACAGAAATAGAGGAAAACAAAGAACAGCAACACTGACATTCAAAGAGCTCAAGGAGCTTTCGTGAGCATGTGCAGAGCTGGAAGCTGCCTGGTAGCAGGTGGCTTTATGGCTGGGTGGATCCTATACCTTATTTTTAAGTTGCAGAAACAAAGAAGCTGGCTCTCTGGGTTTGCAGCCTTCACTTTTTAGGTTTCTTTGCTCTTTCATACAGAGCCCTCCTGCCTGTGGACTTGCCAGCACAAAGAGTTGCAATCTAATCGCTGGCTTTGAGACAAAGGACCCCTTCAGCATCCTCTCTTCCAAGGAGGCCCTCCATGGGGTCTTGGAATCTCTCTCACCCCTGTCAGCCATGGCTTGCCCCATAAGACTCTAAGACTCAGGGAACTGATGCCCTGACCCACCCTGCCCAAACCATGCTCCTGCAGATGGGATACTCAATCCCAGCCCACTCAGGCAACACACAGGTGTGAAACAGCCCCCATGGGCCCAGAGCCCTAAGAAGCTATTGCTGGTATCAAGTGCTACTGCAAATTATGGGAAGAAATCAGCACCGCAAGAGTTGAGGGCATTAGCTAAGAGTGGTCAGTGAGGAAAGTGGAGAGGAAGAAATAGGGCTCTCCAAATCATCAAGCAGGCAACAATGGTCATTGATTATTCTTCATTGCTCTGGTCTGTAGGAGCGCCAGGCAGAACAGAGCTAGCGGCCAAATCACCGATAAGCTGGAGCATCAGGAATCAATGACTAATTCACATAAGAAATTAAACTTCACAGAAAACAGTGAAGAGCAGCAAAAGAAAAGCCCTTGGACCCTGTAAAATGCCACAGATGCTGTGGGGCCTTGTGGTTGTGACCAGTACGGCAATGCACAAGCCACCAGTCCATTTCCTGCACCAACACAACAGAATGAGACATGCTACCCGCTCCCCAGCACTCTGTGGGAACCTCCCAGTTACAACCTGACACACCTTCAAGCCTGGTCTGCCTGCAGCCTTGATCTAAGGCATCACAAAGAAGAAATCCAATCAAGCAGATTCTATTTGAACACCGAATGCACGTCTGTATTATCCACTCCAGTCTGGGTCTCCACTGGAGGCTGAGGGTCTCTGCACAGAGGAGTAGGGCACAGGGAGGGAACACATGCTGGAGTAGCCACCCTCTGACTTCATCTCTGCTCTGGGCTGGACATGAGGTTTGGCCCAGCTGCTCTCTCTAGATGGCACAGCCTGGGTCAAATCACTAGGAGTGGAAGGATAACTAGGCAGGAGGTCTCTAGGTAGAGCTTGTTGGAGTATGAAGAGAGGCACGCATGGTAACAGGAGGCACATCCTATCCTGCTATTGACAAAGATGGCACCTCAGGACTCTAATGCGAAGTATGATGTATCCAGGAGGCCCAGCTGCATTGATCTTGACACCGCCTGAGACCTGGCTCAGGGATGTCAGGGAGTTGAGTGGCTGGAGCTGGACAGACATGTGCTCAGATCCCAGCTCTATCCTTGATCAGCTGTGTACATCCAACCTAATCAACCAACCTTTCTGTGCCCCAGTGTCCTCATGTGTAAAACAGGAATATAATAGTAACTCCTGCCTCAGAGGGTGGTTATCAAGATTAGGGAGATAAAGTACTTTGCTAGGGGCTCAGTAAACATCAGCTATCTTCCTTGTTCAAGTTCTCTATGGAGAACCCTGGAGAGTTGCCCGAGTCTCTGGCTGTCTGGGGTGTGGGTGGGGAGCTCCTATGTCTTTTCATGGGCATCCAGATATTGTCACTGGGGGCTTGTGGAGGCGGTGCATTTTCTGTTCTGGACATCTGACTTCAGAAGGACAGGCCCCAGAAGGCTCGTCCTTGCACCTGCAGGTGTCACAGCCATGCAGCCAAGCCTGGCAGAGGGCAGGGCATGGGGTGCCCACACCCTCGGAGACCCCAGAAACCCTCCCTGCCATGTTACTGCCCTGAAGACCTTCCAGTGGAACAAGATATGGAGGTGGAAGGCAGTGATACTGACGATCCTGACCTTGTGTGTGTCTAGGCTAATGAATGTATCCGTGTCTTAGTTTTTAACAAAAAAAAGTAAAAAAAAATTTTTAAACTTAATTTTTAATTTTCCTGGGTACATAGTAGGTGTGTATATGTATGGGGTATATAAAATGTTTTGATAGATATGCAATGTGAAATAAGCACATCATGAAGAATGGGATACCCCAAAAATAAATTTTAAAAATAGAAAAAAGCTTACAGAATAAGGATATCAAGAAATAAAAAATTTTTGTAGAGTTGTACATGTTTGTGTTTTAAGCTAAGCCTTATTACAAAGAAGCCACAAGTTAAAAGTATTATTTATAAAGTAAAAATATTACAGTACTCCAAGGTTAATTATTGAAGAAAAGCAATTTTCTAGTAAGCTTAGTGTAGCCTAAGTGTACGGCTTATAAAGTCTACAGGAGTGGACAGTTTATAAAGTCGATAGGAGTGGACAGTTTATAAAGTCTACAGGAGTGGAAAGTAATGTCCTGGACCTTCACATTCACTCACCCTACACATCTTCCAGGCCTGCAAGCCCCATTCATGGTAAGTGCCCTATACGGGTGTGCCATCTTTTACACCATATTTTTATTATCCCTTCTCTATGTTTAGATACGTTTAGATACACAAATATCATTGTGTTACACCTGCCTATGATATTCAGTACAGTAACATGCTGTACAGGTTTGTAGCCTAGGAACAATAGGCTATGCCACATAGCCTAGGTGTGTAGCAGGCTACACCATCTAGGTTTGTGTAAGCGAAATCTATGATGTTCACACAACTACAAACTCACCTAACGATGCATTTCTCATAAGGTACCCCTGTCATTAACAGATGCATGACTGTATATGACATATATGCATGATTACATATAACGAATTTAACATATTTACAAAGTGACTACTAAGTATATGGAATCAAATTGATTTAAAAGGCTACTGACTCCATATATTTGTGTCATATTTCTCATATAAAATATATTTAAGGATAACCTTATATTCATAAGTGTCTAAGGAACTTTACTCTCATTATAAATAAATTGTAAGTTAAACTGGCCAACTCTAAATGTGTGCTTGACTAAAGTTAGGCTGGCAGAGAGCCGAGTTCACGGACTACATCGTTTTACTGAATGACGTCATACCACAGCCTATCCCAGGGACACTGCAAGAAATGGTCTCAAGAACCAGCATTGTATATATCACCGTAGGATATGGTGAAGGATGTGGCTTGTCACGTCACAGATTATGAAAGCCCACAGGAAAAACAAGTCAGCACCACGGACAGCTCCAAATCCTCTTGAACTGCATGGTTCTTTTCTATTAAGAACTCTCAAGCCACTCAGTTTTCTTCCTGTTACTGTTTGCATAGAAACTTGGTGCCAAATTTGCATCTTTTCTTTCCAGGTGGGTGTACAAGGCCTTAGGATATGAATGTTGGGTGCTAGCCTTACCCTGGTTTTATCTTTGTTTCCTCCCTTACTGACTTCTTGGCAGTGAGGATACATTTTTAGAAAAAAGCTCCCCAGGGGATTCTAGAGCACAGTCTGGGGATAGGAACCCTACTCTAGCCAGATCATGGTTATCAGTGAATTTTTGAGCTAGATGTTACCTTAGAGATCTCAGGCGAATCCCCTTGGAAGAACTAAAGCCCCAATCATTTCCAAGCTATCAGCTCTGGTTGTGAATACAACTGAGACAGAACCCAGGCCTCTGTCCAGTGGGCACTCTGTCTACTCCCTATGCTGTTCTCACAAATACCTTGGGACACCTTCACCTGTGGTGTCCTTGGTGTTCGCAGATCCTCCCCTTCTGGCTTAGAAACCTTGTGTGACCAGAGGACCACTGCCTAAGTTGTCTCCAGGAATTATAGGAAAAAAAAAATTCACTTGCAAACAGCTGGCCCCATCTGCTAAGAGATTGCAATGAAACAAGCCCCTATATAGAGCTCTAATGGAGATTATGTCAATGCTTCCTCTTGTAACAGAGTGTCAAGCATGTTATTTGACACTGGGTCACACTCCCCACTTTAAATGCCAGCCGGTCCCAAGCAAGGACAATGCTATCTGTATGAGCATGAACCCAAACTAAGGCTAAGAGTCTCCCTTGGACTGAGGAGTTCTCCTGACATGTTCCAAGAGTCTCCCAATAGCTAAATATCTTATAGCTTGGTCAGAGGTGGCAGAACATACCCTGAAACCAGCCTGACAGGTTTCAATCCCAGCCATGCTACTTACTAGCTGTGTGACCTCAGTCAAGCTACTTAACCTCTGTGTGCCTCAGTTTCTTCATCCTTAAAATGGGAATAATATTAATGTTTATCTCCTAGGGTTCTGGTGGGGATTAAATGAGTTAATACGTGAGAAGAGCACAGCGTGCCTAGTCAGGTAGTGCAGGCAAGGGCACAAGAAAGCAAGAGCTTATCCACTCCTCCCGTCTTTTCTGATCACCCTCTACACACAGGGCATCCTGCCCAGGGTAGCTAACACCTGCCACCACTCACAGATGTTTGCCAAGCAGGAAGCTTAAGGCAAAAAGCTTTTTTTATTTTTTTTTTAAATAGGCCATTTAAATCTGCTTTTCTTTGATTTTTCAAGCACGTGGATTGTAAAATGCTAGATTTATTTTTATCCTCTCAAGTTAACTTTAGAAATCAGCAATGCCAATGCAGAGCCCCAAGGCTGGAAAGCAAGGCCTGGGGGAGCCAGCATGTACACAGGGCTCCCAGCAGGGTGCAGCGGTCAATGCCTACTCATCCCTGAGACTGCACTCTGGCTGGAAGGTTAACTCACAACATTTGACTAAGCAAGTCTTTTCTTCCTGTCAACAGCCACAATAGCCACTGCCACCTTGGCATGCTTTGTGCTTGTGTTTTTCAAAGGGCCAGTGCCAGACAGCAGACCTTTTCCTTTGCACTCTTTTCCCTCTGAGTGGATGTGCCCTCCTCCCTGACCTGGTGTATCACAGCAGGCTGACCAGGGGCAGGCACAAGCCCTGTGCCCACCCTGTGCCTGGGCTCTCTGCTTTGCTTCCCCAGTAAGGAGCCAAGCCAAACAAGGCACCCTGTAGAACTAACACAGAGAAACACCCAGTGACAGTCTCTTCTCAGAAAGCCTTGTCTTTTGCAAGAGCACGGAAACAGAGGCATTCTATTGCTATCTCTGCACCACTTTTGGGCTCCTGTTCAGGGCAGCTGGCTTAGGTGTAAAATGCTTTTTTCCTGCCCTACTGGGTCATGAGAAGCTTTAAAAATGCCCAGTATAGAATAGATACATTAAATCCCAATGACTTACAAAGCCATACCCACTCTAAAATTCTGTTTCTCCATGCCACACACACTCTTCATGTCCTTTCCTTCCCTAGGAGGCACCCTCTGGGGCACCTCAGAAGCCTGGTTCTGTGGCCACCTCTACACCCTGCATGGACAAAGTAACAGTGGGCCTCCATTCAACTCTGGGAGCCAAACGCAGCAGTAGGCATGCACGGGAAAGGACTGAAACCCTTCAGTAATGTTTGGGGTTAAAAAACCCGCAATGCCCCCATTATGGCTGTGGGATCAGAGCTCGGGTAGGATCCTGGTCCCAGCACTTTCTATTTATGTGACTTTGGCAAGGGACTTGATGTCCCTGGCCCACCATTTCCTCATATACAAAATGATCTCACAAAATTGTATGAAGATCAAATAAGAGTGAACACAAAACACATATCGCAGAGCTTGGCACATGGCAGGTGCTTGGAAAATCCTTAGGATCAATGCTGTTCAGCCTGTTGGCATGCGATTTCCTCCCTTATGATACAGCATGCGACATACGTCACAGCCATCCTCTGTCCAGCAAGGCCAGCAAAGCACCTGAAACAGCCAGGCATCCAATAAAGGTCTTCTGAAGGGAAGGAGGACTGGCCATGTGGGCCACCAAAAAGTGGGGGTCCAGGTTTGTGCATGCATACATGTGAGCCTCGTCTATTCCATTAGACAAAGCTGAGTGTTCTGTGCTTGTCTCGAATCTCTTGTACTACGTTGTACGGTACCCAACCCCCTACAGGGATATTTAATCAATGGCTTGTTACCCCTTTGATTGGCTGACATGGGAAGGTGGCCAGGGTAGAAAGAGGACAAAGCTTAAAAATAAGAGTGCTAACCATTTTTCAAGTTTCTCCTACTGCATACCAGGCCCTGCATATGCATTAGACCATTTATTCTTCTTTCAGCCCTGTCAGCCCCATTTTATGGATAAGAAAAGAGGTTCAGAGTAGTCACATCAGCCACTCAACTTTTAAGCAGAAGAACTGAATTCTGATTTCCAAAGCAAACACTCTTTCCAAAAGAGGCAGACAGACAGATAGGCAGACAGAGAGACAGAAGGGCAAAGTGATGCAGAGCATGGGCTCTGGAGCCAGACAGCTGGGGTTCAAACCTCGGCCCTGCCACTGCCACCTGTGTGACTTTAGGATGCCATGTGCCCTTCCAGTGTCTTCAATTGTACAAAAAGGGGGATGGTAATACTTGCCGTAGGAGGGCCGCTATATTAGACAAGCTACTCCAGTCAAAGCGCCAGCCCCATACCCCACACAGCAAGCCCTCCATGCACACCAGCTGCTGCTGCATTACCCTATGTCACCCCTGCAAGGGCAAAACACCAGCACCTTGGGCTAGTGTGTCAGTTTCCTATTGCTGCTGCAACAAGTTACCACCAAGTTATGACTCAAGATAGCATAAATCATTATCTTACAGCTCTGGAGGTCAGGAGTCTGAAGGGGTTGGCACGGCTGCATTCTTTCTGGACGCTCTAGGGGAGAGTCCATGTCTTCGTCTTCTCTGGCTTCTCAAGGCTGCCTGCATCCCTCCCACCTCTGATTCTGTCATCACTTCTTCTCTGAACTTGATCCTCCAGCCTCCCTCTTAGGAGGACCCCTGTTATATCAAGCTCACCTGGCTCACCCAGGATACTCTTCCCATCCTACAGTTCTTAATTTAATTGCATCTGCAAAGTCCCTTTTGCCATATAAGGTAACACACTCACAGATCCCAGGGCTGAGGGTATCTTTAGGGGTCACTGATCTGCCTGCCACAGTTAGTATCTGCTGTGGTCTGAGGACGTCTGTGCTCCCTCGGGTCTTCGGCATGTGCAGTTCCTCAAGGAAGCTGTGGGCTCTCTCAAAATGCTCCAGTACCCAAGCCCCCGACACCCAGGTAGGGAGCTGCAGACACTGACCTGCTCATCGATCTTCCGCTGCAGCTGGACCACCTTGTTCTCCATGCCCACGTTGAGACGTTTCAGATGCTCTGCTGAGCGGGCCTCAATCCTGAGGGCCTTCAGCTCCCGCCTGGCCTTGAGCATCCGGAAGGCACACTGGATGACAATGGCTGCATCCCGCAGCCGCTGGAAGTGCCTGCGTGCCATCCAGCCCCGCACGTGCTTCTGGATGGTGGTGGCCTTGTGCTCCATGAGGACCTGGCGGGAAACAAGGATACACATCTTGTGGGTTTGCACTGCAGGACAGGAGTGAAGGAAGCATACATCACTGCCTGTGGAGGGAAGAGGCCAGGGCAGCCTTGGTTCTAGGAGTTACACAGACAATGTGCCCCCTAAGATCTAAGGCTTTGGTGGTTGTTTTATAACACATTTCAGCGAGGTTCTGCGCCTACATATCCACAGGGAATCAGCTGTCAAACTCTTTTCAGCTTTGTTTTACTTTTTGTTTTATGGGTTAGGAAACCACAGTCTGAAAACCTCAAGGTTGTAGGGGCCTAATGATCATCCACTTGCTCTCTACCCATTTACCAGGTGGAGGTCCCCTCCTGGTGGCACTGAGCTGGAAGTGAGATACTTCAGTGAGTGTCCACAGCAGGCTAATGGCTTATAATTACAAACTTGGTGTGTAATTCACTGTTTTTTTTTTTCTACCAAGTTAAAAAACCACTCAGGATATGAAAGCATCATCAGTGTGCTCGCCCTAATACCTGGTAAAATAAATGTTTGTGGAATAAATGAGTAAACAAGCAAACAGGCTGAGCAATGAACAGTGCCACAGCCATGAGTGACAGAGCTGGGAGCCACATCAGTGCTCACTCTTTGCACATGCTGCCCCTGCTGAGAAACTCCCAAACATCACCTGCCCCTTCCATGGGAGCAGCACACCAACGCCACCCATCACCCAAGAACACTCACAGAACCTTCTCCCAATGGCCTGGGTTTCTCTACATACTACACCAGGGTGTGCTCCACCCTGACCACATTTTTATTATTATCAATTTCGTGCTTTACTTTTATTATTTAGAAAATCACACCTTCTGTGATCATAGAAGAGACAGATGTTCATTTAATGAAAAAGAAAACCATTTTAGACATTTCCTTCCAATTCGTGTTTCAAGTCAGCTCTGTGCTTCAGATGTGTTGGTGTTACCTGGTTGAACAGATGTGTCCTGATGTGGGGCTCCTGAACCCAAGGGTTTTGGCTTCACTGGAACAACACAAAGAGCAAGAACCTGGCAGGGAAGAGGTCGGGGCCTCCCTCCTGACCTCACCATGTTGGGCTTCAAGCTCCTGATCCGTTAAGTGGAGGAGTTAGACCTGATGATGCCCAATACCACCGCCTGCCCTCAAGTGTGAATGAGCCCTAGGTGGGTCACCTGGCCCTGCTGTTGGCTGGCCTGGGCCCTCAGGCAGGTGACCTGGCTTCTCTGAGCAACTCAGGTATCAGAAGGGGTGTGAAAACTGCCATGATTGGATGCTGGGCCCCTTCAAAACTCATGTTGAAATCTGATCCCCTATGTTGGAGATGGAGTCTAACAGGAGATGTTTGAGTCATAGAGGCAGATCCCTCATGAACAAATAAATGCCCTTCTTCAAGGGTGATTTCTCACTGTTAGTTCTCATTAGAGCTGCTTGTTAAAAGAGCCACTCTTGTGCTTCCTCTCTCACCATGCGACCTCTGCACACACCGGCTTCCACCTCCCACCATGAGTGGAAGCAGCCTGAGGCCCTCTCCAGAAGCAGATGTTCAATTGTGAACTTTCTGGCCACCAGAATTGTGAGCCAAATAAACCTCTTTTCTTCATAAATCACCCAGCCTCAGATATTGTTATAGCAACATTTAATGGACTAAGACAACAGTATGCACACCCTTCCTACCTTGTGGGACTTCAGAAAGGATTTGGTGAGAGCAGAGATGTGAAAGCATTTAGAAAAAAGTTGGGAGTGCTTGACAGAGGTTCACGTTGGCAGTAATTCATCTGTTGCCACTTTAGTTCTGAATCTGCAGCCCTGAGGCCCTCAGAGTGGCTACTCACCTGGCGGTAGGTTCTCCGCACAAACATGGCCCGGGTGAAGGCCTGGATAACAACGGCAGCTCTGCGGACCCTCTGGTAGGCCTGGCGGGCCCTCTGCATGCGGTAATGTTTCTGGAGCACCACAGCCGCTCTGATCCTCCGCAGGTGCTCAGCCAGCCTGGGGAGCAAGAGGAAACAGGCAGTGTCAGGGAGAGAGTATTGACCGCCCTGATGCAGAGAACCCTGAGACATCTGCAAATGCAAACCTCTCCCTCTGTGGCCCTACCTGGACACACCCAGGGGAAACCAACTCTCTTCACCCCTAACAAATGTAGCAATGCCTTAGGCATTTGACGTTGTGGCTAGAAAAGCAGTGTTAGTTCTTTCCTTATGGTCTCGAAAGGCTTCCCACAAGCTTCAAACTCAGTCAGAGTCTGACTTCCTCTATGATCCTTATCTGAGCACTCTTCTACCTCACTGTGCCTGGGCAGTCCTCAACTACTTCACCAGTAGCATTCTACATCATGTGTTCACATTGCTGCCTGTCCTCTGTACCTCCCCAGGCTTGGAGATCCCAGGGGCTGTGTCTCCATCATCCTGGACCCACTGTAGGCACTGGGTAAGTGTTTGCTGAATGACTAAACCTTCTCAGGCCCAGACCAATCTCTGTTTCCTTTATCTCCTCAACCCTTTCTGCTCGGGATGCATGGAATGTGGCCATTTCCTCTCCTCTCTTGCCTTTCTGCCTTCCCATCTCACCTCCCAGATAAAGCCAGTCTAACACTTCCTCCCCTTCTGAAGGGTCTTGTTTGCTGCCAGGCCTATAACAAGTGCTCAATTAGAGACTCAGTGTGAAATGCTAAAAAAGACCTTGGAAATCATTCAGCAAAGCCTCAAAGGAGAAAGTGACCCACTCAGCCCATGTGTCACCTGTTTGCTGAAATGCATCTGATTCCCTAGTCTAGCTCTCTGTTTGGCCTCCAAACACAAGACTTTGTGGCGATTATTGTCACTTCTCTAAGGAAATTCCTTTCTGGAGAGGGCACTGGACTTGAACCAGGCCTGGGCTCAAAACCTAACAACCGAGGGTAGGGTCAGAGGGCAGGCTGTCTTCAGCCTGTCTTGGCTGACACACTCCTGCTGCTGTAGTGCCTCATCAGCCCAGTGTCCGTGAGGAAGGAACCCTGCAGTAGTTTCTTCTGCTCGGGGTCGAGCTGGGGGCAGGCAGGGGAGGCTGATTGGCATCCTGACTCAACCCCTAGGTCAACACTCCTGCTTAGACAAGCCACTCTCTCTCCATCCTGGCTTGTGCAGTAACTCGCAAAAGGGGCCTCCCAGGACCTTTGCAGCCCTAATCACCTGACTCCGAGGCATTATGAAATCTGTGGAATAAGTAATGAGGCCAAGCACAGGTTAACTGTGCCAGGCTGTATTGGTCTCTTTTCCTAAAAGGAGTTAGTTTTTTACTTTGGGGTTCAGGCAAAGGGGAAATGGTTGGTTTGTGGCAAAACCAGCTGGTTCTAATGCTGGTAGGATGGAGGGAGCCTGGGGAAACCAGGAGATGTGGAAACTAGACCTACCCCCTGAGGTGAGAAGGCATTGATTATAGGGATAGGCCCAGCTGCCGAGGAAAAGCCAAGATGCAGACATGGCCCCAACAGGAACCACTCTCAGCACAGAGGAAGAGAGAAGCCAAGTAGCTGAGAAAGGCAGACCCCCATCTTCCCCACCATGATCTGCTGCCCTGAGCTGCCACAGTCTGGCTCACCTGCGGGCCAGGTGTCCCCGGCAGTACCTCTGCAGGGTTAAGGTAGCCCCCTTCAGCCTGTGATATTTCACCTTCTGCAGCCATCCCCGGACAGTTTTCTGGATCATGATGGTGGCTGTCCGGAACTTGTCAGCCCGCAGCTTCTCCAGGTAGGCCACCTGGCCTGCTCGAAAGAAGATCTTGGTGCGGCCAAACTGGAACTTGTCGGGGTCCTTTACAAGGTAGGGAGGGGATCTGGTTGGTCACCAGTGAGCAGAGAAATAACATGGCCCATACCACCCTTGTTCTTCCCATGCAGAATCCCCTGGCCAGACTTCATGCACCCCTCTCTGTAGATGGACACAAAGTCTCAGCATTTGCTTAACAGACCCCAAGACCCTACTACGGGCCAGACTCTAGAACATGGCAGTGAACAAGACGCCTGCCCTCAAGGAACTGACATCATGGTGAGGGCAGACAGACAAGCAAATAAAGATGCTTTCCGTTTTCAGAGAATGGTGAGGATTATGAAGAAAACAAACTGGTGGCTGGTGAGCGTGGGATGGGGATGTTCAAAAAGGATGCTCAAGGAAGGCAGCTCTGTGGAGGTGACAGCTGAGCAAAGACCTAAATGAGCTGAAGGAGGCAACCACAGAAAAGAAGGAAGGAGGAAAGTTCCAGGAGAAGGGCAGAGTGGATGCCTATGTCCAGTGGTGCAACTGCTGGGTATATCTGAGGATCAGGAGAGCCAGGATGGCTAGCTGGGGGAACTGAAGGTGATTGGTGGGAGGAGCCAATCACCAAAGGCCTCGTAGGTTGCAGCATAAAATTGGGGTGAGAGCCACAGGCAAGCTTTGAGCAAGGAAATGACCTGATCTGATCAACATTTTAAAAAGATTATCCTCAAATGGCCACACAGTTGTATGCATAATTACAGGATGCAAATAACCCCCAAATAAAACTATGAGATTGTTTTGGACCTGTAATTACTGTCTTAATTACATCCATTAGGTTAAAATTAGTTGCCCTTCCCTGGGCTCACCCCTTTGGATGAGGAAAGACAACCCAGCAGGGTTCCTGTGGACAAGCCTGGGACAGAGCACTGGGAGAGTAACCCATGATGACAGAGCTCTTTGTAAATCAACTGCCATCTCATTTTGCTCACTGGCATGAAGACCATAATGAGAAAGGAAGGAATGAGCCAAGTCCAAGGAAAATACACACACAACATTGCATTTCATGTTGGCAAATGGCCCTGAAAAATGCTGAATCATCATTCTTCATAGGTTAAGCCCTATTGGGTTACTAGGAGTCGGGTTCCACACACAGGGAAGGCTGTCCTGCCTGAGCTAAGGCTGAGCTTGCAGCAGAGCTTCCAGCTTGAGTGTCACTGACTGAGTCCCCGGCCTGGGCCAGGCTGCTCGTGAAGCTGGCAAGAGTGGGCTCTGGGCCTGGCTCTCCTCCCTGTGTCTGCTCAGAGCCATGCACCCACTGGGCCTTCAGCTCATGCTGAGAGGAACAGGGGCTGGATGGGACTTGGGAGCTTTGAGGCAGCCACGGCCCTGCTTTGATCTCTGCCCTGCTTGGGGAGGCTCCATGGCTCAGCCAGGAGGGGTTAGGAAGCCAAAGCACGGTAGCTAAGCCCCTGAGTCAGGGAACAAGCCTGGGTCCTCCAGCTTAAGCAGAGCCAGAGGCTGGGGGCTGTCTACCGCATCCAAGCAACAACAGTACCTGCGCTTCATTCCCTATTTCGGAAAAAAAACAGGAAGGGATGATATGCTCTGCAAGGCCACTTTTTCTGAACAAGGATTTCTCTGAGGGTCTCACCTGCTCCACTGAGACACCCATCAGCCTCATCTCCATACTGTCCTCACCCTGTGTGTCTCCAGAACATCTCCCACCCAGATCTGCTTCCTCTAACCCTTAGAACTGACTGTTGACTGATCAGTCGATCAATCATCTTTTGAGAACCTTTCTCCAAGAGTCAGACTGCAGGGGCTGAAAGCAAACTTAGCAATCCATTCCAAGCCACTCCTTTTACTTCACAGATGATAAAACTGAAGCCTAGAGTAGTGAAGTGACTTGCTCAAGGTGACTTGAGCAAATATCAAAGGATAACCCCAGATCTGGGTCTCCCAGGCCCCAAGTCTCCAACTGCAGCATCCCCTTTCGTGACACTGTCTCCTCTACACAGTGCTCACACACATCCTTGTGCTCCGTTGGCTCCCTGCAGATGTTTGTTAATACACTCCTTCGCCACTGTGATGAAGATTCAGGCTTGCACGACAGCCAGTCTCCGTGATGTGGTCCTCTACAGTTATGGCCATCGTTACATTAGACTATTATTAATTCTGGAGAGTAGGGTCCATGTAATGCACTCTTTTTATAACCCTCACACTAACCCCTCCAGATTAGAGTACAAAGAATTCAGTATGTATCTGTGGAGTTAAAGAATAAACAAATTCAGGTTAAGAATGATAGGGGCTATTCCTAAAATCCTTGCAGGGGAGAGGCCACCAGAATCCACTTTTCTCCCCTAAACAACCACAACAATTTATTAAAACCTCACTGACAGCCTAACGAAGCAGCCCCCAGCCCCAGGCTGCCCCTCCAGGAAGGTGGTCTTTAAGTGCCTGGTGCCTGCCCTGCAGGCCACCTTTGTCCCCACTTCTCATCGTTCTGTTCTAAAACGTACTTAGAACTTGCTTGGGACAGGGTGGGGAACTGGCATGTGCCCCTCTAAGTTAACACGCAGCTCTGTCAAGTCTTAGTTTCTCGATACAAAGTCCCAGGTCACTCAGCATGAGAAGTATGGGTGTCCAGATGTGGCCCAAGAAGAGGAGAAAAATAAAAAGGAGGAAATAGAAGACCCCAGGGAAATCTTTAGCATTAGTGTCTCTATTCAGTCTCCAGGAAGGATAACTGCACTCAGTGACATTACTCAATCAGACTGGATCAGAGGGCAATGTAGTTTAGACAGCGGGAGTTAGAATCAGTCCACCTAGGCAACCTTGGGCAATTTATATCAGCTTTCTGTGCCTCAGTTTCCTCATCTGTAAAATGAGGGTGATTTCTGTATATTCCTCATAGGATGAGCCATTACTGGCAGGTTTCTAGTCATGAGCAGCTCTTGGCTAGTTCCCCAGCCAGCTGCACCAACTCATGTATTCCTGTGACAACCAGGAATTGTGCTAGGAACACAGCCACAACAGGACCCTTGTCATTTATGTGTTCACAGTCTGGTGAAATGACAAGCCCTCAATTACAACATAAGGGGATGAACACAATAAAGGAAGGGAGGAGGTGAGTGCTGCTGGCCCATAGAAGATGGAGTAGCTAACAACATCTGGGAGGCTAGGAGGTATTTCAGAGCTCAGTTTGGAAGAATACCACTTTGTCAGGCAGGCAAAAGAGGGGAAAAAGCATTGCAGGCAGAGGAAACAGCATGTATTCCTATACTTTTTCTTTAGGCAAGTCACTTGTTTTTTCATTTGTTCCATAAATATTAGGTAGGCTCCCCCTGCGTATTAGGCTCAGCACTCATAACTAAGGAGGTGGTGTAAACATAAAGACACTGTCCTCTACGAAAAAGGACAAACACATCTGGAACATAGGTCAGCATGCTATGGGCTCTAAGAGTGACATGAAGTGCCACATGCTAGACCATGGGAAGCAGGAGGGAGAAGCTGCACTGAAGCCGAGCACTGAGAAGCAGGCAGGCTCCCCGTCAGTGAAGAGAAGAGGCAGCTGTGCCAGGAAAGGCCCAGTGTCCTGAGCACATCACAGCAGCAGCCCCAGGCAGTGGCATGTGGTCCCATTAACTGGAGGAGAGCCCAGTGTGGGGGCCGACTCAGCCAGTCTGATCCGGGTCCCCTCCAGAGTTCCCTCTTTGGGAATCAGAGGTCTTGGTGGTAATCCTGGAGAAATCCAGCGAAGGAACAGAAGAGGGAAACTATGATCCTAGACAAATGAGAAGGCAGCCACATGGCAGAGTGGGCTACTTGCAGGCCCTGAAATCAGCTGACCTTTAACAGAGATTTTTCTTGTCCATAAAAAGTAAGATGTTAAAATGTGGACACTGATAGGTGGACCACAGCAAAAACCTCAATCAACTGGAGTCCAGCTAACTATAGCCCTTGATTAACCAGCCTGTTACCCCCTTACCCTGTTTAAAAAAAAAAAAAAGATGGCATGGCAAGGTGGGCTAGTATTTAGGCTCTCTTTTTAAAAAGGCAAATTTAAAGCTATGCATACATTTACTATAATATTCTGCAGTGTCTATAGCTAGACTTGAGCAGCTAAGATGATGCTGGGAAGATGGCTGCGACACATTTACAAAATAAAACATGACCTTAGATCCTGATCATCTGGCAATGAGCTACTCCAGATGGATAGATTTTCCGAACAGAAAACCTGAAAAATTAAAATTTCTGAGGTAA
Source organism: Homo sapiens (assembly GCF_000001405.40). Classification (NCBI taxonomy): domain Eukaryota; kingdom Metazoa; phylum Chordata; class Mammalia; order Primates; family Hominidae; genus Homo; species Homo sapiens. The sequence continues at coordinate 49,910,837 of NC_000018.10, forward strand.
TTATTTTTATTACCTTGTTCAAGTGATTTTTGATATAATTTAACCTTTATCGAGCCATTAATGATCATACTCTGCTGTAATCCCCAAAATGTCTGGCACCATGGAAATGTTTAAGGATTTGCCCCTCACAAAAGGCCCCAATAGCTCCGCTTCTATAGTTCTCCAGTCTCAGCTGTCAGGTGTGAGTTCAAATTGTTTCAATTAAAACATAAAATCTATTGCCTTACTTAAAACAAGTATCTGGGGGAGGGCCTGAGGCTGGTGATGCAACCAGCTAGATGCAGCAGCTACCTTCCCCTCTGCTGGCTTCAGGGCTAGGCCTGGGCTCCACATCAGAGCCCTTACCCAGGTGTACCAGATGGGCCGTGCTATGTAGCCCCTGAGAACTAGAGAAGCCAGAGATCCTGAGCCGGCAGCTTGCAGTTAGCAGTAGCCTCATCATAAACCCAAGCAAGCTGTACAAAGAATTCTGCTGGAGTTCAGTCAGGCTGGTGGGAAAAATGTTAGAGATAGTTATAGAAACAAATCTTCTTGGAAGGCCTAGAAGTTTGCATAACTTTGGTAACAGATCTGGCTGAAGGTGGCCTGATCCCTTTACCTCTAGATAAACAAATGAAAATAGTAATAAAGAAAGGCAGAGTAGTTTACCTAGATAGCTTGTTTACTCATATAATCTTAAGACTAACCTTTGATGTACCACGGTTGTGTAAGTGCGTTTTTACTTGGGAAGTCCACAATGTCAATTATCCTCTAGTGGTGTTGACTCAAGCTTTTGTTAACTAATCTTACTGAATAAATGCAAGTCTGATCAGGGCCCAGTCACAACTGTTTACAGGACTCAGCAGGGAGCCTGTAAGTGGCTCAGACCCTCAGCTGAACTGGCAGAGCAGAATATCTGTGTGTCAGTATACTTTATTCATCCATTGCTGGGTCAGGGGTCTGCAAGGGACAGACTCCCTGCAGCTGGTGCCCTCGAGAGGAGCGCTGCCACAGAATTCCATTTTCTATGCCTGCTGAGCTGTAAAAAAGGTTGGGAAGTGCTCTAGATAAGGAGAATGGGTTGCTTTTTTTTCTAGTCACTGATGTAGGAAAATGGATTAATATCCCAGAAATAGATTCAGTAAGAAGGATGAAGACCAAAAAAAAAATGTAGATAACGACGCCACCCCCTCAATCTTTAGGGGACCTGGTCAGGCCTCTCCTGGAGCTGGGCTGTGTGGCTCACCTTGATGAGGTTCTCCAGGACAGACCTGCAGATGGCCTTTTTGTCTGTGTTGGCGAGCTCTCTCTTCTTGACCAGCACCCGATACCGGTTGAAAAAGTCATGGTAGGCCCACCTGGAGGGAAAGCAAAGGGGCATCAGGTGACACATCCTGCCTCTTGGCCACACAAAAGCCAGGCGTGACCTCAGACAGTTCCCTATGGGGTCAACACTGTGGCACAAAGTCATTCTCAGAGCAGCAAAGAACAGTCCCAGGGGAGTTTTGTCCTCCCCAGTGCCCTCCAAGAATTTCACTGTGAATGTGATTCTTGGAATTGTGGCTGGAGGGCTGGAAAAAAGGTGAGTTTTGAAGGTACTTCTTAGAGGACTAAACAGGAAGTTTATGCCTGATATGGTTTGGCTGTGTCCCCACCCAAATCTCATCGTGAATTGTACCTCCCATAATTCTCACATGTCGAGGGAGGTACCCAGTGGGAGATAACTGAATCATGGGTGTGGTTTCCCCCATACTGTTCTGGTGGTAGTGAATAAGTCTCATGAGATCTGGTGGTTTTACAAGGGGTTTCCCTTTTCACTTGGTTCTCATTCTCTTGCCTGCCGCCATGTAAGATGTTCCTTTGCTCCTCCTTTGTCTTCCGCCATGACTGTGAGTCCTCCCCAGCCATGTGGAACTGTGAGTCCATTAAAGCTCCTTTTCTTTATAAATTACCCAGTCTCGATTATGTCTTTATTAGCAGCATGAGAACAGTCTAATATATTGCCCAAGCATGCAGTGCTCCACTCCTCAGAAGCAGGAGCCTTACCTAGAGCACAGCTTTATTTTCAAATGTTGGTTTTCTTATAGAATACTGCTCATTGTAAACAGCTTTTTAAATGCAGAAATATGTACATTAACAAATAACAAGTGGCCGTATCCTAACCCCTGGAGAGATAACATGGTTTATGTTTTAATCAGTATAGAAGGAACCATTTTTCTCCCCAAAGTAGATTTTGCTTATGATTTTTTTCTTCTGATTATTAGAGTAATACAGGCCCACTGTAAAGAAAATGTCCAGCAATTCACATAATTAAGAGCATTTACAACACCCCTACCTATGTAGGTGAGTGCTGTTTTGGTCTGTGTGGGAGGGGAATCTTTAAAGAAAGCCTTAAGTTTTCCCCTTGGCCTCTGAAATGATCTCTACTTAAACAAATGCAGTCTTTCCAATGAGCAAATCTGCTATTTCCAGGTAGGGTCTGTCCCTTTCTCATTAAGGTGGTCTCGATTCATACATATGCTCATTCTCCTGAAACTGATTTTTCTTTCAATTTTTGGGAGGTATTCAACAACTTCTTCATATAGTCATGTAGTGACTCAGCACAATCCCTACTCTAAGGAGACTTTGAATTTTCACTCTACATCCCTCTGAAAGTCAGTCCAGCCTATCCCCACTTTCTCTGTGTCCTCAGTGGAGGTGTACAGGCAGCCCCCCACCCACTCTCATCTTCCGAGGCATGTGCTGTCCATACCCCTCACGTGGAAGTAATTTATGTGACTGTCCAACTACCTGATATGGACAGGAGACAGGGAAATACTGGACAGAAGAGGACAGTTCCCTGGCAAAGGCCCTACCCTCAAGCCTGGATACCCATGGCCCTAAATGAGGATGGGCATTCCTGTTTTTGCAACCAAAAAGTTGCCTTTTGGCCCACCACACCCCCTATCCTATACCCATATAAACTCCAAACCCCAGGCTCCAAAGGCAGACAAGGAGACAAAGAGACAAGCAGATCAGTGGCAGAACAGCACGACAGAAAGAGAGAAGAGAAAGAGCATCTGAACACTGAGAGGAGTTCACCTGGGGGTGGTGGGAGAGAAGTTTGGCCACTGGATGGCCAAACTCCAGGGGAAGATCATCTTCCCACTCTAACCCCTGCTTCCAGCTCCCCATCCATCCCGCTAAGAGCCACCTCCACCACTCAATAACCACCCCCCAGCAACCATCCTTCAGGTCCATGTGTGACCTGATTCTTCCAGGACCCTGTACAAGGGCCTGGGTACCAAGTGGGCACTGAGCTGGTTAACACTTAAGCCATCCACCGACGGCAGAGCTAAAACCACACTGTGACACTGGGGCTTCAGGAGTCGCAGGCTCCCACCCCTAGATGCTGCTGTGGGGCTAGAGCCCAAAAGGGCTTGTGCCGGTTCCTGCACCTGCCCTTCTGCCTGCTCCCCATTCCATAAGGGGTTTGAGCTTACAGCAGCAAACAGAGAGCCACACCCCCATAGCACACCCTGTGATGGGGGGCCAGGGAACTCTCCCGTCTCATACTCAGGTAAACTCACTCATTTCGAGATATTAAAAGAGAGTAAGTGGATTGTATCCCTTCTCCTGGAGCACTTCTGCCTTTTAAGAGGGCCCTTTAAAAATGTTGTCCAAAGAAACAAGGTAAAAGTCTGGCCAGGTGTGGTGGCTCACACCTGTAATCCCAGCACTTTGGGAGACTGAGGCGGGTGGATCACTTGAGGTCAGGAGTTCAAGACCAGCCTGGCCAACATAGTGAAACCCTGTCTCTACTAAAAGTACAAAAATTAGCTGGGCATGGTGGTGGATGCCTGTAGTACCAGCTACTCAGGAGGCTGAGGCAGGAGAATCACTTGAAACCAGGAGGTGGAGGCTGCAGTGAGCCGAGATCATGCCACTGCACTCCAGCCTGAGTAACAGAGACCTTGTCTCAAAAAAAAAAAAAAAAAAGAAAAGAAAGAAAGAAAAAGAAACGAGTGCTGTGGAGTATCACATACAGCTTTGGATTCAGCTGCAGCATGGTGGGCAGTACGGGCACACCGTGCTCTGGAGCAGGTTCTCTTAGAGCTCCAGATCTTCCAGCATTGCGGCCCTTGGGTTCCTAGGAGGACTTGTTCCTCCCAGCAGCCTGGGATGAGAAGGAAAATGGAGGCTGAGCTCCTTGTCTTTCCCCCTCCTCATTGCTCCTTTGCAAACGCTTTTCCTGGTCTGGTGGAAGATGTCTAACACAGCCATGGGTCTCAGAGAAGGGGTGAGTATAAGAGCAAATACCAAAATGACATCTCTCCCTTTTCCTTTTTTTTTCCTCTATGTAAAATGGCTCCTTACCGTTATAAAATTAAGTTTGAGCTATAACTCACATAATGTAAAATATACCCCTTTAGAGTGTACAATAATTGTTAGTATATTTGCGAAGTTGTGCAACTATCACACCCTATTCTGCCCTATTCTCCCCTCTTCACAGATCCTGGCAACTACTAACCTACTTTGTCTCTATGCCCATTCCCTCTTTAATTGGTCCCATGTGTCACGCACGTAGTGGCACAAGGGAACAAGAGCCCGTATTCAGCTCAGAGCTCATGAGTCTTTACAAGGCCCTGCTCATCAGGTCCATGTGGATTCCCTTCAGAAGGAAGGGCGCAGGGCGCTTAGAGCACCGAGGCCTCTGTCTTATGGCCTGGGAAAGGGTTGCTCTGCCCTTTGCCCTTTACTCACCGAGCAGAAACTATTTCCTGTCCCTCTAGTAGTGGAAAGACTGTGAACCAAACCCATTGAGTTGCTGATTATCTCTGACAGGAGGCTTTAACAATGGAAACATTTAAGGTTATTTGCCTAGCTACATATTGTTTTAATTATTTGATCATGTACAATAAATATTCAGAACACTCCTAAGCCCTGACCCATACTTGAACAACTTAATGCCGGAACCCTGGGGAAGAGAGAGCCAGAGCTGACAAACTGCCCATCAGATGTGTGTTTTAACACACGCCAGCATGGCTGAATTTCTCCCAGGCTCTTCCTGTCTCGGCCCCCAAGTTTTAAATATAGACACTTATCTTGGGGTAAGATGGATTTGGGTAAGAATCAGGTGGAAGAAACCATATGAAAAAGGGCCTCACAGAGTCCGAGTCCCCTTGGTCCCTGTGCTCACCATCCATCTTTGACTCTTTCGGCTTTGCTGACCCACCCGCTCAGGTGCGGGCTCCCCCTTTAAAGCTGCCCTGCCCTTTCCTTCCGTGTGTCTGAGGGCACTGCCCACATTATACACCATGGTTATTTGCATACACACTTGCTTTAGTTCTCCTTAAGAGTTTGCAATTTCACTGGGGAAATAATTGAAGCATCATTTAGCTGGGCTAAAAACCTTAAATGCTTCTAATTTGAAAACCTCTTACTGCTGACAGATCCATACTCAAGGAAATTACTAGAGTGAGGAGCTGTGGCTGCAAAGACATCAAGGCCAGTACAGGATGAACCTGGAGAACAGGAGGACAGAAGCCTGGCTCTGATGCCGGCCGGCAGTGCGACTGGGGCCAGTCCCAGCCTGGATGCCGCCCCTCCGCTACCTGTACAGTGGAGAGAACATCACCCACCTCATACAAGCACCACAGGGCTTTAGTAGCCAGGGAGTTCAGGAGATGGGGCGTATGGAGAGCTCCAAAGCTTCCAAAGACCGGAATTCTCTTGTTTCCTGCCTAAGCCACTCCCTTCCCCTTTTCTCACAAAGGTGTCCTTCACACACAGCTGTACCACAGACAGGGTGTGCAGAGAGGCTGAGGGGAGAGGAGATGCCAGCTCCTGTGTGAAGGCAAACCGTCCACTGAGAAGCACCACCATCGCTTCGTGGCCGTGAGGGTGGGGACACCCTCAGGAGGGACCAAGAGAGTTCAGTACCCACTATGGGGTCTGGGAAAAGGGCTGTAAAGATGTCGCTCCCCGAAGGACCCAGCATCAAATGTGAATTCTCCTTTCGGTGGATTTCTGTGAGAAAACAAACCCTCAGAGATAAAACTCTCCCAAGAAAGGCTCCCTCACCTTTAAGAGGAAAATCTTCAAAGTGAAGCTCAAGAGAATTTGTGATTCTTTTTCCAAAAATAGAACTTTTTAAAGGGGCTTTCTGATTTGGTGGGGACCTTTGGGTGTGTGTTCACTGCAATCACCTAAAGCTGGAACAGCCCACTCATGAAGACCACAGGCTGTCCAGGGTTTCTTGAGGCTGCCATGACGGAATCTCCCCCTCTCACAGCATTTTAGCTATTTCCGAGTCCACTGTGGGACAGAGAGCATTCCACCTCGTGTTGTGGATATGTTCATGCAGGGGTAGCTCCTCTGCAAGACTTGCACCTCCTTCAAGTCTGTCTCTGATCCACGTTTAACCCTTACAGCACCTATTGTCATGGTGTCCTTATACTCAGTTGCCAATTACAGTTTTAAAAATGGGTATTCTCCTGACCATTCAACACGTTAAACCTTTCCTACCAGTGTTTCTCACAGAGGGTGCTACTGGCTTTGGGGCAGCACCGTTGGGTGTGGGACAGTCCTAACACCATGCAGCATCTTTGGATCATTATCCCCGACCCCATTCACTGAGACATCAAAAATGCTCCCAAATGTTTGTAAAACGTTTACTCCAGACCATGGTTTGTAAACGTTTACTCCAGAAGAACAGGACACCTTCTCGACTTCCATCACCTCCACAGCACGACCCCCATCCTCATTAGATGGCCATCGAGACGCCTTTCCCCACTCGGTGTGACTCTGGTTCACTGGCCAGGAGGCGTCTTTTAACCTAATCACCCAATCCTGGCTTGGCTTCTCTTCCATTCCATTCCACATTAATGGTGGGAGAAGAGCCCTCATCCCAAGTCTAGTGACTCCAGGAATGTAATTCTTACTCAGCCCTGCTCTCCCTGGATTCTGACTTGCTTGTCAGGGGCCTGGCTGAGCATTCTGGACTTCAGTGGTGTGCTTCCTCCAGAATCAAGGGCTTCTTCACCTGGAGTGCCTCTAGCTTGCTGGGGAGCAGGCGCCCTGACAGGGTCAAGGAGTCACAACTGGGTGTATGGGAGAAGCTCAGGACCCGTGACTGCTTCCTGGTAGGAAGAGGGAGAGATCAGAGACAGTAACAAAGGCCAATATGGGATGGGCCAGGACAGGCATTCAGCAGAACCCACCAGTCTGGAAAGATGTTTCCTTGTAATGAGCTCCTCAGGCTCAAGGCAGGGAGTGGTAACACGGCTGCTAAGAATGGTGCAGGAAGCGCAGTAGCTTTGGGATGTTGTTTGGCTAACGGAGGTCCCATACAGAGCCTAACACCGGGTTTAACCATCTGCACGTGCAAATATTCTGCAGAACAACATGCCTGCTTGCAAGGGCCCCAATGGACCAATATGGACAGATGGTATGGAGCTGCAGAGTTACAGCACTTTGTGCTTCTTCTCCCTCGGGCATGTTTCCTCATGAGGGGACTGGCTGGATCAGACAAACCCTAGAGTCCCTCCAGTAAGACCACGGCATAAGGCCCTAAGTCACACAAATTCTATGACATCAGTCCACAAAAAGAATCCCTAAAGATGTCCTGATGGGTAACCTAAGGTTCCCTTAGAAAATGGTAAAGAATCCCTCAGAGCTCTTCCGGTCAGAATTAGGTGGGTCAACCCATCCTTTCAGGTACTCCATTATACCATCATGCAACCTAGCTGGAGGATTCCTGGTCACATGGAGGTGGAATGCAAGAGGTATATGCTTCTTTTCTAGTTAAAGAGCCTTACAGGAACCTATGAGCCTCAGTGGGACTTTGTTCCCTACAAGGTCTCACATGGAAACCAGCAGCAATTTGTGGGGCAGAATTGTTTGGCCATGCTGTGAGGCATACCTACCAGGACCAACAGGCTGTCTCTGGATATTGAGACATGGATCATCTTCATTATGCCACCAAGCAACATACACTTCTTTTCCTTTTTGAAGGAACAAATCAGCAGAGAAATAGATGATTCTGGATACAAGAGTTTCCCTTGGAAGTGTACTAGGGATGGACAAAATTTCTAAAGGGACATAAGAGGCCAGAATCAGAGAAGAGAGGGACACCTTCTCAAAGGCTCACAGGAACAGGCATCCTTAACCTGTGGACATGCGGTATGGTGGCTCTACCCTTTTCTATCTGGAGGACTTGACCTGATTACTTAACTTTTCTCGGGTATATTTCTTTATCCCTTAAATGAAATTGTCACTGTCTACCTTGCCTTCCTCAATGGTCAATGTGATCCTTTCAACAAATGGTCCTGGGACAAATGGATAAATGCATACAAAAGAATGAGACTGGGCTCTTACATGTAAACTCACTCAAAATGGATCAAAGTCCTAAAACAGTAAAACTCTTGGAAGAAAACACAGATGTTAGTTAGTCTTTGTGACCTTGGGTTAGGCAATGCACAACCTAATGCAATGACACCTAATGCACAACCAAAGAAATAAACAGATTTCTTCAAAATTAAAAGCTTTTGTGCTTCAAAGAACACTACTAAGGAAGTGAAAAGATGGTTCACAGAATGGAAGAAAATATTTGCAAGTCGTATGTCTTATAAGGTTCTCATATTCTTAATATATAAAGAACTCCTATAACTCCTATAACTCAACAAGAAGACAAGTAATCCAATAAAAAAAATGGGCAAAGGAGATCAACAGACATTTCTCCAAAGAAGATGTACAAATGGCCAAGCACATGAAAGATGCTCAACATCATTAGTCATCAGGAAAACGCCAATCAAAATCACAAGATACCTCTTCACACCCACCAGAATAGCTATAATGAAAAGGACAGACAAGAACAAATGTTGATGAGAATGCATAGAAACGGGAACCCTCATGTACGCTGCTGGTAAGAATGCAAAATGGTACAGCTACTGTGGAAAACAATATGGAAGGTCCTCAGAAGAGGAGAGTGTTACCATATGACACAACAATTCCACTCCAAGGTATACCCTCAAGAGAAAAAATGTGTCTACACAAAAACATGTACACAAGTGTTCATAGCAGCATTCTTACTTCCCCAAAAGTAGAAACAACCAAACATCCATCCACTGATGAACAGATAATATAAAATGTGCTGTATCTATCTGATGAAATAATATTCAGCAATATAAAGGAATAAACTACTGACGGTTGCTGCGCATGGATACATCTTGAAAACAGCCCTGAGTGAAAAGAGCCAGACACAAAAGGACACATATTATGTGATTCCATTTATATGAAAAATCCAAACTAGGCAAATCTATAGAAATAGAAAGTAGGTTAGCGCTTGCCAGGGGCTGGGAGTGGGGACTATTAATGGACACAGGGTTTCCTTTTGGGGTGATAAAAACATTCTGAAATTAGACAGTGGTGATGGTTGTATAACTCTGTATATAATGAAAATAACTGAAATTGCATACTTTAAAGGGGTGAATTTTATAGTAGATAAATTATATCTAAATTTTGAAAAGATGATGAAAACATAAGAGGTTTGTGGGTGGCCTTTATAAAGTAATACATACAAGTTTTCAGCTCTGAAACTCACGGAGGGGTTCCAGTGCAAAGGTTGTCACATGCTCACCCAGCACTCACACCATCAGAAACACTCCATGTTTGCCTTTCCTTTTATCCCCCAACTATGTCCTGGGCCTCCTAGGGGAACACAGACTCAGCCCCATTAGTGGCCCTAGATCTGAAGCCTGCAGAACTTTGTTGCAGAGGGAAGGAAACACAATTCCTCCCCACTGGCTCCGAGTTGGAGCTGAGACACAAAGTGAGGACACAGGAAAACCCACTCCATCCTATCACTGCTTGGATGTGACGAAGTGGCTTGTAGTTTACCCAGGGGGCAACACATGCCTTCAGGGTAATGATTTTAAGGCAGGATGCATTTTTAAATCACCTGGGGAAACTTGTCAAAATGCAGATGTTCAGGACTCAGTCTCAGGCTCTGACTTAATAGGTCTGAGGGGGCCCAGCTTCTGAGACTGCTGAGTATGTCCCCATGACTGACGTGCAGCCATGCGTGAAAACCCGTGGGTCAGGCTCCAGTCCAAAGGAACGAAGACAGATCTCACACAAAAGAGCCAGACCCAAAGGCTGTGAGATCCTGAGATAATGACTCATATCATTCCAAAATCAGTTCTCTATTATTCTTCCTCTGTGGGATGTTTAATAGCAAGGGAAGTAACTGTGCGTCTGTTTTAAACTCAACCATGATTAAATAGGGAGAGGAAGCAGGCCGCTTCTAAAGCTTCCCTTTAGTTCTCCAATCTTATGCTATTTACTCTTCACAGGACTGGGGAGAAGAAAGTTGAGGAAGAAGTGGAAGTCTTTTCAGAAAGTGCCACTTTTATGAAGTGAAGGTGGGAGGATGTGGAGGAGAACTCAAGTTCAAGCAGAGTTTTTTTTTTTTTTTTTTTTTTATAATATCAACATTTGTACATTCCCCCCACCACACACACACTTTTCGGGGTAAGCAGTATTTGCTTCACAATTTCTCCAGGACACAAAGCTGCTGACTCTCTGGAGAGGGAGACAGATGACTGCACAGGCACGAGACCTAGGAGCTGGGTGACGGGTGGAAAAGCCTCTCTTCCTGGGCAGTGCATTTATCACAGGGCTTTATGTGCATAACAATGGACATATTTCTTAGCCGCTGCACAGCATTTCAAATTGAGTGACACATTTTCATTTTAAATCAGACTCACAGAGAGCCATAATTCTCAGGGAGGATAAAAATAGACCGGTATAGGGAAGCCCGAGGGCAGGCTGAGGGAACACCCGGCAGCTACTGCTGTCCTGCAATGCTGCATTCCTGCTCTCTGGCTTGGTGGATTTTATTAATTTGGGGAAGGGGGGTAAGAATTCCTCTTCCAGGGCATCGGTAGGCTGGATGCAGGAACTCTGCCGAAAAAGCCCTCTGCTCGGGCTCTTGGGAGCAGCCCTGTGGATAATTCATCACAGGCTTCTGCAGTCCTGGGATGACGCATTTTCTTTTCCTTTGCCATCTCCTTCACTTTGGCTGCTTCCACACGGGAACTGTTGGAGATGGCATAAATTGTAATTCCCTTAATCAAAGAGGGCCATTGAAGTTTCTTTTGGAAACAGCTGTGCAAAGTTGTATGGTTACTTGACAAGCTAATATGAGCTGAATCACTTCGCTGTGTTGAGTTTTCAGCAGCCAAAGAGCAGAATTTTTGTAGAAAACTCCCAATTTATCCAGCACCCAACTCAGGTCCCTCTGGTCCTATGAAGGTCTCCTAAAGTCACATCAACAAAATAACTGCTCAACTCCACACTGAAGCTAGCACACATTACACTTGTATATTTCCTTCAGTAGCTAACACCTTGTTGGGCAGACAGTATCCACTAAACCTCACTTGCTTTATCCCCAGACACAGTAGGCATATACCAATCTCCTGGATTAAGCAGTTAGGTAGCATTATTATTTTAATCAGTGACATCACTCCAAATGGTTACCATGGTTGGCAGATGGAAAAGATTAAGCAATGGTGCTGAGTCAAAATATTACAGGTATAAGAGCTTCCTGCCCTCTCACCGCTCATCCTCAAAGTAAATGCCATCCTACATGCTGTGGCTTGGTTGTGGTGAGAGGAAAAGGATTAGGCTCTGGATTAAATGGTGAGGATGATTCGACTGCAGCTCAATACAGTACTAACAAAAGTGACACAAAACACAGTGCCTCTTTCCAAAAGTTAACATTTCAAATAGCAGTTTGGGGAGGGAATCCTCTCTTTGACCCTTTAGCAAAACTTGCTAAGATGGCAAATGCCAGGAGGATAAGGAAGGCAGCATTCTAGATCTAATTCCACACATTTAATTCACAGAATTAGAGAACAGTTCCTGTGATACCAGAAATACAGTCATTCCTTCCTTACAATTTCCACAATACCTGTAATTACAAAAAGAAGTGGTACAAATACACATGTAAGTATCTGCTAGAAAAAAGTCCAAAACAATCAGAATAGCAGTAAAAGACAGCTATCAGCTGCCCCTTAAGAGGCCAGGGGTTGTGGGCATCTTGACTCTGCTGGCAGCTCGGATTCGCAGCAAGGTGGAATGAACAGTAGGAGAATCCATTTTCCACGTGGGTCTAAAGACTTTGGGGAAATGCATTCTTTTAGCTGCTAAAAATGAGGTTGCCTGGATGAGGCAAAATCACACCTGGTCTCTCAGCATGCTACAACTAGGGGAGTAAGCAGTAGGAACAGGGCAGTGAGCGGCCAGAAAAGCCCTCTGCAACTTACTGTGCCTCCTAGCACCAGACATCATGTTGCTTCCTGGCAGGCAGTCTCTACACCCTTCAAAGTCCAGCTCAAGTCTCAACTCCTCAGTGAAGTTGCAGCTCCTCCTGCACTTGCACTACAACCTTGCATCTGGTTATATGTTGTTCTGTTTCAATCTCATATCACTTCCCTGCTGGGCAGGGCCCATGACTTGAATCTTTCATTCCCTCCCAGGAAGCAACACAGGGCTAGATGCTCGGTGCAGGATGAGATGTGGAAGAGAAAGATTCCCAGGAGAGAAGGACACCACAAAGGCCAGAAACTGTTCTCATTCTACATAGAACCCATGTGAGCCCCTAGAAGCAAAATCCTCTCCCCACTGGCTTCCCCCTCTAAAACCGACCATTTTGCATGGAGACAGCAAGACCAGTAGAAGTGTGGGCGACACACACTGTCACTCTGATTTCACACAGCGAGGCTTCAAGCTAGCTCAGCCAGTGAATCAGAGGTGGCAGAGATGTGTATAGACCTCTGCCTGAGCATGGTCTATGGTTAACCACGTCAGATCCATGGACTTCTAGCTCCTCCCTAACGTTCTCCAAGGAGAAACCCTTGAAGCAACATCCTGTGTAGTCTGTTGTTCTATTATTGAACAATTCATTCTGTTAAAAAGTTCTTTGTGAAATCGGTGGCCCCTTATATACTGAGGGGGGTCCCAGAGGTTCCACCTGCCTTAGAATATCTCATTGTCACATGCTTCCCTTGTTTCTTCTCCCCTGCTTGACATGGTCCTAATGTTCACACCTCCTACCTGACAAGTCCTCCATGAGCACCTTGGGTCTCTCTGCTCACCTCCAGACCTCTGCACTGTACAGCACAGGATGGTTGTGAGGACCTGCAATCCCACAGTTTCTTGTACAGTGATCCTCAACAGTTTAACATGGGACATTCAGCTCCAGTCTGTTTTGACAGACTTCTTTACATGTTTTTTAAACTGAGCTTTCTAATTGCTTGAAGAGGTCTGGGAATTTCAGAATGCTCTTTTCAGGTGGCCGCACATGTTGGGATTTCACAAAAATACCACCAGAAAGTTCTGAGATAGACACATTCTACCCAGATAGTTACACCCATAGGGAGGTAGCTTCTTGCTCATATCCCAATAAGTAATAAATATCTTACTAAATGCTCAAGTGTCCAGTGCTGGCTGAGAACTCTAGATACATTATCTAATTCCTTACAACAACCTACCAAGTGAGTATGATCATTCTTTTTAAGGATAGGGAAACCTAGGCTCATTGAGATTAATTTACTTCTCCAAGATCACCCAGCCAAGAAGTGTGGGAGTCAATACTTGAATCCAGGCCTGACTCCAAAGTCCAAGAATTCAACTACCAGGCTCTTTCAGCTTTCTGGCAGGCCACAGCTCTGCAGTCTGGACTCCCACAAGCTGGAAAGAGGAGGGAGTTTTGCACTGTCTCAGGTTTGGAGCTGGCCCCAGAGGGCAGTCTCTTAGGATCCTGCTTCACCCCTTCCTCCTCTGATAAACCTTTGCTGGGATGGTAACACTTCCTGCACACGAGCAGTAAGATGCTTGGCAGCAGCAACAGCATAACTTGGGGCAGAGGAATGGCAGGTCTAGGCCTAACTCAACCACCAACCAGGCTGGTAATCTTAACCAGCTCACTTCCTTGTCTGTGTCTCACTTGTAAACATGTGCTTTACATCCTGATGCACCCATCCCTATAGATAACACTGAACTATGACCATGCCACAATGTCCTTTCTCCCACAAATTGCCCTCTCCCATTTTCCACCCCAAGTTATTTCATGAAAAAAACAAAAACAGTATATTGGTCACAACCGTAAAACAAAAATAAAATTCTAAAGCCCCAACTATCTGAATGGATCCCTCCTTGCAGCCAGGGGCATTCCAAAGTTAACCTGAAACACTAGTTCAGGCCATGCTGGGAATGGGGAGCTGCACATGCCTCATTATACCCTCCTCCCTTTGGAATTACTAATAGAACAGACTCTATATCTGATAAGAAACATTTATAATCTATTCTCTCTGAAGCCTGATACCTGGAGAGTTCATCTGCATGATAAAACCCTGGTCTCCACCACCCTTTATCATAACCCAGACAGTCCTTTCTATTGATAATATCCCCACCAATTGCCAATCAGAAAATCTTTGAATATGCCTGTGACCTGGAAGCTCCCGCCTTCCGGTTGTCCCACTTGTCTGAACCAAACCATTGTATATCTTACATGTGTTGAGTGATGTTTTATGTCTCTCTAAAATGTATCAAACCAAGTTGTGGCCTGACCACCTTGGACACATGTTCTAAGGATCTCCTGAGGGCTGCGTCATGGGCCAATGGTCATTCATATTTGGCTCAGAAGAAATCTCTTCAAATATTCTATAGTTTGACTCTTTTCATTGACACAACCCATTGAATTGATATCCTAACCCATAAATGGGTTGCAGTGCACAGTTCTGAGAAACAGTGGATAAGGAAATGTTTTCTGTAGGTATGTCCTCTCCTGGAAGACTGGCAGATACAAGAGCCAGAAGCAGGAGTGCAGCCAGGAGCAGGAGTGCAGCCAGCTGCCCGTGGAAGATGGTTTGAAAACAAGTAGCTCCGCAGCTCCCTAAGGTCCTCTTCTAGTTCTTAAATTGGATGAAGATATGTCTGATCTGAACCCTGGGCTTGTAAGCAGGCAATGAAAGGCAGTCTAATTTGTCAGACTAGTGGTTTGAACTCAAAACTGAACTACTGCACCCATTGCCTGAGCCCCATCCCCTCCATCAAAAGGCCAATGTAGGAGACTGCAGGGTAGACTGGGAAAAGGAGTGCCAGGCCTTCATCTGAGGTGACAAGCTTGGCCCACCTCATTAACAGAGTTGTTAGCTATTTGTGTTCAGACCCTAAGGTCAAAAAATGAGAGGCAGGCCCAGGACACTCTCTGTCCTTTTTTCTAAGCAGGGACAGATGTGGTTGAAAAGAAAATAACAACAGCCTTCAACCTAGCTAGAGCAGTTCATCCTGAACAATGCTGGGACCCGCTGGGTTTTGAAAAGCTGCCCGGGTGTTGCAGATTACTGACAGCTCTTGTACTTTCCAGGTCAAATGTAAATTCCTAATTCCATCTGCAGCTTCCTTCTCAGGCCAAACATTTAGGAATTGTTTGTGGTTAAGTTGTTTATGGGTAATTAATCACTGCATACGAAATGGTTCCTCCACTACAGTGGGAAAGTGCCAGGTGGAGAGAAGACAGGGAGGAGGGGAGGCCCATATCACATCCCTCCATTCCCACTTCTGGTTCCTTCCACCTTCTGATATGAGCGAGTTGTTAGGACAGAGGGTCCCAGTGGGACAGGCTCTGGGCTGCTACACTGTTCAGCTCAGCTCCAATTAATGGCAGATGTTTGGTCTACATGATGCTGGTAGGCAGTGTGATTTCACAAGAGCTAGTGGGGTCACCAGCCACCCTTCACCCCTATTTCAGGCAAGTGTCCAGAGGGGATCCAATGTTGGCATAGCTCCAACAAGCTCTGGACTGGTTCAGTGGCTTATCCGCAAGGCAAATCAGAGCATGATAGTTATTTTTTAACTCAAAGAAACTTTATTTTCCCACCACAGATTTCATTCTATATTCAAAAGTTAAAGGAGTCTATTGAGGAATGAATGGATAAGCAAAATGGGGTATAACCACACAATGGAATATTACTCAGCCTTAACAAGGAAGAAAGTTTTGACACACGCTTCAACATGGATGAAGCTTGAAGGTATACTAACTGAAATAAGCCACTCACAAAAGGACAAATACTGTATTAATCCAATTATATGAGGTTCCTGGGATCACCAGATTTACAGAAAGTAGAAAGGTGGCTGCTAGGGACTGGGGGAGAGAGAATAGGGAAATATTGTTAATGCCGCAGTTTCAGTTTTGCAAGATGAAAAGAGTTCTAGAGATGGATGATGGTGATGGTAGCACAAAATAAGGAATGTACTTAATACCACTAAACTGTACACTTAGAAGTGGCTAAGATGGTAACCAAGGAGGTGAAAGACCTCTACAAGGAAAACAACAAAACATTGCTGAAAGAAATCATAGATGACACAAACAAATGGAAACACATCCCATGCTCATGGACGGGTAGAATCAATATTGTGAAAATGACCATACTGCCAAAAGCCATCTACAAATTCAATGCAATTCCCATCAAAATACTACCATATTTCTTCACAGAACTAAAAAAAAAAAAATCCTAAAATCATATGGAACCAAAAAAGAGCCTGCATTGCCAAAGCAAGACTAGCAAAAACAAAAAAACAAAACAAAACAAAACAAAACCCAAATCTGGACACAATACATTACCCAACTTCAAACTGTACTGTAAGGCCACAGTCACCAAAACAGCATGATATTGGTATAAAAACGGGTGTATAGACCAATGGAACAGAACTGAGAACCCAGAAATAAGACCAAATACTGACAGTCAACTGATCTTTGACAAAGCAAAAACAAAAAGTGGGTAAAGGACACTCTATTCGATAAATGGGGCTGGGATAATTGGCTAGCCACATGTAGAAGAATGAAACTGGATCCTCATCTCTTACTCTCTACAAAAATCAACTCAAGATGGATCAAAGACTTAAATCTAAGACCTGAAACCATAAAAACTCTAGAAGGTAACATTGGGAAAACCCTTCTAGACATTGGCTTGGGCAACGACTTCATGACCAAGAACCCAAAAGCAAACACAATGAAAACAAAGATAAGTAGACGGGACTTAAACTAAAAAACTTCTGCACAGCAAAAGAAATAATCACCAGAGTAAACAGACAACCCACGGAGTGGGAGAAAATCTTTGCAATCTATACATCCAACAAAGGACTAATGTCCAGAATCTACAAGGAACTCAAAGTAGCACAGAAAAAAAACCATCCCGTCAAAAAGTGGGCTAAGGACATGAGAAAATAATTCCCAAAAGAAGATATACAAATGGCCAACAAACATGTGAAAAAATGCTCAACATCACTAATTATCAGGGAAATGCAAATCAAAACCACAAGGGGATACCACCTTACTCCTGCAAGAATGGCCATAACTGAAAAATCAAAAAATAGATGTTGGCATGGATGTGGTGAAAAGGGAATGTTTTTACACTGCTGGTGGGAATGTAAACTAGAACAACTGCTATGGAAAACAGTGTGGATATTCCTTAAAGAACTAAGAGTAGATCTACCATTTGGGCCAGGCATGGTGGCTCACGCCTGTCATCCTAGCACTTTGGGAAGCTGAGGCAGGTGGATCACCTGAGGTCAGGAGTTTGAGGCTAGCCTGGCTAGCATGGTAAAACTCCATCTTTACTAAAAATACAAAAATTAGCCAGATGTGGTGGTGCACACCTGTAGTCCCAGCTACACAGGAGACTAAGGCAGAAGAATCTCTTGAACACAGGAGGCAGAGGTTGCAGTGAGCCCAGATCATGCCACTGCACTCCCACTATTGGGTATCTACCCAGAGGAAAAGAAGTCGTTATATGAAAAAGACACTGGCACAGGCATGTTAATAGTAGCAGAATTTGCAATTGCAAAAATATGGAACCAGCCCACACGCCCAGTCAATGAGTGGATAAAGAAAATGTGGTACGTATATATGAAGTACTACTCAGCCATAAAAAGGAACAAAATAATGGCATTCACAGCAACCTGGATGGAGTTAGAGACCATTATTCTAAGTGAAGTAACTCAGGAATGGAAAACAAAAGATGGTACATTCTCACTCATAAGTGGGAGCTAAGCTATGAGGACGCAAAGGCATAAGAACGATACAATGAACTTTGAGGACTTGGGGGAAAGGGGGGTGATGGTGAGGGATAAAAGACTATACATTAGGTACAGTGTATACTGCTTGGGTGATGGGTGCACCGAAATCTCAGAAATCACCACTGAAGAACTTATTCATGTAACCAAACACCACTTGTTCCCCCAAAAAACCTACTGAAAAAATTTAAAAAGTAGTTAAGATGGTAAATACATATATTTTCCTTCTGTTAGAAAGGGTGGGGGAATGGTAAAGGGGACAAGGTAGGAATTGAGAGAAGGGGAAATCCTCTTTGCAACTCTAGCTAGCTCATCACTTAGACCAACACCAAAAATCTGAAATCTGAAAAGGACTTTAGAGAAAAGCAGCCAAGAGGATGTGACTGCTAACCTTCCCAATTTTTCAGGCTAATGTGAGAGTCTCATTTCCATCAGCATCCTGCTTGGGCCTCAATGTTTGGGAACCGTTTTGAAGGATCTGTTTCTGGCCGACGGTACACAGAGGGCTCCCTGGGGAACCAAACTCTGGCTGCTCTAGGGCAGCCCCAGGAGGCAGCTGGCGGGCACGTTAGTTACCTGGATGGGTAGCCAGCTGCACTGATTCGAATCGTCTCCAACACCCCGCAGGCTCTGAGTTGCTGCACTGCTCTCTTTGGGTCAAAGCTGCCAAAGGAGAAAAAAAAAAAAAAAAGCAAGACAAGAGATGAGTGGCCACATTTGCAAAAAAGAAACAAAAAAGAATCTTTTCCTGCAGCATGTGAAGTACCTGCTGCCACTGAGTTACAGCCACTGAGTTACCCTTGAGCTCAAGTCAGGGATTAGGCATAGACTAAAAGACACCAATGTGCAGGCACCTGAGCCATCTCAGCATCTTCTGTTCTGTGCCTGAGGCTTTTGTGCACATTCTCATTATCACCTGGGATACCCTTCTTCTTTGCCCACCCGAATCCTCCCCACCCTCCAAGACTCATCATTCCTGCTCCTCTCCAGAGCCTACTCTTACTGTTTTTATCCACAAGGGCATGCATCTTCACTCACTGTCCCAAGCATATATGCTTAGCCCCATTATTTGGCTCAAGCATTAAAAGGATGAGTTTCAGACTAGGCAGATCTGGGTTTCAATCATGACATGGTCACTTACCAGCTGGGTGTCTACTTTGGGGCAAGTCACTTCATGTCCCCTTGGGCCTCAGTACCCTCATCCATATAATGGGGGAAAACAGCAGTACCTATTTTATCAGGTTAGTGTGAAGCTTAAATGTAATGGTCCCTGAAAGCAGGTGGAACCATGCCTAGCACTGCGTAGGGCACATACGTTGTGTATGCTGTTAGCTATGATCACAACAGCTGTTCAGTTAAGAATCATGTAGATGAACTTCATTTACATTATTACAGATTACTTTCCAGTCTTCAGAGATATGTGCACCATTTTCAACCACTCACATGTCCTACAAAGCTAAGGCTAGCACTCAAAACCCAGTATGTTTTTAAACATATATTGAGTATGGCAGTGTAGAATAAAAAGCCAGATGCTGTGTGAGCTTTCTGAGTATCCCCGCTTGAAGAGGAAATTTTATACAAGACAGTACATAACAAACATGGTGAAAATGCCAAAAGAAGCCAGAGAGCAATTGTCTGAGGTTGTTAAACACAAATCATAAAAACTAATAAGAAGGGCTGGATGCGGTGCCTCATGCCTGTAATCCCAGTACTTTGGGAGGCCGAGGTGGGTGGATCACAAGGTCAGGAGATCGAGACCATCCTGGCTAACACGGTGAAACCCCATCTCTACTAAAAATATAAAAAATTAGCTGGGCGTGGTGGTGGGTGCCTGTAGTCCCAGCTACTCGGGAGGCTGAGGCAGAAGAATGGCATGAATCCGGGAGGCAGAGGTTGCAGTGAGCTGAGATCGTGCCACTGCACTGCAGCCTGGGTGACAGAGTGAGACTCTGTCTCAAAAAAAAACACTAGTAAGAAAAAAAAAAGAAGGCAGAGAGCAAGACATCACCATTGTCTAGAGTAAGCAGGGAGTCTTCATAGAGAAAGAATTAAGGCAACCTAGAATTAATCACTATTTTTAATTTGCTAAGATTACTGCCCCACTCCATCAGAAGGGACGAGGAACAAATGCTCCCTTTCCTTCTGACTGTCCTGCAGCTCAGCTGGAGCTAAGAGTCATGCTTCTTTTCCTCCTTTCACTCTGGGACATGGTGCTTGATAGATGGTGCCCTGGAGCTGCCTGGGCTCAGTGGGTACTTGGCACTGGAAAACAGTGGGCATTTGCCAAGCAACTGATGACTGCAAGATGCCACCTCAACCCAGGCAACACTCCACGTTGCACATCAGCCCTGGGTCTCATCCCATGAGACACCCACACTCTCCCCTCCAGGCTGTGCTCACTGTGGCTTCATTGCTCCCCTCTGCCCTCCCAAGCCCCACCTTCTTTCCACACCCATCTTCTCCATAAAATCTTCCCGACTCCTCCAGCTCCAACAGCCCACGGCACTGAGCATGTGAGGCACAACGGAACACTGATTTACACAGCTCTGAACAAAACATTTCCTTCAGAAGACTTCATCTTTCTAACTAGAGTAAAAGCCCCTTAGTGCGAGGGCCTTACAGGACAGCAGGGAGTATGTGCTGAGCACCTCACTGCCTGCTCACCCTCTCACTCCAATGCCTCCTGTGGTTGCTCGGCCACAAGAGGAAGCACAGTTCCAGGATCCAAGGGGGTCTTCATTACCAGGGGCGGCAATGACCAGTCATAAGCAGCTGCTCGGCTGCCCATGACTGCGAGTGATCAGAAGCCTTCGGGCTGCGGGCTCCCCTGCTCACAGGCTCTCACTGCTAAAGCTGTCAGCCAGGCCCTGCAGCATGAAGGCAGAGCGGACACCCCTGTGCTTTGGAAAAGGCATCCTGTGGCCTGCAGACCACCTCCCCAGGCACTCTGCCCCTGCCCACAGCAGCTGTGTTCCCCAAGCCAGCCACCGGCTTCTTTCCTCTGCTCAGCATGACCACAGGGTCAAGTTCAGCCCATTGCACACACCAGGGATGGCAGCGTGTTCAGGAGCATCTGGGACCCTTAGGTCCCACATGGGCTATGGGACCAGCTGGAGGTCCCTTCTTCTTCCAGGACCTCCTACTGTTTCCTCATGGTACTAATAAAATGAGCAGAAGCTCATTGAGAACCCCGTCATTCCTTAAAAGTACTGCTCCTCCTCCCCATCTGTCCCCTCCCTCTCTGTTCTGGTATCCCCACATCATGCTTCCTGACCTCTGGCATCCCAGTTCGGTCCTGTTGAAGGGCCAGGCAATGGCTCACTTGGTGCTGGTCCCCTCCCCTCACACAGCACAGCATGAGTTTTTGAGGGCAGGGTTGGGGACATCGGTTTTCTCTTAGAGTCTCCACACAGCGTGCCTGGAGCTGGTCCCCAGAAGGCACCTGGCACAGAGTTTTTGAACTCAGCCTTAACATTGTTCCCTCTTCGTGACCAGCTCAGCAAATCCCCTCCCTTTGCCACACCTGTTCTGTCCTCCTGTGATGGCAACACTGCTTTCCCCTGTGGTCTGGGGCAAAGAACTCAGTGTGGCCTCCGCTCTGCCACTAACAGGTAGTGTTACTTTGGGCAAGACACAGTCTCTCTGTACCTCATTTTCCTCATTTACTCAATGAGAGCTCAACATATCTGCCCAACTATAAAGCAGTGGTGGCTGTAATGACTATGTTACAAAAACAAACAAACAAACAAACAAAAAAACAAGAAGAATGCTTTTAGAAAAAGCTAAGAGACACTATACAAAGAAGATATTGCCATCATCTTTCCCTGTTCACATATCCCAAGGGGATATGGGAGGCCAGCTGGCCTTCTGTACTTCCTCTCCCCAACAGTAAAGAAAACCCACCGTCAAATGCATCTCTCAATCCGCCTCACTGCTTTCACTATTAGGTGACTAGGAATGGAAAACCAGCCCTCCTTCTATTAAATCTTGGAGGACCATAGCAAGGACAATTAACATAGAAAAATCACCAAAGACATAGAAGGTCACAGTGCTGAAACTGAAGTTCATGCTTTCCTCTCCCAATAGGATTAGCAGACCCTGGAGCCTGCTGGATGCAAAGAGAGGATCCCACTGTGTTAGAACCGAGCCCTACCTCCACAATTGCCCGCCATGGAATTGATTTCTCCATGGGCTGCAAGCTCCCTACCTGCTTCCCCAGGCTCAGCAGCATCCTGCAGTCACATCTCAGAACTCTGAGACTCCGAGACCTGGGCTGGCCTTCGGAAAACCAGTGACCAGGTCCTCCACAAAGCGTTCCCAGGTTATGACAACCGCCCCAGGCCACTGCTGCTCTGGATACTTCATCTCTCTCTTGCCTCTGCCCTGTCAGCACTTTCACAGAGCCACCGACAGCCACTTCTGTGGCATTGCCAGTTACTTGTGACAGACAATTCCTTAAGCATAGGGGACATGTCTTATTGTCATTCTACCTGTCCTAGCCCAGTGCCTAGTAAGAGGTATGATAGATGTTTCTTAAATGAAGAAAGCAGAGGAAAAAGCCTTTTGTATAGGTCATGCTATCAAAGCATTTAATGTGGGACAGGAGTTCTCAACTGGAGGCAATTTTGTCCCCAAGAGAACATTTGGCAATGTCTAAAAACATTTTTAGCTGTCACAATGATGGGATGCTTGTAGCATCTAGTGGGTAGAGGCCAAGGATGCTTCTCAACATCCTATGATGCACAGGACAGCACCCCTTGCCCCAGCAAAGAATTCTCTGACTCAATATGTCAGTGCTGCTGAGGCTGAGCAACTCCGATTACAGGAAATGGGTGGAGAGACACAGAAACTTCCTTCTAGGATGATGTAACTAATAACTGTAATCACATAAATTTTTATACTCTCATGAATAATTCCTATTCAGATTCTTTCATCAGGATACTTATTTTTATTTTTTTGAGAGATAGTCTTCCTCTGTCATCCAGGCTGGAGTGCAGTGACACAATCACAGCTCACTGCAGCCTCAAACTCCTGGGCTCAAGCAATTCTCCCACCTCAGCCTCTGGAGTAGCTGGGACTATAGGCATGCACCACCATGCCCAGCTAATTTTAAAATTTTTTGTAGAGGTTGGGTCTCGCTATATTTCCCAGGCCGCTCTCAAACTCCTTGCCTCAAGTGATCCTCCTGCCTTGGCCTCTCAAAGCACTGCCATTACAGGCATGAGCCACCACACCAGGCCCTCATCAGAATTAACAGGTAAGGAAATGAGACACAGAGAGCAAAAGACTAGCTTGCGACTGGCCAAATCAGCAGTGAGCTCAAACTAGACACAGAGAGCAAAAGACTAGCTTGCGACTGGCCAAATCAGCAGTGAGCTCAAACTAGAATCCCGGTATCATGACATGGTCAGTATTCCTCCCACCTTTTCTTTGTATTGGGAGGAAGATTTTGGTTCTGAAGATAAGGCAGTGTCTTAGAAAAGTGGGACCTCAGGACTAGAAAGTCCCCAGTGTCTTCTCTCCTTTGAGAGGGGAGACCCAGCAGAGTATCTGTCCCACAGCAGGGACACGCTCTGATGAGGGAAAGGCCCAAGGCCACAGCTGGTCTGGCCCAGCTGGTATAGAGCCCTCATCTCCTCTCCCCTGGGCCCTGCACAGCACTCTGCCCTTCACACAGAATCTGAGTCTTTCACACACACTACGCTTCTAACAGCCTCTTCTCTTCTGGAGTCAGCTGGTAAACAGAAGCCACCCAGGGGGAATTCCTAAGCATGTCTCAGAGATTTGGAGGAAGGGAAGAGCAAGCAAGCAGCACACTGCAAAGAAAACTGGTAACATTCTGTCTCCTTAACCTTTTCCACACAGAGCCCATCTGAATGGAAGCCAAGCTTTATTACATGACCAGAGTGTAGAAGGCAGTTCAGATATTCAGTCTGAGAGTCAAAATTGTCAAAGTAAGTTATTTCACAGAAAGAAATTATACTAGGCCCGAAACAGAAATCATGGGGAAGGAAAGATGGGAATAAGGTGCTTAAAAAATTTAAAAATACACCTCCTCTGGCCAGAGGGAACAGCATGCGTGAAGGCCCAGAGCAGAAGAGACTGCAGAGCTGAGTGAGAGGATGTTTTTTAAAGGTTTAAGGTAGTATTTCAGGCAAGAAAAGAGGATCTGGAACAAGGTGAATAAGGAAGAGAAAAGGGAGACCAGGGTGAGGAACGTGCATGGAGACTTCATGGGACTTTGACGTCAGTTAGACACTGGGAAGTGAAGGAGACGGAAGAATCAAGGGTTAAACCATGCTGTATGGTGGCCACTAGCACCTCGGGGTATCCAAAATAAATTAAAATGAAATAAAATTCAGAATTCAGTTCCTCACTCACACCAGACAGGTTTCAAGCACTCGATAGCCATGCGTGACAAGCGGCTCCCACACTGGATAAGGCAGATGACAGCACATACCCATCATCACAGGGATTCCCCCTGCACAGCAGGTTAGAGAGAACTTCTAGTATGGGAGATCAGGTCTCATGGGTGGATGAGATAACAGGAAATGTTATGCCTCTTACTACAACAAAGACCAATGAAAGAGGAATCATTCTTGGGGGGTGGCAGGAGATGAAGAGTGTGGTCTCAGATGTGCTGAAGGCAAGGTGGATAATGAAGCTGTAGTAGGCTTGCACAAACACTTGTCTGGAATTTAGTAGAAACCAAGATGTACAAAGATCATTAAGAGTTCTACAGATTAGGGTGAGGTCAGCCACATGAGCATGGACAGAACCGGAACAAAGTTTCAAGGTCAGGGTAGAAACAAAAGTTGGATCAGAGTAGGTTGAGGAGTGAGGAAAAGGGGAGCAAATGTGGATAATTCTGGAAGCTTAGCAGCAGATGGGAATGTGAGAAACAGGACCATGTTCATGTCCTATCGTCCAACACATCATGTGAGGTCTTGATTCTTCAACACAAGAAAAGCCTTTCCTGACCACTCCAGCAACCTTTCCAAGCCTGAATTTAACACTTGCTGTGAGATGTACTCATGGCTACATTTAACGTTCTCTATTTTATTCAAGCATGCACATTCCTGACCACCACTATACGGGGAACGGCATTTTTTCTCTTAAGACCTCCTGGACAGCAGACTGGTGGCACTCAGCAAGTGTCTGTCAGTCTGTCTGCAGCAAGTAAGATGTCTGGGGAGTGTAAGTCCAGGTGGTCATCATGCTGAAGGCCACAGACCCCCAGGCAAGGCCTGGGCCACCCTGTTCCACCTGAACCTCTAAGGCTGGGCTGGACAGGCTAATGCCCAGCAGGCACTTACTGAAAGGGGAGCTTCTCATCGTTGGGCTTGATGCAGCGGACATAGTGAGGTGTCGTGGCATTCAGGGTCTCCATGAGCAGATGCAGGGAGGTACGGAACTAGAGAGACAAAAGCCAGTGCTTGGTTAGTTTTAACAAGTCGTGGATGTGTGATAAAGAAAAACTCATATATGGGTGGCGGTAGTTATTGTTACTATTATATTATTAATCCAGAAGGATGGAAGAAATTTCAGAGACCTGGGGTAAGATTCCAGCTCTGACACTGCTATCTTGCTGTGACCAAAATCAAGTCCTTCCTATTTAAGGGTTCCTTGAATTACATGGGGGACAGACTACCCCCTAATGTGCCTAACTCCCAGTGCTGTGGATCAAATAAGATGAAAGGTGGGCAAATACTGTAGGAGAGATTTGGTCACTGTGCACCGGAAGCCTGCTCTTCCTAAACCTGAGGGCCTGGGACCCTGACATCCGATGCCTGGGTATCCTGGAAATAATTTGTTATACTAAATGTCCAGAATGGCAAACTCATAGGAACAAATGTTAGGTGGTGGCTGCCAGGGACTTGACAAGCATTCTCTTCTCTTCTCTCCAGAGACACAATGGGCAGAACAGCCACAGAGACCCCACAGCAGGAGAAGTTGCTTTTAGTCTCCTGATCCACAGCTTCCTTAAGCCTCCTCTCTAACCTATAAATTCCAGGCCCTCTTGCCTCCCACACTAGGTGTCTTTGGCCCTGTGGCACAGCCCCACCACAGGCGTTAACATACTTATGGAGGCTACGGTCGGCCCCTTCCCTCCTCCCTCTGTTAGTTCCTTGTGGTGAAGGTATTGGAGTTTCCTTCTTCTAAGGACACAAGATAGAGCTGGATGGCTGAGGCTACTGATGTCAAGGCTGCTGTGATGGCTTCCCTCTCACCCTGCCGCCATCCTTCATCTACAGAGAGGCCAGCCCTGCACATGCACCTCAGCCCATAGCTTTTGGTCCGGGGCTGACCTGGTGGCCAACGGTTTTCTTGTGCTCCTTGTTGGAGACTTTCATGGGGGGTCTGGCAGAACGGACGCTGATCTTCGAAGATGACCCCTTCCCAGGGGTGGTGGCAGGAACAGGGTCCTTGTCATCATGAAACAAGTCAGCCACTAGTGGGAACTAGAAACAATCACAGGAAGAATGATGAAAGTGACATCTCCTGCACCTTACATGTTTCCTCTCAAAGCTGCTTTTCAACATATACCTGAGAACGGAAAACACACATCCACGCCAAAACCCACACACCAACCTGCACAGCAGCGTTACTCCCAAAAGCGCCACAAGGTAGGAACAACCCAAATACCAACTGATGAATGGACAAACAAATGTGGTACCTCCATACAATGGATTATTCAACATTATTAATAAATTCAATATAAAGAAATGACCTCCTGATCCATGCCACAACATGGACACACCTCAAAAAAATTATACCAAGTGAAAGCAGCCAGACACAAACGTTCGTATAGTGTGTGATTCCATTTACATGAAATATCCAGGGAATAGAAAGTAGGTTATTGGTTGCTAGGGGTTGGGGGAGAAAGGGGAAGAGGAAGGGGAAGAAGGGGAGAAAGGGAGTGCCTGCTAAGGGGGACAGGATTTCTTTTTGGAGTAATAAAAATATTCCCAGACTTTTAGTGGTGATGACTGCATAAATTGGTGAACATCCTGAAACCCAGTGAATTGTGTGCTTCAAAAGGGTGAATTTTGTAATGTATGAATGACAATTCAATTTTTTAAATGGTAGGAAAAAAGTTGCTTTCCCATACAATCTCACTCAATCTTCACCTGCAAAGATGCGCAGAACTTCATTTCCTTGTGGTGTGGTAGGAGGTGGCTATGCTTTAATACACCTAAGTTTAAGTTCTATTTTTCTACATTATTGCATCTTGTCAAGTTAACTTCCCTGATACCTGTTTTCTCATCAGAATAGGGATAAGCCTATGCCTGTTATATGGGGTTGTTATGAATACTAAATAAGAGGTTAATATCTTCATCTGTAACAAGGTGAAGATGCAGGCCTTGGATGAGGCGCTGGTGACAGAGTCCCAGCCATCAAGAAGTTCAGTCTGACAGGAACACAGTCCTGTCATCATCCCTTGGGGAAGTCAATGCTGGGGCTAGAATAAAGTATTACAAGGCTTTTACCACACTCCTGCAGGGGTTGGGGGAAAAGGAGGGAGGGAAAAGGAACATACAGGCCCCATTCACTAACCTTGAGCAATTCCAATCTCAACAGAAGAGAGGCTAAATGCTACAGCCTCAGATGCTAGGCTCTGCTCCTTCTCACCTACCCTGTGCCCTCTTCCTTTAACCCCCACTTAAGTGCATGGCTCCCCTCTCCTGCCATTGTGTCTGAAATCCCTAGTCTAGTGTCTGAGGACTCCCTGATCAGATCCCACTCACCCCTCTCAGACAATACCTTGCAAAACCATCCAACTGGTCACGTTGCTGTCTCATAGGCACAATGCTCACTACTCCTGCCTCTATACCTTTGCTTACTGTGCTATTTTTACTTGAAATACCCCCACCCCTTTCTCTTCTATACTTATCCTGAGAGGCCCCTCTCTCAAGGTTGAGCCCTGCCCCTCCCGTGACCCTCTCCCAAAGCACCCATCACTCCTGTCTGTGTCTCCCACAGGCTCTGTGGTGTCCTGGGACACCCTCACCCCCTCAAGGTCTGTGTTGAATCCTGAGCTCTACACTTGCTGAGACTTCCCTTCCTCCTGAGAACAAGGGCTGAGGAGAGGACTGAATGAGAGAATCCGTGTAAGCATGTAGAAAAGTGTCCAGCATATAGGGCTCAGACATTATCTAGTTTTATTACTTTTACTAGGGGTTATATACATTAACACTCTTTCTTTTTTTTCTTTTTTTTTTTTTTTTTTGAAACAGTCTCGCTCTGTTACCAGGCTGGAGTGCAGTGGCGCAATCTCAACTCACTGCAAGCTCTGCCTCCCAGGTTCAAGCGATTCTCCTGCCTCAGTGTCCCCAGTAGCTGGGACTGCAGGCGTGCACTACCATGCCCAGCTAATTTTTGTATTTTTAGTACAGACAGGGTTTCACCATGTTGGCCAGGATGGTCTCGATCTCTTGACCTCGTGATCCGCCCGCCTCGGCCTTCCAAAGTGCTGGGATTAAAGGTGTGAGCCACCATGCCCGGCCTACATGAATGATCTTTCTGAACCACGTAAGTACAGATGCTTAAGAAAGTTGTATTTTTGATCTGAAGAAACAACATAGAATTTTAGATCTGGAACAAATGTAAAGGTCAACTTTCACCTCCATGTGGCAGGTGAGGATGTAGGCGACTGGGGAGAAGGAACCTACCGGAATCCTGCTCCAACCTCTGTTCCCTCCACCACCAAGCACAATGGTCAGCACCAGCTCTCAAAGGGCTGCTAGTCAGTGGCTGAGCCTGGGCTAGAACCTCGGCCTCCGGATGCCCAGGTCAGAATTTGTTTCAATACAGAAATATAGCCTTGTCATTTAAACCCACAATATCAAGGAAGTAGAAATATAAAAGGGCTTCAGATATAGCCTTGACTTTTGAGGTACTTGCAACAACAATTAAATACATAAGATAACACTTCCATGAAACATTTCTCTAGCTGACATCATCTCCTGAGACTTGTAGGAGATTCAGGCTAAGGCAAGCTACCTACTGAAGATGCAGCATCATCTTCATGTATGGCTACAGGTCCCATATAGCAGTGACAGCTCATGCTCTGGTGATGCTCTGCACTGCCGAGACCTTCAATAAATTAAGTTCCAGCCTAGTGGAGTATTTACTGAGTACCTACAAAGGCTTTCATATCAACAGCATCATGCCAAGAGCTTGGAAAGAAAGAATCATGTAAGAATAGGTCCAAAATTCACAAAATAATTCACTATTCTAGGTGAATTCAAAAAGTCCTAGAAGCATATCAAAACAACGCAATGAGTATGAGCTTTTTCACATTACAGTCTACAGTGGGCCCTGGCTCATCTCCCTTCTGCAGTCAGAGATACCTGACAGTACAGAGTCATGGTATCACATCAGCACATTACAGTGTCCAGACAGAGTAGCAAGATGGTGCTGGTGGCATACTAGAACTGTTCTCAGAACCTGTCAGATTCAGGTGACTTCGCACACTCAAAGGCAGTTTCTGCAACCTTATTAGGTACCTTTGTGCTGGAGTTCCAGGGTGATATGATGGGGGTTATAAAACACATGATGACCATCCCATTTCCATGGGGCTTCTTGCAACCTGACCTCACTTAAGGCAGGCATAAGACCATCAGCAACTACCCAGGTCACGTCCAAGGAGAAACTGGAGAGATGCAGACACTTTGCTCAGTGAACCCCCCTCAGTCTGACGACTCTGGTATTTTTCACATATTAAAGTAACCCATATCACTTCTAGGCCTTTTGGATAAGATCAAGCATAAAGCAACTTGTATGAATTCCACGGATCCAAGGGTTTGTTTTCAGCAAGACTTAAGCCTCACCTTATGCAGGAACACTTCACTATCACAGTGGATTAGAATGAGTGTGCCCACCTGCACATACGTACAAGGTTACAATGCCTAATGTTTAAAACAGCACCTAATGCTGGTGAAAATTATGGGCTAATCTTCTACATCAAGCATTTTAAACTAAAAACATACAAAAAAATTAGTTCCTCTTACCTCATTCTTAGTTATTACAAAGTTCATACATCTTAGTAGCTTCAGTTTTAGAGTCAAGAGAAATTAACACAAGTCAGTGTTTTGTTTTACACAGCACAGGAGCTAGTCTAATGGGTTATAAAGCCATGAAACAACTGTGTTTCATGTGCACCTACATGGACAATCATGCGGGAATCAACACGTGTCAGTTTCACTTTTCCCTCACACTCCTCATTTCTCACAGACACACCAACCATTAGAAGCATCCAATTTCCATTTTCCACCAGAGTGACTTGCATGCAAATAAAAGTTGCAGTTCCTTAGTTCCCTGGCCTGGGTTCTAAGTTCAGTCTAAAAGCACCAACCAATGATCTTAAGGCCATCTCTGGTGAGCAGCCCAAGCCCATTCTCACTGCTGGCTATTCTGTGGCTACAATAGGCTGCTGACACCATGATTAGCACTAGAGAATGCTACCATATTTCTGAGCAAAGCACACCTCAAATCCCTGCTTGAGGGCATGGAAGGGATAATCCTATTCACAATATGCAGAGTCTAAATAGCTCCATGGAAGGAGATAAAGAGACAAATCCCTGCTAAGGATACTGATGATATTGTTGTCAGGCAGGTACCCTGGAGGGTACCCCAGTGAGATCACTAAGGATGCCCCCAAGTGTTAGCTGCCAACAGGTGACAATTCTGTTCCTATTCTCAGCTTCTCAGCATCTTTGAAATAAATTTTCCTCCCTCTCGATACAAACAAATGGAAGAACATTCCATGCTCATGGGTAGGAAGAATCAATATCGTGAAAATGGCCATACTGCCCAAGGTAATTTACAGATTCAATGCCATCCCCATCAAGCTACCAATGACTTTCTTCACAGAATTGGAAAAAACTACTTTAAAGTTCATATGGAACCAAAAAAGAGCCCGCATTGCCAAGTCAATCCTAAGCCAAAAGAACAAAGCCAGAGGCATCATGCTACCTGACTTCAAACTATACTATAAGGCTACAGTAACCAAAACAGCATGGTACTGGTACCAAAACAGAGACATAGATCAATGGGATCTATGTCTGAGGACAGAGCCCTCAGAAATAATGCTGCATATCTACAACCATCTGATCTTTGACAAACCTGACAAAAACAAGCAACGGGGAAAGGATTCCCTATTTAACAAATAGTGCTGGGAAAACTGGCTAGCCATATGTAGAAAGTTGAAACTGGATCCCTTCCTTACACCTTATACAAAAATTAATTCAAGTTGGATTAAAGACTTAAATGTTAGACCTAAAACCATAAAAACCCTAGAAGAAAACCTAGGCAATACCATTCAGGACATAGGCATGGGCAAGGACTTCATGTCTAAAACACCAAAAGCAATGGCAACAAAAGCAAAAATGGGATCTAATTGACAAATGGGATCTAATTAAACTAAAGAGCTTCTGCACAGCAAAAAAAAAAAAAAAAAAAAAAAAACTACCGTCAGAGTGAACAGGCAACCTACAGAATGGGAGAAAATTTTTGCAATCTACTCATCTGACAAAGGGCTAATATCCAGAATCTACAATGAACTCAAACAAATTTACAAGAAAAAAACAAACAACCCCATCAAAAAGTGGGCGCAGGATATGAACAGACACTTCTCAAAAGAAGACATTTATGCAGCCAAAAGACACATGAAAAAATGCTCATCATCACTGGCCATCAGAGAAATGCAAATCAAAACCACAATGAGATACCATCTCACACCAGTTAGAATGGCGATCATTAAAAAGTCAGGAAACAACAGGTGCTGGAGAGGATGTGGAGAAATAGGAACACTTTTACACTGTTGGTGGGACTGTAAACTAGTTCAACCATTGTGGAAGTTGGTGTGGCGATTCCTCAGGGATCTAGAACTAGAAATACCATTTGACACGGCCATCACATTACTGGGTATATACCCAAAGGATTATAAATCATGCTGCTATAAAGACACATGCACATGTATATTTATTGCGGCACTATTCACAATAGCAAAGACTTGGAACCAACCCAAATGTTCAACAATGATAGACTGGATTAAGAAAATGTGGCACATATACACCATGGAATACTATGCAGTCATAAAAAAATGATGAGTTCATGTCCTTTGTAGGGACATGGATAAAGCTGGAAACCATCATTCTCAGCAAACTATCACAAGGACAAAAAACCAAACACCACATGTTTTCACTCATAGGTGGGAATTGAACAATGAGAACACATGGACACAGGAAGGGGAACATCACACACTGGGGACTGTTGTGGGGTGGGGGGAGGGGGGAGGGATAGCATTAGGAGATATACCTAATGTTAAATGACGAGTTACTGGGTGCAGCACACCAACATGACACATGTATACATATGTAACAAACCTGCACGTTGTACCCTAAAACTTAAAGTATAATTAAAAAAAAAATTTTCCTCCCTCTCTTCATGCATGGCATTTCAAAGTCATAAATATTGTCTTTTTAGATGGCAAGGTAACTAGTGAGCTGTCAGAAATAAAAACACAATTTAAGATCTGTGGCTAAAATCCATATGCCAACATCATAAAAAACCGATATTTGTATTAGGTACTCAATTCCATGTGCAGTCAAAGCAGAGAAAGTAAATACTAGGTCACTGACTGTCAAGAAACTAGATTGACTAGTTTGTGCATTCATTCATTCATCCACACATTATCCATCAACACTTACTGACGCTCAAATATGCAACAAATGTTGTGCTAGGAACTGGTAAAACAAAAGTGTTATAGAAGAAGCCTAGCCTCTTCTATATCATGGAGTTTATGGTCTAGCATGGAAGGTGAATGCTAATGAAAATAACCCACAATTAAAAACATAATGACAAGAAGATGAATATCCTAAAGGAAATCAACAACAAAGATGCGACTAAATCGGGGGTCTGGGATGTGGGAAATGAAGACAGGATTCTCTTAGGGAGGGAAGTCTGAACTGTAGGACATTGGATGGGGAGGACAGCATGTTATGGGGTGGAAGTAATGGCACCTATGAAGGAGCTCTGTGCATTCGGGGGGCTAAGATAAAGCTGGTCAACGTACAATGTACACAGTGAGAAGGAAGCAAGAGGGACTAGCTCATGTAGGCCTCAGTTAAGAATTTTTATTTTTATCCTAAGAGCAATGGGAAGCCATTAAAGGGTTAAAATAACAGGGGCTAATATTTATTGAGCACGTTGACTATGCCTGGCACACATGAACTCCTCCAAGCCTCCCAGTGGTGTAAGCACCATTGCACTCTATTTTACAGATGAGGAAACTGAGACTTAGGGCCCAAGATCACAGAGCTGTACGTAGCATAGTCAGGATTTGAACCCAGACAGCCTGTCTCCAGAGTCCAAGCAACAATGCACCACAGAGAACGGCAATGACTAGAACCAGCAATGGCAGTTCTTTCTAAACAGATCCCTGGCTACAGCATAAGGAAGAGCCCACTGCACATGAAGCCCTGTCCTGGGTGCCTAGAGGAGTCAAGGGAGACCATGGAGACCAGAAGAGCTTACAACCTAGCAGTGAGCTCAGAAGTAATGAGGTATAGCAGGAAGGGCATGGGGCTGGGTCAGGAGACCTGAACTTTAGATATGACCCTGCAACTTGATAGCCGTGTGGCCCATGGCAAACCTCTCAGGCTTACTAGATTTTAACTTGCTCATTTATATAAATGGAAGAGCTGACCAGATGATTCCTTTAAGTCACTCCCTGACCTGGATTCCTGCATTTTCTTATACTTGAATCACTCCATCCCCTGGCTTCTATCCACCAAGCATACAGCTACGTTCAAGCTTCTCTGTTGCTTCAAACCCCTCCCTGTTCAGCCTGTCTCTCTTCTCACTTTACCATCGATCACCTCGAGCAAGGCATCCACAGACAGACACCGCCTTCCACGCCGCTCCTCCTCAGACCTCCCTCCACCAGATGGCCTCCTCCCCATGCTGCTGAAATGTACCTTGAAAGCAACTCCAGTGCTTGTCAAGTCCAATGGCTAGAAGTGGTGTGCTTTCATTTTTGATCCTACCCGACCTCTTCAAAGGCCTCTGTGCCACTGGCCCACGCCTCCTTGTAAAGGTCCCTTCCTGACACTTAGCAGTTCTGCTTCCTCTAATCTTCTCCCTGCCCGGCGCCCTTCCCAGAACCTCCCACGGGGCTTTTTCCTGCACTTCCATCCTTTGCATTGCCATTTTCCAGAGCCTCATCCTCACCACTTACCTCAGTCCCTGGGGACAGTCTCCCCTAGGCCATGGCTCCAACCATCCCTCCCAGATCCTGCCACTCCAGTCTGGATCTTTTCCTGTTACTATGATTCACAATTCCAGCTCGCTCTTCTTTCCTCTAGGTGTTCCACTGGGAACTCCGAATTCAATACAGCCCAAACCACCTTCACCCACTGACTTCCTAGGTTAGGCTAGAATCCTGTCCTCACCCTACTTCCTATATCTCAATCAAGTACCAAGTTCTGCCCACAGGGGAGTATCATGCAGTCCTTTTTTTTTTCATTAATCTGGAGCTGGAGCTGCTGCTCCAGCTCAGGACTACCCAGCTCTCTCCTGGATCACTACAGTCACCGAAAGCGTGAGGGCATACCTCCGGGCACACCTTCACCCAAACACATTCCAACCAACAGCCAGAGTTTTCTCTGGATGCAAACCTTATCCAGTAGCCACATGTTAAAGGCCCATTTGTTTGTCCTCACTGTCTATGGCAGAAAGCCATAGATGAACAGTGTTCAGGTGAACTAAACACTGAGAGTGGCAGGAGCAGAATGGGCTGGTGGAGGGGAGGAGGGGAGGAGGAGGAGGAGGAGAGGAGAGCTGGGCCTGGGGGCTCCATGGACCAGGGCCAGAGAGCCAAGACACAGGTAAGAAAGGACAAAGTGGCCCGTCAGACTGGTGCTGAGAAAGCTCCATGGGGAAATAATGGGAGGCTGGAGGCAGGTTCACATTTTGAAGATGCCATTGTGATTCATGCCTGTCTGTCATGGCAAAGCAAAACACTGGCTTATTAAATAATTCTAATTCATATACTTTCTGAAGTGAATTTTCAAGATGTTTGAGGCATGGGTAGAAGTTACCAATCTGCATAACTATACTATTGGGTAGTGGGGAGGGGGTTAAATTTACAGAAATCATTCATAGTAGCTTTTACTGTAAAAAAAAAAAAAATATTAAGCCCTAAGGTCATTAACAGGTACAGATTGAGTATCCGTTATTCAAAATTTGAGAATTTTGAGACCAGAAGTGTTTCAGATTTTGGAGAATTTACATTATACTTACTGGTTGAGCATCCCTAATCTGAAAATCCAAAATGCAAAAATACTCCAGTAAGCATTTCCTCCCATCCATGCACTAACCAGGCCCGACCCTGCTTAGTTTCTGAGATCAGATAAGCTCAGGCACGTTCAGGGTGGTATGGCCGTAGATGCATTTCCTTTGAGTGTCATATTGGTGCTCAAAAAGTTTCAAATTTTAGAGCATTCTAGATTTGTGATGCTTGATCTGTATGAAAAATCACACTAGGAACTTGGAAATCAGAATCACCAATGGGAGAATTTTAAGATTTCAGCCCCTTTCTCCTGCTTCCATTAGAAAGGCTATCTATGCTTTTAATTTTATACATTAAACAGGGACTTTGTAACTTAAGAACAGAAAGTAAAAACTGTCCAAGGCAGATTTGTACCTAAGCTGGCACTGTGCTATAATCTGGAATCAACATAATCAAGGTTTAGTCTGAAGAATTTGTATGTTATTTGAAAAGCTAGGTTTTCCTTTAAGTTCCTGCTGTTGAGACTGCCTTTGGCAGTGGCAGGATCTGGGATTTAGAGGGAGATGACTGTGTTGGAATATTAGTTCTCAAAAGGAGGTACCAGTATGCTTCGTATTCTATTCAAAATTTGTTTTATAAACTCAAATGAACATAAGAGATCTAGTTTGATGACAGGACTGAAAGACTAAGAGATACCATGTTCAACGCTGGGCTGTAGACATCCGCAAAAGACCCAGGCAAGAAATACAAATTATGGTTCCATCCACACCCATCCCTTAAGAAGATTGGGCTACGTAAGGATACCTCACCTGAGAAGTGTCCCAACTATACACAAGCCCAGAGTCACAATGAAAAGTAGTCACCAAGCTCTTTTTTTTTTTTTTTTTTTTTTGAGACGGAGTCTCACTCTGTCACCCAGGCTGGAGTGCAATGGCACGATCTCAGCTCACTGCAAACTCCACCTCCCGGGTTCACGCCATTCTCCTGCCTCAGCCTCCCGAGTAGCTGGGACTACAGGCGCCCGCCACCACGCCTGGCTAATTTTTTGTATTTTTAGTAGAGATGGGGTTTCGCCATGTTAGCCAGGATGGTCTTGATCTCCTGACCTTGTGATCCGCCTGCCTTGGCCTCCCGAAGTGCTGGGATTACAGGCGTGAGCCACCGCACCCAGCCGTAGTCACCAAGCTCTTACTTGACAAAGGACCCATACAAAGGATCACATTTCTGAGCGAAAAGAAGTTTTTAAATTTTTATTTTTTAATTGACGCATAATAACTGTACATACATGGGGTACCTAGTTTTGACATATATAGTGTATAGTAATCAGATCAGGGCAATTGACAAACTCCAATTATGTGTTTAGAGTTATTAAGCAGTCTGTTTATAAGCTGACTGAGCAGTAAGAGAGCTGCCACAATTTACCTTAGGGCAGCCACCCGGGCATTTCTCACAATTTGTCCCCTTCGAACTCAAACACTCAAGCTAGCACCTCCAGACAAACCAATATTTTCCTGTCACTTGTTTAAAACCTGTACATAGGGACTGGCTTTGGTATTCTCTGCTATTCATTCCTATATATAGCTTTTAAAAGCCTGGGGCAAATCAAAAAGGGACTAAGAAGCATGAAAAAACTTTGTAAAGGCCATTTGGCAGTTTAAAAAAAGTCAACGTGCAGGTTTGTTACATCTGTATACATATGTATACATGTGCCATGTTGGTGTGCTGCACCCATTAACTCGTCATTTAGCATTAGGTATACCTCCTAATGCTATCTACATACGTAACAAACCTGCACGTTGTGCACATGTACCCTAAAACTTAAAGTATAATAATAATAAAATAAAAAGTCAATTACAGCTGACACATAGCTGTTACCTTGGAAATCACACCTACTCATTTGTGTTTATAAGAATATAAAAGATATTTCCTCTGAAACAGACACATAAAGTTAAAATAAGACATAGTATAAGAACAGTTTGGGTGGTGTCTCTTCCCCAGAATCTTTTCTTTAAAAAGAAATCTATGGCTGTAAACATAATAAACACATTTTTCCTTTCAATCAATTCTTTTTACATGACTAATGGTACCCTTTGGAGGGAAAAATCTCTGACATTTAGATGAATATTTTAAAAGGGTTTTAAATAGGCTTTGGAGGAAAAGTCTCAGTACTTCATTTTTTTTGGAAGACAACATGGACTCTCCTGTATCATAAGGGAGACGATATTGTTTTGTCAACTAAAAAGTTATCCTACATAGTACCCTGCTTGGTTTAAGTATTGGCAGAAGCTTTTCAAATACCAGCACATCTTAAACAGGAAGCAAAGTACATTTGAGAACATTTTATAGTATGTTTATTATCTCAAGCTCCTATTCAGAAAATAAGTTAAAAAATTAAAAGTAAACATAAGATTTTTAAAAAGCAAACTTATTTGGTCAAAACAAGGTGTGTGTATATAACCTTTTA
The DNA here is from genome assembly GCF_000001405.40 of Homo sapiens. Taxonomy (NCBI): domain Eukaryota; kingdom Metazoa; phylum Chordata; class Mammalia; order Primates; family Hominidae; genus Homo; species Homo sapiens. Next base: position 49,948,696 of record NC_000018.10, read on the forward strand.
AAAACACATCAGTGTGGAAAGCAATGGACATGTGTACTTGTCATTCCTTGACAAGCTGAAGTCAAGCCATAAGCAGCAGGAGGGAGAAGGGGAGTGAACACCTGGGCCTTGTGTGAGCTGTTCCTGCGACTCCTGTGCTGTAATTTGGGTACCAACATGACCAAGGTTCAGTCTGGTGAATTTGTATTTTATTTTAAAATCTAGGTTTTAATTGTAGGTCCCTGTCATTGAGACTGCACTTGGAAGTGGTAGGATCTCTGAGATTCAGAGGTGGATGAGTTTGTTGGAAAATTAATTCTGGGAAGGAGGTGTAGGGTTCATGAACTCAGGGTAAGTAGCTTTGGGCCAAGGTGGTCTCTGGACCACATTCATCTCAAGATCCCTTATGCTGGGATAGAGTGGAAAGATGGCACTGGGATGCCTGTCCCATAGCCCAGAAATACTGCCCAGTACACCCTCACTGCCCAGCACATGCTGGCACAAACACGTGACCCACAGCTTGTCCCTCTGACCTACATGTAGTGGTGGCCAGGAATAGGCAATCTTCAGAGGAAAAACATTCTCCTTTTAAAGTTTTCTTTTTCTCCTGGTTGATAAATTATTCCTTTTCACAATAAATAAAAACTGGAAAACTGGAAAAAAAAAAAAAGGAAAACCTCCATCCTTTAGTATTTAAAGAAAATGACTCTGTTAATAACTTGAAGTCATGTTTTAAAGAGGCATCTCTTTACTTAAGTCTCTATTTACAGCTCCGATAGCTGAGAAAGCAATTAGCTACATTACAACCGCTCAGACAATGGAACTGGCTTCACTAATTACATTCTCATTAACACCCTGTTATTTCACTGCTCGTAGTGGGAGTTCTTCGAACATCCCTTTGGTTGGTAGAGTATATGGGTGTCTTCTATCCCCTACTGCTTAATTATTCATGATGACTTGTTAATTTCTTATCAAGGATGTCACCCAACAGAAAAAAAAAGTCTCTCATAAAATAAAAGTACTTTAGGTAAAATTATGAATTTACAAACAGGATTTGAGATTTAGCTGTGCTAAATGAAAACCAATAAAAAATTAAGCGTTACAATTTTAATGTAATGACATAGAAACTTGTATCTTTCTAGGTTTTCATTTTTCTTTAATATGGAGTTAGAAACATATGCCTCATAGGGCTACTATGAAAACTAAAAATTTTAAAGAAAATAGACTCATCACTCAGTAAATGATGAGCTTTAAAGATACTAAAATGACAGATGCTGCCAGACATGCCCATCTGCCCAAATGGTGTAGAGCATACTTAGAATCACTCTTTGATTTGCAGCTGCAGTCTGTGTATAGCCCATCTGCAGGTTTATGGTGATACAGCAACAATCTTTGCTTTCTGTCTTTTGAGACGTCTGAAACAGGCTAGGAGGGGCTCAGGGTAGAGAGTTCTCAAGCCCTCCTCCAGCTAGGGTCTGGTTAGCCAGAGCCCTTCTTGGTTAATCTCAGTGCTGCCAGCCAACATCACCACATCTCAGGGTTGTTGCTGGGATGGGGACAGGGGTGGCAAAAAGGTCACTGGCTCTTTAGACGTTTTAGCTGGTGAGGGGGAAAGCTAGCATTGTGGTTAGTGGGCAGGAAAGAGGAGGAGGAAGTTGCATTTCAAGAGTAGATCACACCTATTTTGTCCTCCAACTTAGCAACATCTATACACTTTTGATGTGCATACTCTTTGAACCATCATCAATCTGCTTCTAAAATTTTACCCAACAGACATAATTGTACAGAAGTATGCAAAGATATACATAAAGGATATTCATTGCTACATTATTTGAAATAGCAAATTATCAGCAGTTGTTTAAAAAAGAGAAATAGATGTGTACTCGTGTGGAAAGACAACCAAGATACAATGGTAACTGAAAAATTAAATTACAGAGGACTACGTGTCTATAATGTACTTATTTTAATCTTAAAAAGATGTACCAACATGCAGAATAGGGTATATTCTGACCCATCAAAAGATGGGTCAAGGAGTGGGAAAGAAGACTTATTTTATATATTTCTACAATACTTTAATTTTTTATGAGCTTACATTTAATTTCTAATAAAAACCCAGTACCTGCAATCTAAAACAATATTCTTGTATAGAAAAGAGCTAACACAGCAGGCCTGCATCTGCTATCCTTAGAAAGGCTGCTTGACCCCTGGCTGGTGTCAGGGGAACTTGGATTTTTACCATTCCCTGATAAGAACAGTTCACTGTGCCTAAATTGTTCATGCAAACAATAATTTATGTTGAGCATCTGCTTTCCTTCTGGGAGTTTGGAATTTTGGTTTGTGCTAGGCTAAGGGTGCCTACATAATCAACCCCAAATAAAAACCCTGGCCGCCTGGGCTCAGGTGACCTTCCCTGGTAGGCATGTCAAAAGAAGTGTCATGACTTGCTTCTAGGGGGAATTACGTGCATCCTGTATGACTCCAGGTGGAAGGGACTCTTGGAAGCTTGTGCCTGGTCTCCGGGAGACGTCACCCCATCCACCTCTCCCTTTGCTGAGTTTGCTGTTTACTTTTTGCTGTAACAAATTATAGCCATAACTATATGCTAAGTTCTGTGAATCTTCCTAGCAAATGGTTGAACCTGGGGGTGGTCCTGGGGGCCACCAACCTACCCTTATCATTCTCTTCCATAGCACCTTCTTCTTGACCTTCTTAGCGTTACCACAGTTTGTAATTAAACTGTGCATCTTTTTCACTAAGTTCCATGAGATTAACTACATGTGTCGGTTACCACTATATACTACACAAATATTCAATAAAGCTGATAAATAAAAATAAGGGAAAAGCAGCTCAGCTATTAATAAAAGATAACCTGCTGGAGAGTGAATATAACAGAGTTTTCCGGGCACCACTCCTTTTTAGATTCTGGAATCCCTGAGAGTCACTCAAATTAAGATGCTCAGAAATCAACACAATGGCAGAACCAGACTCTGTATTAAATGAAAAGTACCCACCTCTCTTCTCTCCATCCCTCGTTTCTGCTTCTAATCTGAAAGGACAAACTTCTACTGAGACAACAGAGTTTTCTGGCCCTATAAGTTGTCACAGGCCTCCAGGCATCGTAAGAGACCATCGTGAGGAAGGGGATCCTAGTGCTCAGAACACTTCCATCTACTCTCTTTCCCTGTGCCTTGGGGCTCCTCCCTATGCCACCATCCTCATGAAAAAATGGAAAAAGTCACATTAACCACCACAGACTGGAGATCTAAAAACTTAGGGAGCTGCAAGGTCAATCTTGCATTGAACTCCAAAGTGATATTCACTTTTACCCACGGCCAATTTGTCCCAGTGATGACTAATTCTCTGATGTTCCAGATATCCAGAGATCACACTGGGCAGGGGTCTGTTCTTGGCAGTCTGCATGCTGCTACTGACTCAAATCCTCCCTAAACCCCTCACCACGTGATAGAACAGGGTTTACTTGGCTTTATGTCCTGGGTCCATTTTGCTGGATATATTTTCTCCATTCTATCATCTCATCCTATTGCATTCATCTAAAGCTTATCACAAAGAGAAATTAATCTGCCATTTCTCCAATGTTATCAGGCCCCTGCAGTGAGTTCAGTATCATGTGGTCTGGGAGAAAGCCTCCTAAATCCTGGGAATTTCCCCCACCCCCGGCCCTGGGTTTCCTCTGCAGGGCTAAAGCCAGTAACGGCATCTGCATCAGAGTCGGCTTTTAGAATGCCAGTGCACACGCTTCCCCTGACTCTACCACCCTCTCCCCGTGCTCCTTCTCTCCTTTCACAGTTACCTGTGGGTGTCTTCATCTGCCCACTCACAGCCCATTAGAAGGGGAGCAACCAGAGTGCAGACTCTGTCTTGCTCATCTTTGTGTGAAAATGGTGTGTTTAGGGCAGTGCCTTCCAAAGCAGGTGCTTAGTAAATATATGTTTGGGTGAATTGGTGCCTTCTTTCCTCTACCTGTAGAATGGACACAATATTTGCTACCTTTTTCCTATGCTTGGAAATAAATGAAATTCTGATAATAACAGAGAAAGAGTCCAAAGTAGTAGATTTAAGTGTTCCTTAAATCCCACCTTCTATTCCATTAAGTTTCTGCTTATAGAGAGGTTCTATAGACTGCTGAACAAATTAAATGCAGATACTAGATGTGATGGGGTTTAAATAATCTTACATCTGCAGGCAGGAGACGGAGGACAGATGACATGATGGACACCAGCCACATTTCCATCACTGCGCTCACCGTCCTCTCTTCCTGTCACCTCCCATGCTCCCCTATCCCCTCCATTAGCAGGCATCTTTCCCAGTTTTCTCCCCCTACCCCTACACTCCTTGCTTTCTTCCCTCCATCAGGCCATACTAAAGTGTTTTCAGACAAGATTGGACACATTCACAGTGGTATGGCCATTCAACTGTTTTCATACCGAAATGACCAACAAACCCGTTGGCCTCCTCCCTGCCCAGCATCTCTGTCTTTCCACCCCAAGGAGGTTGCATCACCACTCCCTGTCCAGCACTGGCCGTGGGCATTCCTGCTCCACTCCCCACTTCTGACACTCTTTACCTTGCTGGCCTTCAGGATATTGATCTGCTCTTCATACACCGTGTCTCTGTTTTTCTCCAGAAAACCATCAGAGAGGTACTCCACCTGGGGCCACAGCAACCAGAGAGAGACACAGTCGTTAGTGCTTCAGCAGTTTCTCAACCACTTTCATCTCATCCAGGTAGCATTTTCTGAAAAGAGCTGTGAGTAGATAGGAAACCCACAGATGTTTCCACTTAAAATGCAAACCCAATAAATGGTCAGGATTTACATACAGGGAACTGAGTATTCATTTTGTGGAAGAAATTGTTTTAAAGGGAGTTCCCATAATAAAAGGTTTCTTCAGGGATCTATAAATGCAGCTTCTCAGCCACACCTCACACCCAATGAATCAATCTGTATTTTAACAAGACCCTAGGTGATTCATACACACACTGCAATTTAAGAAACACCGAGCTAGTGCATAGCAAACAGAAATCCACTTAGAAAAATTCTATGCACCCACCAGCTACTGAGAAAGCAGCCCCCTGAAGAGCAGCTACACAGGCTCCAGGTAAGAAGCCAAACCATTTGGTACTTTGTTTACAGCCCTCCCTTCTCTCTCAAGCTCCATGAGGGTAGACTGTTAACTGCTTTAGAATTTATATATACATATATGTGTGTGTGTGTGTGTGTGTGTGTGTGTGTGTGTGTGTAGACTATATATATACAGACATGTGTGTGTGTGTATGTGTGTGTGTATAGACTATATATATACACAGACATATATGTGTGTATGTATTTATATGTGTGTGTGTGTGTGTGTGTGTGTGTGTGTGTGTGTGTGTGTGTGTATTCATATATATATATGAATGACTGGGCAACTATAGTACCCCCTGTGAAGTTATGCCTTGTGGTAAGCTTGGTATCCCCTAGAAGTAGAGGGGTGGGTAAAAGAGGATGGAAGGGGAACCTAGCTGAGGCTTCAGGCCATTTGAATTCAGAAGGGACAGATTTCTCTCTAGGTCTAGAGCCCATTGAGTCTACTTAGAGAGGGGCCAAGGGAATACCCGAGCCAACAGAGAGGAGAGCCACCTTGTCTGCAAAGTGGACGATGATGAAGGCCGTGTTGGACATGCGGGGCTTCTGGAAGTGCTGGCTGCTGGAGTGCCGGTCATAGAGCTTCTGAGCCCAGTTCTGGTCAGTTCCTTTGGGGACCTGCAGAACCACAAGATAGGGCAGAGCGCTTTGTGAAGAGGAAGAAGGAAGCCCTGGGTTGCAGCAGAGGGATGGGACCAGTAGGCTGGCTCTGTGAAGGTTGATTCAGCCCTCGAACCAGGACCTTAACTGGACGGTGCAAAGAATGATTCAACCATACATGTTCAGGATCCGGCCACGGCGTGCCCTCATCCCATGTGGGCTGGCTCCCTTGGGACCTGTGGGAGCAGCTGAGCCTGCTGGTTGGCAGACACTGGAAGTGCTAGGGAGGATGAGGGTGAAAGCCAAGGTCACAGGAGCAGAGTCACAGCCTGCAGGACCACCTGAAGGTACTTCCCTGCAACTGGGGCTGTGACATCAGCATCACAAAACACATCCACCTGCAGTGCCAAGCTCACCCACTCACCCAGGTGAACTCCTGCCACAGGAAAGCCTACCTTCCCTCCCTAAACTCACCTAGATACCATTGTCCAGGTTTGGCTCAAGTCTGTCCTTTCCTGACCACTGTTGATCTCACTTCCCTCTTCTTTGGAATTCCTCACAATCAAGCTCTTACACATGCCCTAGAATATTGTGCACCCCTGAGTTTTGGGTTTCATCACTACAAACTGTAAGTTTGTTGTGATCAAGGACTGGCTGTGCCTTACGTTGCTTATGTGTCCCTGAAAGAACTTAGAACTGGGCTCTGGCCATGCAGTGAGAACTAAGTACCTAGTGAGTGTTCTACATGGTGCTAATCTCTGCATCTCTCACTGTCTAAAGTCAGACTTAGAGGCTCCACTGCATTAAGAATTCTGAAGGGCAGCCCCTTTCAATATCTTTATGGATGGCTTTAAAAGTAAAAAGCATCTTACTTCATTGAAAATGTAACAGAGTCACCGTAACCACCACTCAAATTGTCAAGGATGACAGCAACTCTTCCAATGGGAAGGTGCTCCCTCCTCTGTCATCCCTGGTCATCGCTGCACACACTTACTGACCAGTATCAGTCCAGTCCTCAGTGACGGGTCACTAACTGACCTGCCCTTCTTTGGTTTAGATTGCATATTTGGATCAGGAAGTGTTGATGGTGACCCTTGCACTAGCCGTTTACAAAGGGATTTTTATGGTAAACTAATAAAATCCGCACCATAAAGAAAATGCTTACATACTTGGGAACCAATTTCTTAAATCCTTTGTAAGCAAACTGATTTTGCTCAAGATTCATTTTGGCATAACTAATATTGAATACTCAATGCTAAACACCATAGGAAATTCAAGAAAAGAAAACTATCTTGAAGGAGGCTATTAATTGCACTGGGCAGACAATAAAATATATTTAATTCAGCACTTTCCATATATACTGTTTTATATTTGTCTCCAAGCATTCTGTGTTTAGAACCACCGGGTGTGAAGGAAGGAGTGGTCTTCCCAGTATGGCTGTCAGGACCGGGTGGGACAGAGGACGAACACAAGAGGGACCTAGAAGGACTGGCAAAACTGGGGCAGACAGAACCATGGTGGGAAGCCCACATAGGCAAACACGTAAAATTGGCTAGGAACAAAATCTTCTTGCCTTGGAGATGAAATTGGACTTCTGTGAGAAGACTTCGTAATCCTGCATATTCACTAATTCAGATTGGCATGAATTAATAAGCAGAGGAAACCAACAACCAAGGTCAAGTGTATACATAATTTTCTGACAAGGATCAGTCTCTCCTTTCACTGTCCACCCCACCTCCAACCAAAAATAAGGGCCGGCAGGAATTAACAATGATCAAGAGTCTCAGATGATACTCATAGCTAGTGCTTATTGTTTGCCAGGCCATTTTCTACACATTTTAGATGTATCAACTCATTTAACCCTCATACAATCATGTCAGCTAGGTGCTATGTTTGTAAACATTTTAGAGACAAGGAAATGGAGACAGAGAGGTTAAGTAACTTGCCAAGGTCACATAATGGGGAAGTATCAGGTTGGTGCAAAAGTAATTGTGGCTTTTGCCATTAAATAGCAGAGCTGGTGTTCCAAACAGGACAAGTTAATTCTTCCTGCCTGACGACAGAGTTTTAAAGGCTGCCACAAAAGCAGAACAAGGTAGAAGGTGCTTATCTCCAAAAATCTTTCCATAGAAATAGATTTTAAACAGCCACAGGAGAAAGAAAAAAAATCTTATATTTTGATAACTTCTGGGTCATGGATATCGGTAGCTCCATAATATGCAGCTGAACTGAATCCTTTAAAAAGGAAATGCACATACAGCTATATGAACTTCTTTCTGCTCTTCTCAAAGCAACGCAGAGAGACCACTGAGCCAGGAGCCGGGACCATAGCTCAGTCCTCGTCTAGGCAGGTTCTGTCCCTCAGAGGCCTAAATCCCTCTGACCTTGTGGTACTGGCCACTGATCACATCAAAAAGTAAAGGTCCCATCTGTATTAAATGCCCAGAATAGGCAAATCCATACAGAAAGAAAGTAGATTAGTGGTTGCCTGGGGCTGGAGGGGGGCAATGGAGAATAGCTGCTAAAGGGCTTTTTTATGGGGTGATGAAAATGTTCTAAAATTGACTGTGGTTGGTAATGGATGCACAACCTTGTGAACATACTAAAAACCACCAAATTGTATACTTTAAATGGGTGAATTGTATGGTATGTCAATTATATCTCATTAAAGCTGTTAAAAATACATTAGACCTGATTCCACTCCTTGCTAGTAAAATAAAGTAGCAAAAAAAAAAAAAAAAAAAAAAAGCAGGCATGGCAGTGGGGGAGTGCAAGTTCTGGGCTCCCTGAGCCCCTCTCAATGTTCCCTGTGGATCTCTAAACAGAAACTGTACACTCTCTATCACAGATGTTGCCATCGCTGGCCTGGGACATCTTCTGAGGCCAAAGCCTGCCCCCAGCAAAGCTGCTGACAGGAGCTGACTTTTAAGGACCCCAAGGCCAACCAGGCGCAATGGCTCACACCTGTAATCCCAGCACTTTGGGAGGCCGAGGTGGGAGGATGGCTTGAGCCCAAGAAGTTCAAGACCAGCCTGGGCAACAACACAGGGAGACCTCATCTCTACAAAAAACTTAAAAATTAGCCAGGCATGGTGGCACTTGCCTGTAGCCCCAGCTACTGGGGAGACTAAGGCAGGAGGATCGCTTGAGCCTGGTAGGTTGGGGCCGCAGTGACAGCTGTGATGACACCACTGTACTCCAGCCTGGGTGACAGAACAAGACACTGTCTCAAAACAAAACAAAACAAAACAAAACAAAAAAAGCCAAAAAAAAAAAAAAAACCAGACCCCAAGGCCAGTTATTCTATGTCTGCTTCTTTTCTCGTCCCTGTCTTCCTGGGCCACTGGCACCAACCTTCCTGGTCACTCACTGTCTCCTTCCATTCCATACTTCAGGCCTTGTACCCCTGCTGACCTCTCAAATCACTGTACCATAAATACCTCTGGATCCCCAGCCTCTTTAAGGAGTACCCTCTGGCCCCTCCCCTCTTTGCCATCACAGAAGCCCAGCTGGCCCCCCCCAGGACTCTGCAGTCCTCACTGCTCTCTAGAATGGAGGCAGCTCCTTCCTCCTCACCTGCCAGCCACCCCCAGTGCTGCTTCCAGGCCTTTATTTTTCACCTTTACAAAATACCCCTCTGCACGCTCAGCAAAACATTAATTCTAGATAAATCCAACTACCCATTCTCTCCTTACCCATACCTGGGTGGCTGGATGAGACCACACATCAACTCATCTTCCTTTAACCAAGCCCTGCCATTATACTTTTATACAAGTACTGCAGCCAAAAAATAAAACTGAATTTCACTCGGAGAATCACTTCTATGGATTAAGACACTGTTCCTAGATCTATGGAGGAAGTTGATCTCGACAACTCCTAAACCCCAATTTATGGTCTTTAACCACAGCCAAACAATCTGCGCACTCTGCAATTTCTCTTTCTGTTTACTGGGCAGCCATTCCCACCTTCCTCCATTCTCTTCAAGCTTCTGACCCTGCTGCCTCTCAGCAGATGCCTCGTCTCTTCCTTCATGGGGAAATAGAAGCTGTCAAGCAGGAAATCCCAAATTCCTGTCCTAACGTGCAGAAACTCATCTGCACCCACAGCCATCCCACCTTTCTGTCCTTCTCATGGAACAAAGGTCTCCCTCCTGGCTGGTCTTCCATCCACCCACCCCTGCCTCCTGGAGGGCCGCAGTCCACCCAAGCCCATGCTCCTCTCTCGCACCGCTTCTTTTTCACAGCCAAGCCTCCAAGAGTTCAAACTCGCTGTCTCCACTGCCTCACCTCCTGCTCTCCTCAAATTACTGAAATTAGGTTTCTGTCCCAACAACTCCCTTGGAAGGAAGTCCTCCACCCAAGGGACTCACGGAGGCCCTCTCCCTGCTGAGCTCCTGGAAGCCCTGGTTCTCTCCTGCCTGGCCTACCACATGGCCTCAGGGTGCTGCCCCCTCCAGGGTCTCCCCACCTCAGCTTGCACACAGTCTGGGAGACCTGCTGATCTGATCATTCACATCTGAACCCCTCTCCCCTGCTTCTCCCCTGTGGGCTGATACCTTGAGCTTCAGGGTGAAGCCCAAGTGCCTGCTCAGGGTGGACACGGCTTCTCATTCTCCCATGGTCCCTACTTTCCAACCTTACCTGCCCCCACCAGGAGTTCCAGACAAATCAGATCACTTCAAATTCTCCAAGTGTGACATTCCCTTCACCTGGAACACCCCCTCCTCATCTGACTTCGCTTGGGAATGCTCTCCCCACGACGCTCTTCCTTCTGTCATTTCCTCCACAGTGTTTCTGGTTCTGTGTCATCAAAGATGACACTTCAGTGCTTGCCTGACCCTCTCAAGAAGTGCTGACATCTGAAAAGCAGGGGCTCAGTGCACTATTCCGTGAACATGTGGTTTCTCATGTGAATGAATACATAAATGTGGCAAGGGCACTTCACCTCCCTCCATCACAGGAGTCACACCTCTACACGAAAGCGCTAGACAAGGAAACCTTTGGGGCCACTTCTTAAGAAACCACAATCCCCTGATCTGAATACAGAGTAAATCCTCCTGACAGCAGGCTGGGCCAGGTGAGGAAACAGGGGGCGGGGGACACTGGCCTCCCCACTGAGTGAGCTGATTTCACTCCACAGTCCTGAGTGATTTCCTTTCTTCCAGGAAACAAAGAATCCTCATCACAGGACACAGGGCAGAGCCTGCCGCCCCACTCAGACCTGCCGTTGATTGCTCCAACACCTCCAACTTGATACAGCGCCTGGGCTTCACTTACTAGAATTGCTTCCAGGGTTCAAGGTTGCCTGTTCCTCTGAGAGAAAGTGGACTGATGAATGGGAAGAGGATATTAGGAAATCCCAACCCAAATAGGGCTTAGAAGGCAGCAGGGGCTGGTGGGCACCTACTCCCCACCCGCCACCAGACATCTTTGGAGAGTCTTGTTACGAGCAGCCTGGAAATTAACATTGCTGACACTCAAACACCTTCTTGGAGGAGTGGGCTTGGGTAACGGAGGAACAATTTTAGTCTGTGGCTTGTTTGGGGCCTGTCTGCAAAGGGGCTTTTCCACCTCAGGTGGTTTAATAAATACCCTGGTCCAGTCTGCACTCTCCTCTGCAGCTGTGGCACCAGTCACAGGCCCTGGGGAGTGCTCCCTGCACACTCCCCCTTTAAACTCACAGCCACCCCATCTCCACACTTCTTATCTAAACCCCAGCTCACTACCCTGCCTGCCACTGCACAGCTTCCCCAAGAAAAGTGATTTTCCCACAGGCTGCTTCTGCACCATGAGTCCAATCCTTCATCTGACTTTATGTCCTGTCTCATGGGGTCACAGAACTCAACTGTTCACAGTGCAATGTATTATTCACTCTCACCCTGCAAAGTATCTGAGAGACAGGGAAGAAAGGACGTGTCTGAGGCTGCTTCCACAGCCCAACAGGATCCTTCCCAAGGAGCACCGCGTTGCCCAGCCACGGCAAACCCAGGGGGATTCCCTAACCTCCTCAGGCTCAGAGACATGGGTGCTTCCAGGCCCTACTATGTTTTAAAGTCAGGTTCATTGCAGAATAATTTCCATGCAGTAAAATGCACCCTTTCACTGAAGCATACAGTTCAGTGAGTTTTGACAAATGTAATAACACCTGTTGGCTTAAAATCCACCTGTTACTGATGCTCTATCAGACTATGCTAAATCATCCTGAATTTCCAGAACAATTAAACCTGTTACAAAAAGTCTCCACATTGTGGACTTTTGTCTTATTCCCTAATGTGGTGTTCAACTCATCTTCTTGGCCACCAGTGTGAGTTTACACGTGTCACATCCACAGTACCACCCAATGTCTTGACATGTCTAGCCCCCACCAGCCTGATTGGCAGGAAACCCAGGCTTTCCACAAACCTGTGTAGGACAAACTGCCTACTCCATGTGCCCTGAGAACTGTATACGACCTTCACCTTCACCACTTGGGAGGAGAGTGAAAAGCCAGGGTCCTCCTTGAGTACTGGCCCCAGGGAGCCACACCAGCTTAGCATCCCAGAGGCCTGGGTTGGACACAAGACATGGCGCTGCCTTTAGCTTCGGGGGTATGGAGCTGGAGGAGACGGTTACTGATGGGAATCTCAAAAGAGACTGGGGAAAAGGAGCATGACCTTGGCTGAGTTTGGGAAGGGAGGTGGTAGTAGTGGATGCTGAAACCAAGAAAATAAAAGTGAATCATGAACAGCAGGATGGCCTAGGCTGTGACTTCAGCCATTTAGCCAATGCTACTCAATCTAGGGACAATTGTTTTACCTTTACTGCTACCCCTCAGGTTAGGCAAGCCTGGACAAACACTTGCTACACTGAGAGATTATCTCTGCTTGGATACCGATTCTCGGGATGAAGCCCACATCTCTAGTGAAATGCTAAAAACCTTCAGGAGGTTAAAAAAAAATATGCAAGCTGTAGAACTGGTATATTTTTCTCTGTCTTCTACTGTTTCCCTTTCATTTTCAAAGGCAACAAAACTAGGAGAGCCCTTCTGAAAGGAAACACTTCCTACCAAACCATCAAGCCACACTTAAGCCTTTACAGGCAAGATGTGGGAGAGCAGAAAGTAAAAGCAAGTGGGTTCTTTCCCTTGCAATAGCAAGAATCATGTGGCTTTTATACCTGTTGATTAGTGTTTCCATCCCTGGAGGAACTGGTATATATTTACCCCTTTTAGCAATCAACCACTCCACTGGGAGAGATTTTGCAGATTAGATGAACCCCTATCATCGAGCAGGAAACCAGAGGCTAAAGAAGTTAGGTAATTGATAAAACCCAGATCCTCTAAACCTTACCCTCCCAATGCTGCCAGGCACTCTCCAGGCTGACAAGTCAGCACTCACCCCATCCCACCAGGTACAGCCCCTCAGAAACCAGATGGGGAAATTATGAATTTCACCTGCCACCATGCCATGCAACTCTATCACTCACAAGCCATCTGACGTGGCATTAGCAATCCCAGACTTTAGTCTTCACTCTCTAGGGATGCCCATTAGATGTTGCAGTTCTTCTCTTGGCACCTAGGTCACCTGGGACATCAAGTCCAAACCACCATATTATGCCAACCCGTGCCACCCAGGCTCCCCCAAGAGAGGCATACGTTTACCAGTGTAGCAACACCTGCCAGTCACTTTAAACATGTTGCCTTCTAGCACACAGAATGGTACATGCTTCTAGTATGCAGCCTGCCAACGCTTCTTCCAGCACACTGAAGGCCAGCTGATCACAGATGAAATTCCACCTTTGAGATCTTATGTGATTTCCTTGTATCACATCCCTACCCTAGAATTGAACTAATTTGCATCATCAGTTTTACCTTACATTCTTCATCCAACAGGTCCAAGATACCCAGCTTGGCTTCAATGAGGTCGATACAAGGTTGGTTATCATAAAAATCAATCAGGGTCCAAGGGATCTGTTCCTTCATGTATTCTTCTTGCTCCAGTTTGAAAACATGCTAGGGCAAGTAAAAAGGTCACACGAGTGAACTGCAGGCACACCTTAACATTCACCTCCCCCAGGGGCTCAGTGAGTTCTGGGTTCTGGAGGACAGCAGAGAACTGCCAGATAAGGTTTGGATGCTAAGTCATAGTTATGACTGCAGAAAAGCAAAGCACAGTTAGGCGATTCCTCATGCCTGGGTGAACACTTCCTGGGGGCACTTTAACAATCACCTGAGTTGCCGTATTCCCATTCAATCACAGGAAGCCCCATATCTGGCTTGCTGTTGCTTAAATACCCTAACACCTACGCTCAAGGAATGGGAGTCAAAGCCAAAGAGAAGATCATTTCCCCTCTCAGCACAGTTGCCCCCATTCAGTTCTCCCTCCTGAGCAGTGGAGAGCCCCTTCCGAAAGCTGGAGGTACCACCAGGAAAACCAAGGGATATCAGAACGTAGCCAGGGCCCACCCACCTCAGAGGAAGAGAAGTGGCCTGTCTGTCCCTCCCAGAGGAGTCCCCCCAATCCTGGTACCCCCAGGTCTAGAAACCAAGCCTACCGAGTTGAACTGCTGCTGGAGCTTTTCATTTGCATAGTTGATACAGAACTGCTCAAAGCTGTTTACCTCAAATGTCTCAAACCTACAGAATGGAAAGAGAAGATAAGAGACGTCTCCTTTCAACAAAGGAATCACTGGGACTTCAACAAAGCTGCTCTGACCCAGGTCTCCCCCGATGCCACTACAGAATCCCCATTGTCTCATCTTGTGTTCAGAGAGACCACTGTTGCAGAAGTTAGCACTACACAGAGCCTAATTGAAGAACATGTCTATTTTCAAAACTAGAAAAAGTAATGACAGCAGGAAAATTTTGGAAAAGAAAGTTTAAAAAAGAAAGTCAGCAATGATTCTATCATTCATATTGACCACCAGTTATATCTTGGTGGGTTTCCTTTTAGGAATTTTGCATTTTTGAAAAAAGTCAGAACTATGTAACATTTTACTTATTTAATTTAATTAATTAATTAATTTATTTATTTATTTATTTATTTTGAGACATGGTCTGACTCTGTCACCCAGGCTGGAGTGCAGAGGCGCAATCTTGGCTCACTGCAACCTCTGTCTCCCAGTCTCAAGGGATCCTCCCACCTCAGTCAGCCTCCCGAGTAGCTGGGACTGCAGGCACACGCCACCATGCCGAGCTAATTTTTCTACTTTTTTGTAGAGACAAGGTTTTGCCATGTTGTCCAAGCTGGTCTCGAACTCCTGGGCTCAAGTGATCCATCCACCTCAGCCTCCCACAGTGCTGGGACTACAGGCATGAGCCACCACACCTGGCCTTACCTTCTATTATCATCATTTAACATTCCATTGAAAACACTTCCCCACACCACTGTTCTGAAGGCATCAGTTTTAACATCTGTCTCATCAACCACTGTATAGATCAGGGCCGTGGTCTAGACCTGGGAAGTGCAATGGTGTCCAGGTGAGGGGACAGGTGGTGCTGAAATTCAGTCAGCCCCCTCGCAAGCCCCAGAGGGGTGTGTTCCATCCAGAGGGGACACCTTTACTTAATTAACACAGGTGCCCATGAGCTGGCAGTGGCCCCCACAGAGATGCATCATCATTTAACCACACCCCCAGTGAGGACATTTTGGTTCTTTTCTCAGTTGTTAGCTGCTATTAGTTTTGTGACAAATTCTTTGAATTCATAATTCTTTCCTTAGGATGCTAACCTAAAGAAATTACCATGTCAAACAGTACCACTTTTCTTAAAAGGTAGAAGTAAATTAACTCCTGGAAAGGTGGAACTAATGTTTGTTATGACCCCACCTCCAGCCTCACAATGTACGAAAGTGTCTTGTTCTTCTAATACTGGTTAACAATATTTTGTTTTAATCATCTTTATTGAGTTAGCCTTTACACACAGTAAAATACACCAATTTTAAGTGTATATTTTCATGCATTTTTCTTAAATTTTTTTTTCTCAACTTCTGTTGATGGGTGATGCATTTTTGATAGAGAATTTTTATATCGAGATGTTCTGTGAATATGCAAACACAGATGGAGGACATTTTCATCACCTGGAAAATTTCCCCATGCTCCATTCGGGTCAGCCTCCAGTGTTCTCCCCATCTGGTCCTGCCCCTCTTTACTGGGAGTCTGGGAATGGTAGTGTATCACAGCTCTTTGGTCAACTGTGTAATGTTAGCTTTTTAAAGTCTTTGGTTCCTTGGAACATAAAAAGTCTGAATTTTAACTTATCATTACTACAGCTCAACATTTTTCTGTCTGACTGTACTAGTCATTGTACTTCGTGAATTGTCTGATGCTTGGTCAATTTTGTTGGATTTTAACTTTAAAAATGGACTTACCTGAGCGCTTTGTATCTTAGAATATCAACACTATCATTCATTGCTTAACTCCAATGTGTGCAATATGGCCCAATCTTTGGGCAGGGGAAGGTGGAACCGTTAGAGGGGAGGATGGGGGTCATGATATGCAGCGTAGTGGGCAGAGGCAGGGGTCCTCCCTCAGGCCATGCTGGCTACGCCAAGGGGTCTGGAATTTACCAGGCAGCAGCAGAGAGATTCCGAAGGATGTCAAGTTAAGAACTGACAACCTGACCTGCACCTTAGAGACCGGCAGGAGAACAACTGTGAGCCGGGGGAGAGTGTGCAAGCCTGGAGGCACGAAGGTGAGCAAGGTAGTTCTTACTACAGTAGGAAGCCAGAAAGATCCAGTCAGGGCCTGACGTACACTGCTGGTGGCCAACCAATAGAAAGGTTCTGGGCATGAAGGAAGATGTGGATGAGAGGGCCTCAAATGACCAACTGGATGTGCAGATAAGACCCAGGCAACAGGATGGATGTGGTCACACTCACCATGCCGGCAACATTATACACACATTGGCAGCTTTAGCTACAAATGCTTGCAGCCCACCTTATATGCTCCACAGCAGCATCAGGCTGAGGGGTGAGAAGGGCAGAAGCCTATGAAGAAGAGATGGACATTTTCCATCTCTTCTCATTCACACACACTTCTTTTCATACAAACACACTTCTTTTCACACACACACACACACACACACACACACCTCTTCTCATTCTATACTGCCCAATGCACCAAATGGACGGCAGTGGCCCCACTAATGAGAGCCCACAGAACACTAAGCCCAAGTGCTCCACAAGTTCTGAGTAATGCCTCCAGCAGCCAAGAGTTAGGCCTTATTATTAATCCCATCCTGTGGCTGAAGAAACTGATGGGCAGGGAGACTGAATAAGCTGTGCTGCCCAAGGCCAGAGAGTCGGTAGGCAGAGGCAGTGTGTGAACCCAGACAGTCTGATTTCTGAGACCACAGTCTTAATTCAGAGAGGAGGAGAAGTTTCATGAAAAAGGAAAAACAGATGAGGTGGAAGGGCTGTGAATATGGAGGATGATGTCCTAGAAGGAGGTATTTGAGCTCATAGTGAATGGGAAAGGGCCAGTAATACCAACGAGGTAATAGCGATGGACACAGGCTCCATTCAGCCCACTCCATGTCTCTACCCTTTCCATTCTTCAGTACAACTAAATTTTCTCAGTGTCATACATACAAAGTGTCATGCAAGCCCTTCCAAATAGAGCATAGTCCCTCAGTACCACCCCAGAGAGAAATGTTGCAGCTGGCCCTGATGGGGGCTGAGGATGGTGGTGGTGGAGAGATAGCACCTGTGCAGAGGGAACACCACAGATAGAGGCATCAGATACCCAAAGGGGCCGGGCCGGTGCCCAGAATACATCAGGCTTCTCCCACCCTGGTGCTCACCTCCCCCATCAGGAGGAGTAGGAAATCATTTAGAGATTAAATGAGTCAACTGCTTGGAGACAAACCACATTAAAGCACAGCCTTTGGCCATGCCCACGTGTGAGAAATAATTCTAGGTTGAAAAAACAAGATCAAAGATGTAAAGTGTATGCTGGGATGAAGGAGGCCACCCCTGTGCACTCCAGACCAAGCAGGAGAAGCACTGTGTCTGCCAGTCACTGCCTTGAATTGGGGCCCTTCCAGCCCAGATGATAGTCTTAAAGACTGAGCTATGTCCCTTAGAACCTTACTGCCTTCCCCGATCCTCCACCCTGAGAGAAGCTGCTGATGGCAGCCAAGCCCCAGAGGAAATTGAATTAATAAAACCTAGGTGGGAGATAAAAGAGCCACCCCAGCAATTGGCCAGATAATAGCAATTGGGTGTGCTGGCAGAGCTGTGCTAAGCTCCACAGAGGATTTAAATATCTCAGACTTGTCATTTTCTAAAGGTTTACACTGGTAGCACTCCACAAAGAACATTCTCATTAATTTGAGATGGACTGAAATTAGCTTGTAATTTTCCTATTTCTAAGATATTATCTGGTAACAATTCCTGTGCCATCTAGCATAATTACTTAAATGCCGGAGGCCCAGAAATGAATGAGGGGCTCGGGCAGCTTGGGGAAACATCTAAAATGACAGACCTCAGAAAGCCACAGTTGGGGAGATTGGGTAACTTTTCCTTTACAATGGAATTATATTTATAGTAATTCCTCCCATCAACAGAGAAGACTTTTTAAAATAAACACAATGAATCAATTTATAGTTCACAACATTAAAGTGTCACAAAGAAATTTATATGCTAAAGAGAACTGAATTTCTCTTGTAAAATCAGTGTTGAAAATATTTAAACCAGAATCCTTGGGCCGGAGGAAGGTCAAAACATAGAGTAAGAATCGATGCTGAAATGTGGCATCTGGTCTCTCGATGGCACAATGATCACACTGTTTCCATTTCTATTTTCATAGTCGAAAAGTATACAATTTCCTTCTCATTCTACCTTAACTTCAGAGTGTAGTAAGGGACACAGATGCCTCTACAAATAAGGTAGTGTCCGTTGGAAAGTGAAACTGCAATAAAAAGTCAATTAGTCACTAAGTTAATGATCAACCTCCTTGAATCTCTCACTCCATGACCTGGAGAGAGAACAGAGAGGCAGTGAGATGCTTTGAAGATTGGGAAACTCTACGTTCCCCTGGCACAGGTCAAAGGAACTAAAATCTCCTAGCTCAGCCTGGTCTTTCCAATTTATAAAGCTCACTCTCCAGCATTCTGCCTTTGGTAGACTGAAAAGATGGACTACAGATTAGATACAGACGATAGCTTCCAGGGAATGATTATTAGAAGTCACACAGAAAATATAACATGGAGAAATTCTCCCTGGAGAAGCCTTTAAAAGCAGGGCCATCATGCATTGAGGTCAGAGAAATGATCCAGACATCCTTTCAAGGTCCCTTTCCATCTTGAAGCCTATAAAATCTCACAAGGCCACCCTGGGTCTGTCAGAGAGGCCAACCCTTCTGATCTCTTTACTGAACAACCTCGGGATGCTGGCTGTACCTTGGAATGGTGGGGCCTGCATTCCGCTCAGGTGCTTCTCTGTGCCTAGATGCCCCCACCCAGGACTAGTTTTTTTAGACAGAACACAATCCCAGGCACTGTTCACACCCCAAGGCGAAGGTCAGTTATTCTTCTTGAGGACCTAAATCCACTCAGTTTGCCAAATGCTCCAATTCCCAGCTCGTCTTCAGGCCTGAAACTCCAATGCAGGACAGGAAAACATCCACTGTATGGCGATCCTCTCCCAACCTAACAGCCAACTGTCCCAAACTATGAAGGCTGTAAAGATGAGCAAGTCACAGTCCCTGCCCAGAAGAGCTACTGGGCAGATGACAGGAAACTAGTACATGAGAGCCTCCCCAAGGAATAGAAATTGTATGTGTTGTAGGCTTTTAAAAGACAATGAGGCCATAGTGTTCCCAAACCAAACTGAGGGTCGGGCTGCTTATTCTCGTGGCCCAATAACAAGATGCAGATGAGCTGGGGAGGAAAAGAGTTTTTACTTTCTGCAACCAGTTACAGGGAGAAGGCCTGGAAATTATCGCCAGCCCAACTCAAAATTACAAAGTTTTTCAGAGCTTATATACCTTCTAAGCTGTATGTCTACATGTAAGTGTGCATTCATCCAAAGACATAAGTGATTAACTTCTAATCTATAACTAAGATCTGAGTCTTGAAGACTTTCCTCTGGAGCCTCAGTAAATTTACTTAATCTAAATGGGTCCGGGTGCTGGGGTGATTACCCTTATCTTGTCTCCTGCTAAATCACGGAGGTTTGGGGAGTTCCTTCAGGCCCCCCAATAAACTTGTTTCTAGAGGCCTGGGGAGTTTCTTCAGACCCACAATAAAACTTGTTTAATCTTAAACGGGTCCTGTTAAGAATTCATTCCTTATTTTGTCATGCTTTAAGGCCCAGGAAGGGCCTAGGCAAGACTCTTGGTGGGCTCTTGTTACATTCCAGCCTTTGTATGAGGGCACTGACTTTTTTAGCTTTTAATATTTAACTTAACCACTCACTCAGTACTGAAACAGTTGCTATAGAGGCCTGCGTTAGTGAGACCTGGACTGCCACATAGTGTGGGAGTACTGGCATGGACAGAGAGAACATGGAACTTCATCTGAGCCTTGGAAGCACACAGTGGTGTCAGGCTCCAGGCACACTCCAAAGGGCCACCTCAGAACAATTCGGGAAGGTGGAGCCTGGCTTTAGAGCCCTCTTGAGCTATGAGGCTTTCCTAGGAGGCTGGGAGACTCCAGGGTGAAGCCAACAGCTTCCGATGATCTGCAAGGTTTGAGAACACTGTGGCTAGCCATGCATGTCCTCCCTGAAGAAGGCATGTCCAGGGATCTTCTGGGCTGTCCAGGGCTGAGACACTGTCACAGGCTGAAGGGTTAATGCAATTCCTGATTTCTCCCCCTCCATTTTCTGTGAAACCTTTCGATACTGGCTAGAGAAGAGATGGGTAGCCTCCAAATAATTATTGCAGCTTTGAGGTTATTTATGTTTATTTTGGAGAGCGAGACCAAGAAAACTAAAGCAAAAGAATATTTTTTCCCCACCAAACAAAGGTGAACAGTGGGTCTAAGAAGTTTACTTAAAATATATCATTGTAGTCAACCTACAGAACGTGAGGAAATATTTGCAAATCATATTTCTGATAAAAGATTAATAACCAGAATATGTAACAACTTGTAAATGAATATGTAAAACACATTCCGCCTGCTCCCACACTGTGGCGTGTACTTTCATTTTCAATAAATCCCTTCATTCCTTCCTTGCTTTGTGCGTTTTGTCCAATTCTTTGTTCAAGACGCCAAGAACCTGGACACCCTCCACCGTTAACAACACAGTGCTGGGATTATAGGCATGAGCCACCGCGCCCGGCCTTAAAGGCATTTTTAAACATACCATTAAAGAGCACCGAATAGAGTTGGATGCTAATTTATTATTAGGAAGTACCACAAGAAAGTAACAGAGGACTGATGAGGATATAAAATCCCAGGAAATCCTATGTCCTGCTTCCTGGGGTCAAAACTTCCCCACCTTCTACCCCATTCTCTCCCCAGCTGTTCCTCAGCAGAACACATGAATCTGTTACAGCCTGTGTTGCTCCCAGGCCAACTGTCCTCCGCAAGAATGGGCTGGCCATAGCCAAAGCCCTCTGCTACCTTGGCATCTTGAAGGCTGAAATCAAAGACAAGTAAATGTGTATTTTTCCCAAATTGAAGCCGTTTATTTCTTGTTGCCTCAAAGAGAGGATAGGAACAAAGGATTAGAGACTCAAGGGGAGGAGAGGTATAAAGGATTACAGACTGCAATTAATCAGGCCTAGAGAGGCAAATGCAGGTTAATGCAACCTGGAAAGGGAATCCCAGCCAAAAGCTGCCAGGATCTCCCCTATTAATTTCCATACCCTGCCTGGTCAAAAATACCCTGAAGGCGACTTCACAGATCCTTGGTTAAGGTGAAGAGCTCAGCTTGGGGTGACTAAATTGTTCTGAGTACTGCTTGCTTTGCACTTTTTGTGGAGCTGGGACAGAGGAGCAAGATGTAGGGAAGCTTCCACCAGACACTGGGGGTCTGGAACCATTCAGAAAAGCCTTGGGGAAGGGCCTCTGAGCAGAGCACTCACCACAGTCATGGTGGAAGCAGCTGTGGCCCATGCTAATTTGTTTAGAAGCCCACAGCCTTTCTCCTCTACAAGCTAACTATGAGTCAGAACACAGTGATGGGGAGAAATGTGTGTATACGATGCTGGCGTGTGTACTGCTTGCTTATAGAAAGAAGTGAGTGTGTATTCACTCTGGCTGTGAGTTCTGTGGTAACATTTAACACATTTATAGGAAAAAGTGGAGTGGCTCATGTTTGGTACAGAATTATTTCGGTTCATGAATGAGCTTCACTGGCGGGCCAGGAATGCCCTAGATAGGCACTGCAGCTCATCCGGGGACAGTTATCCCAGTGGAAGAAATCAGTGGCCACTGGTGGGGTCAAGGGGAAGAAGCAGCAGTTCCACCCTCGTTTCCTAGCTTTGCCCATTTCCAACCTGAGAGGGAGGCAATGTCTCGTTCTTTTCCACTTCCCGGATGTGGCTGGCTGTATTCAGAAACTCATCCCAGTATTCTTTCTGTTCTCTCTGGACTCCACTTTTGCCACTCTTGCTCAAAAGAGACAAGGAGAAGTGAGAAAATCAAAGACATCAGGTCAGCCCCAGGGCATCCTCTATGGGTACTCAGGCATCCCCACACCCCCACTAAGAAGGAGTGAGACAATGGACAGATGGTCTTCTCCTCCAGGGTTTGATGGCCAGGGATATGAATAGAAAACTCAAAAACTAAACAACGCTTGGGTTTTCTTATGCCACAGAGGATGAAAAACTCCTTAGAATCACTTCCCATAGTCATGAATAGAATAAAGCCTAATGACTGGAATGAGTTTGAACTGGGAAGGAGGTGAGTAGAGAGGGCGAGAAGTGGGGCTGAGTGTGATGCCCACTTCCAGGTAACCAAGAAATGACCACATTAAAAAACAAAAAAGGCAGGTTTGGTGGGTTTCTGGAAGGTATGTGAAGTCCAAAGGAAATAAGGCAGATAAGACACTGTAAGTGGAAAGGGGCAGATGACAGTAAACGGCTCACACATGCTATCCCAAGTTTCCACCCAGGGTTCTGTGTTGTTTTCTCCCAGATTAAGAAATGATATCACTGACCTGATAGATTAGAAAGTACCTCCAGACTCAAGCCACCTGCTCTTCCGTTAATTTGTTGATTTTAATCTCCTAAGAGTTCTCCTAAGAGTTCATTACATACCCTCTCACCAGAAAGACAGCCTGGGCCAGTCCACATTTGTAAAATTTCTTGGTGAATCAGACCATTGAGTAGCATGCACTTCCATATTTAGGGCATGTATGTAAGTGCTTTCTTGGCAACCAATGGCCCAGGCACACAGCTAGCTTGTTCACTCTGAATTCCCTTGTATCTAACTTGTTATCCTTAACTCAGAGAGAGTGTGAACTCAGCACTGCATTGAGCTACAGAGGAGTAACTGTGCATGGGACTTATTTGTCTCAAGAAGAAGAGTCACTTTTAAAATATGACAACTTTATAACAAAAAAAGTGAATTGGTTTCTGAGAAAGAATGAAGATTAAGAAAAAAACAACATAGCATGCCCGGAAGAAAGCACAAAGGGTAGGAAAATTCCCAAGAATGGCCTTATGCTGATGGCCCTGTATCGGGACCCTGCCCTCATGGAAGAGCTGTCAGATAGTCTCAAAGGAGCCCGGAAGCCACTCTGAGATGAAGGAGACACAGGTGAGGAGCTGGCACTAGGAACAGGAGACCAAGTCCTCCAGGTTGCCACCCCATCCATGGAAAACTATTGTTTTCAAACCAGACAAGCCATCCTTGCGATCTATTTCTCCCCTTTAGGCAGTCACAGGATGTTAGAGAAAACAAACAATTACAAAAATTAAATGGCAAATATAAACACAAAATCCCAGCTTGCACAAACCGGGCTGACATCTGTGGACTCAGCAGCCCCACGAGCCCAGCTCACGGAGGCCTCCTAAGAACAGCAAAAAACCCAGCGGAAGATCACAGGGAAGGAGAAAGCAGACTCTTTAAATTCAAGGCACTGTTAAGATGATATAGAAATACAACAGAACTGAGGCATGGTATTTTATGTAGCAGTAGTAAGGAAATCATAAAATTTTTACATGCTATTGACAAGTCTGCATGTTAATCTTCCTAAATCAAAACCTCAGTAAAATTATATCCTTCTACAAGTGGATTAAGGGAATTGGGTCAGCTTGGGTTTCCCCAGGTCTTACTTGGAAGGTAATACCGAAAGGTCAGTATTTTGGGATATCCAATTACCTGAAAATACTCAAAGTAGAGAGATCAACACATAATTAATGATTGACAATGAGACTGGAAGTTCCCAGAGAGCACACTGTTCTATGCTCTCCCAAGAGCAACTACAAGGGCTGAGCACAAGGCAAGCACTCGATGGACCAGAGGAGAAGGGGCCTGCCTGGGGTCATGCAACTGAAGGCCTGGGGAGGATGCCTCTTCTCACCTCCCACTCTCGGTGATTCTCCACTGTGTGCTCCTTATCAGCAAGGAGGTTTGCCTTCACACTCTGCTCCTTCCTCATATCTTGGTTGCACTCCTGTTCCCAAAGATGCCTCCCTCACTTTCCATATTCTTCCCCTGTTCATATGATCCAGTTCAAATCTTAGCTCCCACATAAAGCTTGCCCAACTGTGCAAGCGTGTCCTCTCCAGCCTTGAAACTTGTACAGCACGAAGCATCCAAACCCTCAAATAGACCCTTCCACAATTTCTTCTGATGCCTCTTATGTCACTTAACTCGTGCATGAGACAACTCCTTCAGCATCTTCCTGAGGCCTTTGTGATGTCAGAAATCACAAAGATTGTCTTCTTTCTCCATAGCATGCAACATAGTTCAATTTGAAACCCAGGGATGAGCAACAGCATCAGAGATGTAATCAGGAGAGCCTGTCTCCGCATGCCACGTGGGGAAGTGGCCACTTCTACAGGGGACTGGCCTTTATTCCAACCTCATCATAAGGTGAGTACCGGGTGAGTTCTAGCCTGCTAAGCAGTTGTTCGCACTAGAGTGTCACTGTTCTTACGACGCTTCACTTCTATGGATCTGAATTTCTATTTTAAGATGCCATGACTTCTATAATTTAAAGATCCAGGAGGATTTAGTCTATTGTTAGCTTAAAGAGGACAGGACATTGGTCAGAAAAGAAGTGCAAGGTAGGTTGCAACCCAGTTCGTGTTAACTTCAAACAAGGACCTAGAAAGAACCTCAGGGAGACTGTGGCTCAAAACCTCATTTGAAGCTATGAAATGAAAGACCAGAGAGGGTCTGCTATCTGTGGAGATTCACTCAGCTGGTTGGTGACAGTCTCCCGATGGCTAGGCAAGTACACTTTCACCACACCACGGTGGCTCTCCCTGCCAAAAATAAAGTTATAAATAACAGTCCTTTCAATCAGGCTGGAATTCTGAAAGGAAGAGAAACCTCAGGAATGACCACACACAACACAAATCTGCACAGCCCTGGACAAAATTATGGTACTAAAATAGCCACCTTGACTGTTACAGTCAATGAGGTCAAATGGTAGATTGAAATAAAACATTACTGAGATACAGAACTTGAATTTAAGTTCCATTTCTCACAGTAACTTGCAAAATCACATTGGGCAGGTCATTTCCCTCTCTTGGCCTCACTTTCTCAGGTGTAAAAACTGACGCTTACAGGGTTTCTCATTGGGAAACTCCTGGTGTTTTGACAGGTCCATTCTTGCTTGGGGACTGTTCCCTTACATTATAGACCACTAAGCCTCCCTGGCCTCAGGCCCCATCATTGTGTCAACTAATCAACTAAAAATGGCCCCACACATTTTAAACTGCCCTAAGTTGAGAACCACCAGGAAGCTCTCCAATGCCCCTGCTGGCTGTAAAGTATGAGCAGGAAGCCACTCCCAGGTAGCAGATAGAGCGAGACAGGCGGCAGGCCTACCCATAGATGTCCAGGACCCCGATGAAGGAGTGCTGCTTGAGGGAGGTGTGCAGGGCCTTGTTGATGTGCTCCACAATCCAGCCGAACAACTGGGCATAGATGTGCTTCGCCAGGGCGTTGCGCGCATTGATCACCTGCTGCAGGGACATGGTCTTGACGTAGGTCTCCGAGGTGGTGACCAGCTTGCGATGACACAGCCAGTGCTCCATCTGACTGTGCTCCACCCCTAGCAGTCGGCAGAAGTTGCTTAGGTATACATCCTGGGGCTGTGGGAGATGGGGGAGATAGGTTCAGGAGGAGTGTGGGAGACAAGCCGCCCCCCACCAATGTCTTCCACCCTCCTGCCCAGAGGGAAAACAAGCCAAACTCAAGGCCTCCCAGCCCTCCAGAATCCCAGCACATGCCCTGCTGCCAGCCCAGCAGTCTCTCTCACACACACACACACACAGACACACACACACACACACACACACACACACTGCTAAGTGGAGATGACAGAGCCCATAAGAGAGCAATGCTCAGACTGGTCATTCCACCTGCTAATGACCAAATTATAGGACTTTAAAAACCAAAACATTCTCCATCTTTCTTGTCCCCTCCCTCCATGCCAGGCTGCTGCTGAGTAACTGGTAAGAGGCAGGTCCTGGAGTGAAGGGAGCAGAAAGAGAATTGAGAGCTTATGACCATGCAATCCATTCGGAGTAACGAACACATTCACACCAAATGCAGTTTGCATCTGCTGAGGTATGCATGCAGTGCTTGACCCACAGCCCAGAAAGCAATTCTCTTCCTCTCTCTTAGAATTCCTCCCTTACAGGCATTGCCTTTGACCCGACCCATCTAACCAGCTGTATGCTCAGAAACAAGCCCCAGGCTCCTAAGGTGGATGGGCCCTTCGAAGGCACTAGCCATGTTCCTCCCTTAGAAGTCAGTTCCCTACTCTGTAAAATAACATGATGGGCCAGATCAATGATTCTCTTCTGGGTGGGTAGCTTAAGTGAGAATCACCTTGAAGAGTTTCTGAAATTGTATATGATACCAGTGAGTGGTTCAGATGTGCTGGGTGAGAGGCTGAAACGCAATAGACGATGTCACTCCCAGCACTGACCCTGCATTGTCCTATGCTTCCAAGCAGGCTCGCTTTCTTCTTAGCCTCATTGATGCTAAAATCATAGAAACTGAACTTTTTTTTCCCCAAGAAGCAAGCGTTTTAAGTATGTAAACAAAGTTCCTCAGCGTGGAAAGCTAAGATACATGGCAAACCCCTGGACCACATCTTGACCTGGGAAGATCATCTGGAACACTTCCACTGATAATATCACACATGCTCAGAGCTGGAAAGAAACTGGAATTCCTCCAGTTTAGGCCTCTTTTCCTACAGGCAAAAAGCTGAGCTGAGCCCCAGAGAGGTACAACTACTCAACCAGGCCCCCGCCCCACCCCCAGCACAAGGCTTCTACCACGGTCCTGCCCGATGTATCTCCTGCCTACCCCAGCTGCCTCTACTGACTATGTGTGAGTCTTGACCCTCATTTACCCAAATACCAATCACATCACCTGACATTTGAGTCACTGGAAAGCCACATTTCCCACAGGGTCTTGTCTTCTTTCACCAAAATGTACAAATTCCTTGGATAATCCTTGCAGCCCACTTGGGGCACTCTGAGAAAACCTGCTCATCGTTGTTATTCATTCTCTCACCTGTTTTTCATTCCCTCAACTGAATCCACCTGGGAAAGCTGGTAGCCCAGGCTCAAGCCTGCTGGAAAGCTTATTAACGCTGAGGCTGAAAGGGAATCCTTCAGAACATGATGTGCCATCTCCTAATGACCCTCAATTGCTTGTGGGACTCATTTTCTGATGAGGCTGACTTGTAGGATTTAAATGAGGGCTTAATGAAAATTAACACAGATAACTGTATTATTTCTCCCTTAACACCATATCCCCAGGCAATTTTTTCCTCCTACATATATTTAAAATCCATCTACCCAAAACAGTTATAAAATAATAGAACGCCAGAATAATAGAATCCAAAATCACTAAGGCCAGTGTTTTTCCAATGTATGGTTTATGGAACAGTAGTTGCAAAGAACATTAGTTGGCTTTACTTAACAGAAGGAGAGGATAGGACCAGGTTAAACACAGCTGAACTGGTTTAATACACCATGTAGCACCAAGAGATAGATATTTTAAGAAGCATTTTTGGAATGTATTTGACCAAAGAATGCTTATGTTCTTAAGAAATTGCATTCTAATCCGATGTCCCTTACTATTCAGATGAAGCTGAGTGAGGCCTCCTGCCTTCTGGCCCAGAGCTCCTAACCCCAGCCCTGCAGGACAATCAGCTTGGTTTGGGCCGGGTGGGTGTGGAGAAGCCCCCATCTTTTCACACTCAGCAGAGAGTTTCCATGGCTACTTCTCCTGGCCAAGATCCTTTTTCTCTGAAGCCAACCTGTCTCCCCTGCTCCCCGACTCCCCTAAACATAAAGCCATATGTAGTAGAGTTAAGTGCCTGGGGACCGCTTGGCAGGCAACAAGTTCAGAGGTGGCAAGCGTCCAATTTGTTCATCTGACCTATTTCCAAGAAATTCTTAATTGCTAGGCACGGCACTGCAGATGGATTCCCTGACATTTAAGTGGCCTGCCAGCAGCTACCATGACTGCCCAAGACATGCCCACGGGCACCCTCCCCTGCCTAAGGCCTCGCGCTGTGAGTGCAGTGGAGAAAGCACAAGTTAGAGACTTGTCTGAGAAACCACCCTGGGGACCGGCTTTTAACCACCACAGTGGGGCGGGGCTTGATTTTCTCACCCTCTTCCGACTGTTGATTGAAGGTGCTGACTGAAACTGATTTAACATCGTACAATTACATTTAGGCAAAATTAAATGATGCTAAATCCATTAAAAATAGCCAATATAATAAGTAGCAGATCAGTTTTATGGGCCCATATTGCTAAATTCAAGAAACAAATTGAATGCTGTTGCATCTCCAAGGCAACCCTGGCAGTCATGGAGCACATTCTCATGCTTTAATTAAAAATAAAAACTACTGAGCAGAAGGCACACTGCGTATGGAAAGACAGCCTTTCCAATAGAAGCTCCATCCTATGTGCCCGAGGAATAAACCACAATCAGTGGGGCTCTCGGTAGCAACTATTAACGATGCATTTCTCAAGCACACATTCTGTGCCTGGCACTGTGAGGGCACCAATGGGGCTCACCAGGCAAGCAGAGGGCAGTCTCCTCCCCAAGGACTTGTAGTCCAGCCGAGGAAGCCAGGCTGGCAGGAGTGAAGTGGACTGAACACTGCCTGGGCCCTGTCCCACCTTTGCCATTGTCATTCTAACCTCAGAGAAAGAGGTTCCCCTCTCTGGGCCTTATTTTTTCCTCCCCTGTACAGCAAGAGGGATGCTCTTAAGGTCCACTCAGGCTATAACAAGGCTGATATTAGACAAAGACTCTCTCAACCACGAGCTCTGTGCTAAAACCTTTCCACACAGGGCTTTCTGGGATCTTCACTCCAGCCCTGAGGCAGGTGGTTATCCACACTTTACAGAAGAGGAAACAGAGAGGTTAGCACACTTGCCGTAAGTCACACATCCAGCAAGAAGAATCAGGATATGAACCTTGGCCATCTCGACTTAGAGTCCTTGCTGTCCACTAGCTCTCTGTACAGCTCTGATTGCAGAACAATGGAAGACCAGCCTAGACCACAAACCTGCACTCAAATGCCTTCTGGAACTTCCTGCCGCCTAGCAGAGAAAGGGCTGCCACACCAGGTAGCATCCAAACCTCAACCTCTCAGGCCTCCTCCCTCCTGCCCCCTTTACCACCTGCATCCTCCATCCATGCCTCCCTAAGAGGCCCTGATGTTCCCACCCTCATACTATCTCCACACAAACACTCAGTGGGTACTAGAGGGAGAACAGTGAGCCCAACAGATACAGTCCTAATAAACACTCACTTCCCTTCTCACCTGAACGTTCTCCGGAGGCTGGGTGTGGAGGGTCAACTATAAGATCAGAGACACTTCACTTACAGGCTTAAGCCTTAATTTTGCTGGTCTCGCCCCCCAATGCAGGTAGGTGTCCACGGACTCCCCAGCCCTGGTTCTCATGCTAACCATCAGCCTCACTAAGATCTCAGAATTGCCCATCCACTCTTACTCTCCTGTGTGCCACCCCTGAGGCCTGGAGAGCCTCAGTCATCCACCCATCTACTTCTTGGGTACCTGGTGAGTGCTGAGCACCACAATAGATGCTGGTGATAGACTAAAGAGCGAGAACTGACCCTACTCTTTCAGAGTTTGGAGTGTCACAAAGGAGAAAGGTAGGCAGCAAGTAATACACACACACACACACACACACACACACACACACACACACACACACACACAAAATGCTCAGCCCCACAGAGGAGAGGTAAGAACCCATGAAAGAAGAAGTGACCTGTGAAGGGCCTGGGGAGGAGCAGGGTGTTGGGCGGGCTGGAGGTCCACAGACCACAGAGCACATCTGTCACCTTTCCTGCCTCTTACCAGCCTCAGCCAGGCCTTGGTCACTGCAGGTGTTCCTCATCTCACCTGTCCCTGACACAGAGTACAGCTGCCCTGAGGAACCACAGGACATTGACTGAGCTGTATGCATGGGGAGGCACAGATGCTCTATGCCTTTCTTATCAGGGGAAAGACACTGGGACAATACATCACTGGCCCTGAAGACTCAGATTACGGGAAGGTTTGTCCTGCACTGGAGGTTCCTCCACCACCCCCTGGGCCACAGGTCCTCCTCTGAACATGACAGTCCTTCTCATGGCATCACTGCTGCCAACTCCACTGTACCATGCCCTCCTTCCCCCTAAGGTGAGCACCCACACAGGTATATAAGCAGCAGATGTCCAAAACAGCTCCAGGGCACCTAACGCTACCAGCACCAACACCTCCTCCTTTTCCACTGGGCCCGACAGGGGAGCTTCAAGGCTCTCACGAGGCTGCAGAGTCCATGCCAGGGATGGCAGCAGGCCAGACAGGCCCAGGGGCCCTCTCAAACCCTAGATCATTCCCCACAGATTGTGTATCCATCCATGGATGATACACAATGAGCTCTACTGAATCCCAGCTACAGTTCAGGTCTTCCTCTCCCTGAAGACAGGGCCAGTTTGAACTTCTCATAACCCCCAACTCTAGACAAACAGAAGGAGGTTAATTTACGTCCACTCAATTGAATAAGCATTAGCTTGTGAGCAGCATGGACACGTGCCCTCAGGTAGTGTTGTCTTTTGTATTTTTCCAGTGTCTGGTTATTTAAATTCCAAGTCCCTGGAAGCAAGAATCATACTTTGTACCTCCCCAGAACCTGGCCATAAATGGGCATAAGAGGTATAGAATAAACAGTTGCAGATTCACCTATCCAAGGTTAGAATACCAGCTTTAGCTTTTCCCAACACCATTAAATTCCAGAAGGCACAGCAATTGCTGTGGGTGCCACTTCCCTGGTGCTTACTCCATCACCCGTCCATCCACTTAGACATTTACCTACCACATATCAGTACTACATTGGGCATCAGGAAAATAACCTTCATTATGAGCCTTCACGGAGCACTTGACAGCTTGCAGTACTTTCACATGTGTGTCTCACTTAACAGCCTGCCTTGTGCTGTCAGAATCTTGGCAAGGGTTGCCACCTGTCTTGTCCACCCAATTAGACTATAAGCCCCTTTGAAGCATCACCAGGTACAGTGCCCTGTGCCCTTTCATCTCCTTGCAGTGGGGACCTCAGTCTGGCACTCAGAAAGTACTCAATTGATTGACAACAAGTAGAATTCTGTGTACTTCAGGGTACTTGGGAAATCAACCCAACAAAAAGAATTTATCAAATAGCCACTACATTCCCTGTCCTCGGCAACAGAAACTTGATGGCAGCTGATTTTTAAAGGGTTGGCTCTTTTAAAAAATTATCAGCAAGTGAACAGAAACCATTACTGTTAAGAATAAATAACCTATGAGTGTCCTCTAACTGGAAAGACACATTTCAGTCATATCAAAGAACAGGGTAAATTGTGTTCATTTTATCTCCGGTGTTGGTGTGCAACTTACTGATATACTACAGGAATCACCATCACGCTCAGCCTGAATCGCCACACTTCCAAGGTGCAAGATAGAAGCAATTATCTTAAAAATGCTCATCTGATGGGACTCTTTCACTCCTGGAAAAGAAAAATGAATGGATGACACTCAGTATCCATGGTCGGACAGAAAGGACATTTTACCCCTTTTAAGGACATTTTTTTTTTTAATAAGGTTTGATTTTTCTTTCTGACCCGATGACTCCTAAAATGATCCAGGCTCCTCACCAAGTAATTACCACTCACAGTAACAGCTCAGAGGGCAAAGGGGCTCCTTGGACTAAAAAGAAAATATCTTCACTATGATCGTCCTGACCAAATCAGATGGGTCAAGCTGCCATTTTAACTTCTCAAAGAGCAAAGCAGAGGCAGCAATCCTGCAGGCTCATTTTGGGCTTCATTTCAACCAAACACTTTATGGATGTTTTTATGAGTTTAATAAGAATGGTCATGTATCTGCAATCATTTTTTCTCCAACATAATATCCTGTAAACATCTGTGACACACATCCCCAGTGCCAATGAGGGAAGAAAAGGAGAAACTTCTCTTGGGATTGCTGTTCTGGGGCTGGATGGCCAGCTGGCCCCTGGCCATCCCCAGATGGAGCAGCTGTTCGCCACACTATATGCACTGTCATAGGCAGGCACACTGATCCCAGAACCACTGTGGCAGCAATCACGTGTTGTCAGATTTGTTATTTACCTATACGAATCATCAAAGGCATGGATAATCTCTTAATTTGTATTTAGCTTGCAAGGCATTGGCGTTTTTACAGAATGATTCAGACTCATTTTTAAAAGACTACAGAACAATAGAATGAATACCAGTGAACCTTCCACTTAGTTTAAGAAATACAGCTGCTCTCCCCATTCCTCCCAGCTGCAGTTAATTTTTAAGGCAATATTTTATTCAGGCTAAAAAACAGTAACACCTGTAAAAATGGGAGGCACAGATGTGCCATGCTAGGATTAAAAAATTTCCCCAGATAATCTACAAAGTGGACAACCCAAGCAACATTAACTCTAGGCTTTTATGTTAGATGGCCACTACCATGTAAGCATCATAGATTTACTTTTTTGATTTTATTATGTAAAATTTCAAAACATACAAAGTAAAGAATAACAAAGTAAATAATATAATGAATCCCTGTTCTTGCTTGTCATTAGATTCCCAGGGCCTTGAACACTGCCTGGAACATAGCAGGTGCTCAGAAACCTGAATGGTAGAATGACCGGATCGCTGGCTACTACACAGGCTGCAAGTATTTGCAGCTATCAAAACATATGCATTATTTGAATACGTGGTATTAGCTTAAAAATCCCCCCCAAAAAACACCAAAGAATTTAAGCGTCCATCTTGGTTCAGCATAACTGAATACACCTGGTGAAAGGAAGACAGATTAAAGCCAGAGGCTGGTATTCAGGACAAGACAGGAAGCTAGGCACTTATGCACCCTTGTAGGAGGTAAAACACTGGGGTTTTTTGTCTGAGCTTAGAGTATCTTGCTCTTAAGTCAAGTCCCATTGAAAGTGCTAGACAGGAGCTGGGTGCTGGTACCATCACGGAACAAGAAGGATATACTCCCTAGACAGTAGCTTTTCTACTTCGTTTATCTATTTTTTTGAGAGAGGGTCTTGCTCTGTTGCTCAGGCTGGAGTCCAGTGGCACAGTCACTGCAGCCTCAAACTCCTGGGCTCAAGCAATCCTCCCACTTCAGCCTCTTGAGTAGCTGGGACAGGTGTGTGCCAACATGGCCAGCTAATTTGTTTTATTTTTTGTAGAGACAGGGTCTCCCGTGTTGCCCAGAACTCCTGGGTTCAAGCAATCCTCCTGCTTCAGCCTCCCAAGGTGTTGGGATTACAGGCATGAGCCACTGTACCTGGCCTACTTCCTTTACTCTTGAGAACCAATGCTCTGTCAATTTCCAAAGACCGAACCACCCTGTCATGGTAGGAATTTAAGTGGTAGACACAGAATGAATACTGAATCCTAACAATAGTTAGGATCCTCGCACTACATTGATGAGAACATCCTTTCCTGCTGTGGGATTCTTTGAATAAGTGGTACCTCACGCTATGGGAAGCAAAAAATCTAAAAACAAAAATCAATCAAACAAACCTAAGGAGTAAAACAGGGGTTGGCAAACTATGGCCCACAGCCTGTTTTCATAACTAAGTTCTATCGGAACACAGTCATGCCCACTCTGTTACGTTCTGTCTATTGCTACTTTCACAAAACAGCAGAGTTGAATGCTTTGCAACAAACTGTATGGCCCACAAAACTAAAAAAATTTACTATTTTGTCCTTTAAGTTTGCTAACCCCTGCAATTAAAAAAGGGACATGTTTATTAAAGAATAGAGAAGAAAGTCTTATTACAATAATTAGTTTTACAAAAGCAATTTGCTTTGAGCATTAAAGTATCCAGTGTCCTTAGAGCCTTGGAGGGAGCAATCCTCTCCTTATATCAGCTTGTGCCCACTGCCCACATCAGCACTACAAGGGCAGCTGCCAGAGATCTTCTCCTTTCTCTGATAAATTCAGAGAAGAATGTATCCTGCACACTGTCAAGTCTGCTCCAAACCTGCCCAACTCTGGAGACTAGGATAGGCATGTAGTGCTGAGGAAGTCAGGGATGCCAGTTATCAACTTATCTCTCAGCTTCAAAGCATCCCCTTTGCCCTGCTTTATCAAACTGAAGCTGGGCCCTGTAAACATTTCTCCTTTGCCTACTGGTAGAATGTCAAGCTTGCTCAATAGAGGGTATTCCGGCGATTTGCAAGGCAACAGAACATGAAGACAATTCCCTTTCTGGTTCTGGTCCTCCATAGTTATCATGATTTATCAGGGAGCCCAGAAACCTCCAGATGAGCTCCAGCTCTGCCCTCAGACCTGTCTCCCCATCAGCAGTGGCTTCTGAGCAGTTCTGGCCCCCTACACCTTGGGGCACCTGCAGCCTGCTTGTACAAAACAGCTCTGGCCTGCATCCTCTGGGCAAGTTTCTTCATCACATCCTCTTAGAAGTGAACTAAAGCTCAGCTAGGATGGAGGCCTCTCTTACCTTTATTGGCTGTTCTTCCCCCACCACCCCATCCCGGCCCCTGCCAGGAATAGCAGATGTTCTTTTGTACCTGCTACTTCTGGACCCTCTATAAAGTCCTCATTTATCCCTTTTGTAGTCAATCACCTGCTACTGCTGTAGTTAACAATTGTTTATATTAATTTTTCTATTTTGGAATAACCAGTGTGGTTTGTGTCTCCTGACTGATAGATAGGGTTTGTCTTTTGTACCCATGAACTATGTACCAGTTTCCCAGAGAACTGACTGGCTCTGGGAGCGTGGCAAATAAGGGTCTGGTTGCCTCCCCATAGAGAGGTTAAGGTGTGTCCCGTTTGACCATGTTTTATTTGGACATTGGCTACAACTTCCCTGACCTCCAAAGAACCTAACATGCTGCTCTGGGTTAGTCACATGGCTCAGAAGCCAAATGTTCTCTTTCAGAGAAGGGGCTGGGGAAGACACAAGCACCATCTTGCGCCACTTGGGGTTTCAGGCTGACTTCTCGAGCTTTCCTTTTTCTGGATGCAGGTCCCAGGAATTTAACACTTCAATTTCCCAACTGAGAAAGGCTTACCTTCTACTTTACCGCTTCTCCCCCAAAAGTGGCAGGGAAGCAGGGCAATTTCCTCCAGTCATACTGTCCCCTTATGCCCCTGAAGGACAGAGAACTTCTTGTTTGAAGGATTCCAACGCTAAAGCTCTATATGGAAACAGAGCTGACAGAATTAACGCTGTATGTGTGATGCAGCTGCCAGACCTTCACAGCCTGCTTCCAACTCTGATTTCATGCTGTGGTGCACAGGTGCACTGGGTGTGCGCAACATTGTGTTCTTCCTGCTAGAGCACACTTGAGCCCAGACCACAGCACGAGAAGACGTGGCTACACTTGCTTTGCCTCCGTTGGTTCCAACAGCCTGCACGAGTGGAAAGGGTCACTGCACAGTGCCTGGGAGAGGGACTCTCATAACCTTATTTTTTAAAAGGCAATGAAGCTCCAAATTTTAAGTTCTAGAGCCTGAGGGTTGGGATGGGTAAGAGAGTAAGAGATGACATTCACCAGGGGCAAGAGGGCATCTCCCATTAGCTCCTGCAGGTTGCTGGCAAGCACAGTGGGACATCGCCTTGCATTCTACCCTCCGTGCCATCAGCCCTCGGGGCCTGCTTCCCCAACTAAGAAGCTCCTTACCGAGGAGTGTGAAGGCTTGTCGAGTCTTCTCAAAGTCCTCAGCATCGTCCACACCCTCGATGGAAGTGTCTCCTCCCTGTGATGTATAGAAAAAGTCCTCTGCACTTGCTGTGGGAGGCGAGGAAATAAGGCATGAGGCACTGGAGGACACTTCATCCCACAGATCGTGACCCATGAAAATTCTACTCCGTTAGCATGCTATCCCAGACTAAATTTTAGGCCCAGCTGGATGTGAAACTCTTTAAAATAGTCTTTATCCACAACGG
Organism: Homo sapiens; assembly: GCF_000001405.40. Classification (NCBI taxonomy): domain Eukaryota; kingdom Metazoa; phylum Chordata; class Mammalia; order Primates; family Hominidae; genus Homo; species Homo sapiens. The sequence continues at coordinate 49,984,984 of NC_000018.10, forward strand.
CAAATGGGAGAGAAAACTGAATAGTACAAGAAAATTATACGACACTGACAGAAATGTGCTGCTGTATTTATGTAAAACTGGCACGGGAAACATATGTTAACACAAAAGGCATATACGTCACAGACAATTCAGTTTAATAGGATTCATCACAGATTTGTTTTTGAAAAGATCTGATACAAGTAAAATGTATCCCCACCCTAGAACCAGACTTCTATGACTTACATAATCTCAGTCCGACAAGCTCATTTGACAAATGAGGAACAGTGATGTGCCCGAGGTGACAGTTTTTTTGTTCACTTGTTTTACAAAGTTGGGCACACCTGAACTCTCTGGGCACATGCACAAATGCAGGTTGATACCCTTACATGTTTGCTGTCATCCCCCAGCTTAATTCTTCTTCAGTCAGGCCTCTGGTAACAGCCTAGGGGACAGCTGGTAAGGAAGGGCCCAGGTGGTGTCTTAAAATTCAGAGCCAAGCTTAGAAGAGGACACAAATGCAACAAGCCCTGGGTAGTATCTGCCCTACAAAGAGGACGGCAGAATTAGTGCTTAGGAGGAAGCAGGGCTTAAAAGTGAGCATTTAAGGCAACAATTGCATGTAATCGAAGTTACCCTTAAAAACTGATTAAATCTTTCACAAAATATAGTATCTTGTATGGTGATCCTGCCTGGTACTATCCTGCCTGGCACTTCATGCTCTAAGTGTATAACGTTTGGTTTTGATAGAATGTCAAAAGGAGACACTGGCCAAGTTCCCTCTTCCCTGAAAACCCTAAGTTCTTTTCCCTGGACCTGAGCATGCAGGGCTGAAACACATCAGCTAAAGGTGCTTAGATGCAGCTTCACTGCAACTCCCAGTGCTCCTTCAACACCTGTCCTTGCAATTTGATCTCAAGAATTTCTGAAGTCTCTCTCCTTTCTCCATCCTGATTGCCATTGCCCTTCAGCTCCATTGTCAGAACTGTTGAAAAAGACACTATTCCAATCTCTCTGCTTCTGCACCCGTCCCTTCAAATCCACCTCGAAAATGCTAGTATGTCTGATCATACCACCCACTCTGCTTAAAAAGCCCTTTGAGAGGTCCCACTGCTCACAAAGCCAAGGTCAATACCCTAGAACAGCCCCTGGCCCTTTTGTGAAGTGGCCACCACATACCCTCCAGACTCATGGCTTATTCCTTCCCCATCTCTATGTTCCAGATACACCAGTTTCCTTATTATCATGCATCAGCTCTTCCCTCTGTCCACGCCTTCAGTGGTCTCTGCCTACCTCTCCTTCCTCACCTCCCCCCATTTCCCACCTTGCATCCTATGCTCCAAGCCATACTGAGCTTTGCCCATTCCTCCAAGTCTATTATGCATACATGGACAGGCCAGGCAAGGAGAGACAGAACTCAGCCCTAGACCCCAGTCTGACTACACAACCTGAACTATAACCACCAGGTGACCCTGCCCACAGGCACAAATAATGAGAACATCAGTTGTACTCTATGAGTGAAGGTTTCCTGGAGGAGTAACAAATTCTGAGGACCAGTGGCCAAGGCACTTGAACTGAGAGAGGAAGGACTCCAGCCCTGTGGTCACTCACAGCCTTGGCAGAAGCACATTTTAATGAGGAAAACCACATCAGATCTTTGTAGAAGACAGCATTTTAGCTCTTTCTTACCTAATCACTCAGCAAGCACCGGCACAGAGCAATACAACAGTTTCAAAGGCTTAATAAAAGTACCAATTTTTTTCCCTTTACACTCACCTTTCAAAGTATCTCATTTGATTATTTTTACAGTGTCCACCAAAGAAGACTGTCTATATTATTTACTCCCATTTTTCAGAAAAGCAAACTGAGTAACATGGGGTTTAAGGGGTGCCCAGGGTCACCCAGGGTTTGGTCAGGCCTGGGATTCCATTACTTGATTACCCTATTGTAGAAAAACGACAATTTATCTATGGCATCTCATGATTTTGCCACAAATACAAACTAACTCATCATCAAGTGTCAGCCAAACACATCAGAAAGAGTCACCTGAGACTCCAAAGGAGGAGACTAGACTTTCATATTAGAGGGAAGGCATTTTCAGCATCTTTCGAAGACCTTTCATTGTCAATAGCCAAGGTCCTACTGCCTGATGTTGCTACGAATCAGATAGACACCCCGCCTTCCGAGATCCCAGTTCCCAAACTCAGGCCCAGTTCCCCAACTCAGGCCCAGCTGGGCAACTTCCTCAGACTGAGGCTTGTCACTGCAGGGGCCACCTGGGTCAGTTACAGCATTTTCTACTGAATGATCTGAAACCAATCAAAATGATCATCTTTCCATATGCGTTAAGGTCTGCCATCAACTCCGTCATATCACTCTCTGGACCCTCTTAGTAAGGTACATCCAAATAGGACTCAGTCTTCCCCCACCTGCTTGGCTTTCCTGGATCGCAGCCCTCCTTTCAGGCCCATAAAGCTGAACACTGACTATCCCATCCCAAAGCAACTTCTCTCATCCTCCAGTTTAGGTCTCTCTCTTTACAAAGAATTCCCAAGGAGAAATGTACCACAAACCTCCTATTAACTAGTTCAACAGGCAGAGATTGGATCAGGCAGTCAAAAGAACACAGAGGAGAACATGAACCCAGTGATTAGAGCACCGGACCACCAAGGCCATGGTCATGGACTTGCACATCACCTGGGGAGGCTATGCTCTGACCTATGCAAGGCCAGAGAGGTTGTTTATAAAACTATCCATACAACCACGGAAATGAAAAAGAAGAAAAGGAATTTACTTCTTATCCCCTAAAGGCTGTATTTAAGGGAAAATGGGCCCATTACAACTGGATGTACCACCAGAGATTGGTGTATCTGGAAGGCAGAGATGGGGAGGAAATAAGCTGTGAGTGGAAGGTAGAGTGCAGCTACTTCACAAAAGGGCCAGGAGATTATTCTAGGGTATTGACCTTGGCCTGTATGGTTTTTACCATCATTTATTCACACCTTAACAAATTATTCATTGGACTTTAAAAAAAAAATCTCCTCTTGAGGTCATTTTAAATGCAATGGCCCAACAATGGGGCAGAAGAGTGTGGACAACTGGATGCAAATCTGCACCCTCCATTCTCAGACAAATGCACAAAACTTACGCCAAGCCAAGGGGTCTTGCAGAGACTTGTGTGCATTTGAATTGCGTGTTTTGGGTGAAGAGGAGGAAGAAGGATATGAAGCAGGTCCAAATATTCACTTAGAGCCCTTGGCTAGTCCATGTATTTGCTGTTTTCAGCTACTCGACTAGGGTTATTAGTGGACCTAAATGCCAAGCTTCAGGGCCCTCAGCCAATCCACCCATGAGGCCGAGGACAGCCTGACACCAGAGCACAAGCGCTTGTCAAAGGCTCTTGTTTCACTCCAAAATATTCTCAGAGGGCACATGAAGGTGAAAGAGTGGGAAAAAAATACTGATCAAATTGGGTAGTTTTCAAGTGCTGCAGCCTGGGGCCCATGTACCTTGCAGAGACAGGGAATAAGGGGAAATCATGTTTAACCTCAATATGACTCATGTAACTGAAAAAGAAATTTAGGAGGATTTCTTCCCCATTACCTTAGAATTACAACTGGGACAACTGATCCAAATCATCCAGATGGGTCTTGCCAATATTTGTTTATTTTCTATAAAACTGACCTGAGGGAAAAAAATTTCACCTCCTGCAAGTTGGCCCCGAAAAGCCCTGCTAGGCCTATGTTCTGCTCTGGGAAGGAAAGAGGAGGATGGCAGTGGCCCCTAATGTGGAGGCATACCTGGCTGCTTGAGAGTGACAGGCACCCTCAGAGCCACAGGCTCCAGCTCAGGACAGTGTGCAAAGAGTGCTCAGCCCCTGTTCTGCTTAGCAGGGAACACACACTCCTTGTCCTCAAGGATTTTATCATGTCATCGTGTTCCGGGGAAAATCAGACTTGCAAGCACTGACCAGCTGGAGAACAGGACATAACTAACAATGGACATCAGCCAGAGTTTTCTCCCTGGGGTCCCAATTTAAATATTACTTCCTGGGGGGAGCCTCCCAGCCCTCCTCAGCTCTGCTTCCTTCAGCACAGCCCTTAGCACTCTGCATCATAATTGACAAGCTAAGCAGGGTAGGACCCACAACTATTTTGCTCAATGCAGGATCCCTGGGGCCTAACATGGCCTGAATAGAGTTTGATGAACAAACGCAAGAATTATTGCTAAGTTGCATGGTACAAGCATTGAAGATACAGGGATTCATAAGCAAGTGTTATGAGGGCAGACTTGCGCTGAAACCACTTGATGGATTTCAGCTACTGGGAGCACAGATGGGTCTGGTGCTGGACTCTTAGGATGGCCAGGATTTGGATCAGGAACAGCCAAGCCTCAGATGTCTGTTTCTTGCACAGCTGCACAAAGACCAACTACTCTGTTTAGACACCCGGATCTTCATACCATCTGCTAGTATTGGACCTCCCCACATGCCCCCAAAACACGGACAGCAGGACAGGGACAGGAAGCATGGCAGGAAGTGTGGCAGACACCAAGACGCTGCTGGGCTCAAGGCTTGCCCTCTTTACACATATGTGCCTGAAGACTCAGCAGCAAAAATCAGTCATTACCCCATAAGGACCCACACAGAGAAGGGCCAAAGGCTCCAGACCCAAGGAGAGCTGCTCTGTGGTATGGAGTCAAGAACTAAAGCCTGCTCACTACTCCACTGGCTCCACATCAATAGCCTCAAAGCAAATGAAACTTGCTAACACCCCTCAGGAAGCAGCAGGAGTGGAAACAAAGGGTGGTGCTCATCTGATGGGGATGATGACAAAGTGCCTTATCCCCTCAGCTTTTGTGGAGAGGCAGTTTGGGTTGCTCCATCTCTCTCCCTCCAGTGAGGATGTGCTAGAAGCTTCCATGCCAGTCCACGAGAGATCAGATGGCCTGGCAGTCCAGAGTCTCACATGCCAGAGCCCCCTCTTATCCTCTGTGGCCATGCCATACTGCATCCATATGGCTCTAGAGCCACCCCTGCTTTATTCTCTGCTTTATCCTCACCCCTTTCTCTTTGCCTCAATCCTAAACTATGAGTTAAAACATGCTGGTTATGATTATATGATGTATATTACTTTTATCTCTAGATTCTTAGGTTTGGGACACATTTCCTATGATGCTTAAAGTGCAAACATATCTTTCAGAATAATAAAGCATGAAAAGACTTCCATGCCATGCAAAACACTTTTCCACCCCTGCCTCTTATCCTCTCATACACTTCCTGTGCCAGGTGGACTGCATACAATTAACCCTCTTTTACTAATTGAGCAGTGAAATTTAGAGAGGCCTAGGGGTTATGGCCACATAAGAGGCAGAGCCGAGACAAGAACCCATGACGGAGGGCTTTGAGCAGAGCCCCCAGCTGTGCACCCGCTGGAGCAGTAGCCCACCCCAGAGGATAGGCATGCACCTGTTGACTTACTTAGTGCAAGCTCTTTAAATTCTGGAAGACCGGCAGCAGCACAGAGCTGGTAAAAGATGTGGTAATTCCTCTCATCATCTGCCTGGAGGAGGAAGAAGTGAAGCAGTTTTAGGGCAGTGACCTCTAACATCGTTCCCTCTGCCACTGTAATCCCAGGGTGCTCCAGGTGGTGGAGGCTGAGCCCCCCACTCTTCCCAGTGTTTTCCTCCACACCTCTGCCACCTTCAATTCCCACTTTCCGACTTTCTATTCACTCTTATGGGGACTTCTTCCAACCTGAGGATTTATATGTCTTGAATTATGCAAAAGCATGTATGTATTTTCTTTTTTCCTTCTATATAGGACATCATTGCTCTTCACAAATGGTGAGTCAGTCAATCAACAAATACTTATTCAGTCTTCTGTGCTGCTTGGCTGATGTCCCATGGATTGTCAGTACCCTTCTGTGAGCTCCCGTTCTCCTCTGGGAGGCTCAGAGATAAGTGGAAGCTGTGCTTGCCCATCAGGTCAGGCTGGGCAGACAGGAAAGGCCCACAAGTGAGGCAGGATGTCTGGGGAACACCTGCAGCTGGACTGGCCTTACACCGGTGGGGTGGGTGTGGGGGTGGGGATTCAGGAGGCCTGAGCGAAGAGAGCTAAGGAAGAGGGAAGCTCCAGGGGTGTCCAGGAAAGAGCCATGAGCAAGACATCAGACCCACACCCAACCCAGCAAGCTGCTTCCCTGGCTGTGGTGTAAAGCAGGATGGGGGGATTATCAAGCCAACCTGTGAGGTGCATATAAAATGCAGGCAAAAGCATGGGGAGCTGGTTAAAAAATTCATTAGATGTTTGCTATCATCAGCATGGAGATGTCACCAAGAAACAAACAGCTGAGGCAATTCTGAGGTCTCCTTAAAGGCAGCTAAAGCTCAATGACCAGGAAGCCATTTAACCCAAGGCAAGAATCTGCCACAGACTCAAACCAGGACCTGAACCATCATCTTGGTTCAGTGATGGGAGGGTAAAGGGAGCTGGAGGAGGACTTCTATCGGCGTTGTGAGTTGCACCAAGCCCACTAAAGTCAGGATGGAGGAGGAGAAGGATTACAAAGAGGCAAAGAGTAGCTGGCAGGAGGAAACTAAAGGTAAGCGAAGAACAGTGAAGAATCAAGTCAGGTGAAAAGTGGGACATCTGGGAATTGAACAATGAGAACACATGGACACAGGGAGGGGAACATCAAACACCGGGGCCTGTCAGTGGGTGGAAGGCTAGGGGAGGGATAGCATTAGGAGAAATACCTAATGTAGATGATGAGGTGATGGGTGCAGCAAACCACCATGGCATGTGTATACCTATGTAACAAACCTGCACGTTCTGTACATGTATCCCAGAACTTAAAGTATAATTTTTTTTAAAAAATGGGACATCCACTTATTTGAAAAGAAAACTAAGTAGGTAGCCAAGTATAATCTATTTTTTAAACCTACTAAATAAGGAAGTTCTCAGGAAACCTAAAACCCAGACTCCGTATTTATGACATTCCCCTGATAAGACTTTAAAATCCATAAGGAAAAGTTCTGTCTTGTCCTTTACTGTATCTTTGGTGCCTAGGACAGAGCTAACACATAAGAGGCATTCAACGTTTGTTGATTGAATCTGAAAACAGTACTGTATAAAGGTTTTTGAGATCTAATCCCTATACCATCTGAATGAACACTTACTGATAAAAGATAAGAACCAAAAGAACAACTACATTCAATTCCAGGCTCACAAGAGAGATTCTCTTTGGGTCCAGGGAGTGGGGCAGGGAGCAGAAGTAAGGTAATTGTCCATGAGAAATACACAAAAGGGCGCAAATCCTCCCACTCACCTGGAAGACCACTCTGGACTTCTCCAAGAGGTAAGTCCTCATGTTGGCCCCGATGATGTGGTACCTTTTGTCAAAGCCAATCTGGATGTACTTGCCAAAACGGCTGCTGTTGTCATTGCGGGTGGTCTTGGCATTTCCAATGGCCTGCACAGACCAGACAGACAAAGGTATGAAAAAAAAAGAGGGCTTTCTTGATTTCAGGATTGTATGTTTGTGGCAGCATGTGTCCCCTTTCTCTTCCTTACTTACAGAAACCCTCTGTTCTTGGGATGACAATGAACTGAGCTAAAGAATAAAACAAAAACTTGAAACTCTTCTTTTTCCAGCCTCTTACTCCTGAGGATGGCCAATGAGAGTAACGAGTTCATTGGTGGGGTCTTCAAAGGGGACTACCCAGGTGCAATGGAAGGTGCATCCCACTGTCCCTCTTCTTCCTTCTTTCTTGCCTGGAATGCACCTGTGATGGTACCAGCTATAGCAGTTATCTTGGAACCATGAGGAAAAGGCCTAAAGAATCACAGAGACCTTAGCTGTGACATTCTTGAGCCACTAAAACAATACCAGTGCCCACTAGCTCTGAACTTTCTGGAAAAAAACAAACAAACCTTCCTGTACTTAATACACTTTGATCAGTTCTACATGAGCAGGCAGTCAAATGTCACTCCCAACTGACAAATAATACCTTCCTAGCAATACGCCACAAATTGACACTCCTTCCCACCTCAGGAAGCCATCATCCCTCTTGGTATTTCTTCTGCAGCATCAGGGTTACAGTTCAAAACACTAGACGATAATTTTTAAAATGAGTGGATATGGGACTAATTTTATCGTGTGAAGATTTGCTTCCTATAAAACACCATGTTGCCAATGCATTGGTAAAGAATACATTAATATTTAATCCCTTTCACATGCTTACATTTTTAGGTGGATAAAACACTTGAAAAACACCTGCTATAACTTCTCAATGGTCTAGAAAATTTGAGGCACAAAGAAGTTGAAAGAAAAGCCAAAATCCCAACCTACCCCTCAAGTCCTGCCCAGCCCAATACAAGCAGAAGAACTATTAGTGTCGCCTGACATCCCAAAACCACGATGCCCGGCAGCCATCTATTATTGACAAGGCTGGCAGAATAGTGAGAAGCAAAAGGTCACAAAGTTGACCTAAAACTAATGCTCCTGAAAACATGCCATTGAGTTGTTACTGAACAACTGTTCCTGTTACTGAGATGAGTACAGGGAGGCGCTGAGTTATACAACCACCCACTCACAGAAATCTAGGTCCAGCTCTGCACCAGGGAAGCTGCTGAGCCCAGGACTGGCCTCCATTCACCACCCTCCGAGTATAGAGGATGCCAAGTTCCAAACGGGTCAAACTGTCCCTATTTCTATCCTACTGCCATAGCCTTAGCCTGCAACATTGTCACCTCTTTCCTGAACAACTTCAATGGGCTCTCAATGGTCTCCCTGGTCCCACTCCCATCTTCCACCTGCTGTCAATTCTCCACTCAATTGCCAGGGTGATTCCTCTAGAATGTAAACCTATTATACTCCCTGTATAAAACGCTTCAGTGGCTTACACTGCCCTCTGAGATACAACTTTCAAATCCTTAGCATGGCTTATGTGCTTGGCAGGAACCGACCCTTCCCTGCCTCTAATCTTGCCCTTGGTCCCGGCTTCTAACAATCCTAACTCCCTTTTTCTTTCTCCAAAGCCCTATGCTCTCTCTGCCCTCACCCAAGCTTCCCATAGGCAGTTCCCTCTTTTCCCACGGCTCTCTGCACCTAGTCGACTCATCTTCCTTCAGGTCTCAGCATCGATGTCGCTTCTTCAGGCAAGCAAGCCTTCCCTGATCCCGAGACTAGGGGAGCACCTCCTGCCATATGCTCTTCCAGGCCCTACATTTCCCTCTTCTTCCCCTTAGCCCATATGCGGTTAACCCTCTGTGTTCATGAGGGCAAAGATTATACATCTGCTTCAGCACAGACTCTGTAGCACCCAGTACATGGTAAGCACTCAAAAATATTTAAGTGAAAGAGTAAATGAACCTGGGTTTCAGTTTTTCTCTTGTGAAATGTAAGTATTGGACTCCTTGTCCTCATACGTAACTTGCCACTGCAAAGTCTTGCAAAAACCAGTTGGAGTCACAATATACACTTTTACTTTAGGGTTTAAAGTGTATAAAGCAATCTATATGTTACAGACACAGTATATAACTCTGGAAGGAAGTGTAGGGGGAGAAAGTACAACCTTGGTATGTTGGATTGCTCTGAAGGGCATCTTGGTGCTTGGAACATGCCCAAGGTCAGGACAAGGCTAGAGCCCGGCCAGCCTGATGTAACTCTCAGTCACCTAACTGGAAGAGTTTACGTAATCAGCTTCCTCCAACCAAAGGCGATGGGGACTCACGCTCCTGGCACCCACCAACCTTGTCATCTTAGCAGAGGCCTCAGTGTAACCACTTTCCTTCCACAAAGAGTCTCAGCCTTTAAGGCCCCACAGGATGATGGCAGACTGCCAGACTTCAGTGAGCCAATTTCTACTTGAAAAATGGAAAAGGAGGCTATATTTCCTAAAATGTTGGTAGAAAGCATTTCCCGGACCTTCAACATAAGCCAGGTCCTGGGCTGGGCCCCTTATAATCTCATTTAATGCTGCCAAGAACCCTACAAGATAGGCATTACTAACTTTCACCATACTTACGGGAAAACTTAGGCTTAGAAAGGTCAAGTCACGTGCTTGAGGTCACATGCTAGGAAGTGGCAACCCCAAGATAGAAATTCAGATATACCTGAATCCAAAGTCTGCGTTCATTCTACCTACACGGCGTCACAGCACTCCTCCATACTCTGTCTCCTCCAAACCACTCACTACCAGACAGAAAGCCACCACACATGTGGGCAACTTCTCATGGCTCAAATGGCCAAATCAAGTCAAAGGATAAAGATAGATATTAATCCTCACTTATATCCTTTTTTTTTTTTTTTGAGATGGAGTCTCGCTCAGTCTCCCAGGCTAGAGTGCAATGGTGTGATCTCGGCTCACTGCAAGCTCTGTCTCCCAGGTTCACGCCATTCTCCTGCCTCAGCCTCCCAAGTAGCTGGAACTACAGGCGCCCACCACCAGGCCTGGATAATTTTTTTTGTATTTTTTTTTGTAGAGACAGGGTTTCACCGTGTTAGCCAGGATGGTCTCGATCTCCTGACCTCGTGACCCACCCATCTCGGGCTCCCAAAGTGCTGGGATTACATCCTCACTTATATCTTTTTATGTAAAAGCAGGGAGAAGCCTCTCAGAAGATGCTAGAAAACCAACTAATTACTATGAAACCTAGTAAATAAAGCCTTAAACATCTACTTTCCAGTGTAAACTGTATCTCAGGGCAATTAAGTAGTTGGTAAGGGGACGTTTCTCTGCACAGATTTATTCCAGCTAATACATGCAGGAGGTGTAACAGAATGACAATATCAGCATTTTGTAACTGCTGATTAATTAATATATCTAGGCATAATCAACTGCTGGCTCACATCACAAAAAGCCAGATTTTCTGTGCCTCCTAATGGAGGCCCAACTACCACATCTTAAGGATTCCTGTTAAAAACAAAACAAAACAGAAACTAAAGCAGCCTCTAAATTTTACTATTCCTTTACAGGAAATAAAGTGGACAAAGGCACATGTTAAACAATGTCATACAGATGTAATCAGCAAAGGCCAGTTGGTGGAAAATTCTAAAGGAGAAGCTCGTTTCAACAGATAAGTTTCAATTTCAAACTTTTAATTTCCAATTTCTTACTTTCTAAGATAGCAATAAGACCTTTTACCATATCTGAGATCATTCCTTGTGATAGCTTAGGAAAACTTTGCCCAAGGTCTAAAGATCACTGCCAAAAGATTGGCCCTCCTTACTTTACTAGGCTACTTTGCAAAGTGATTGATAGATCTAAAAGTACTGGAACAACCATTCTGAAGGAAAATCGGGTATATCTAGTAAAACTGAACATGCATGCACCTAACAAATCAGCAATTCTACTTCTAGGTGTTACTTAGAGAAATTCTCACATAATTCAAGTAGGCAAGAATGTTCCATTCAGACTATATTTAATAATAAAAAAGAAATACAACCCAGATGTTCACCAGTAGGGAAAACATAAATAAAATGTGGTATATCCACACAATCAGATGCTATAAAGCTGTTAAAAGAATAAACTAGAACACAGCTCATGGATTAATAAAAAAATGTAGAGTGAAAAGTTGCAAACTGGTTGATGGAATATGCTACCAACTACTTATGGTATAACAATCTTTTCGATGCATACAGAAATACACGGTGAAATAAAAATGGACTGAAATAATTTCAATGTAATTGATTGTACAATAAAGAGGTATGTATCAAGTAGTATGAAAACACGGATAAGGAGCAAAACCAACCATGCCCCAGTATGGGAAAAGCTCTAAGAAGTGGAAAATTGAAGTGGATCTTAAAGTGAGCAGAATTCTGACAGTGGGAAAGAAGAAGAGATTCTATAAATATAGTGTGGACAAAGGGACGGGGTTATGTTACAAAATAAACAAGTTTGAAGTGGCTAAAGTATGTTGATACATGAAAGAAAACAGGAGATAAGATTGGTAAGGTGTACTGGGAGCAGATTCTTGTAAAAATGGGTTAACAGTGTCTGGCTTTCTTCTTTGCCCTAAAAAGCGTGAACACTTAGCCAGGCACTGGTAAGCCAGCACTTAGAAAGGCCTAGGTGGGTGGATCACTTGAGCCCAGGAGTTTGAGACTAGCCTGGGCAATGTGGCAAGACCCTGTCTCTACTGAAAAATACAAAAGGTAGCTGGTCATGGTGGTGCACGTCTAGTAGTCCCAGCTACTCTGAAGGCTGAGGTAGGAGAATCGCTGGAGCCCAGGAGGAAGAGACTGCAGTGATCGTGTTCATGCCATTGCACTTCCGCCTGGGTGACAAAGCAAGGTCCTGTCTTTAAAAAAAAAAAAAAAAAAAAAAAAAAAAAAGCAAATCCTGAAAATAACATATCTGGTCTTCATCATCATTTTTGCTAGCTTCACTCTAGCCTCCTTTCTTTCTTTTTTTTTTTTTTTTTTTTTTTTTGAGATGGAGTTTCCCTCTTGTTGCCCAGGCTGGAGTGCAATGGCATGATCTCGTCTCCTTTCTTTCTCCCAGAATAGGGGCATTCTCTGTGGCTCTCAGAGTTGTCTGCCTGCAAAGTCCAGTCACCCCAAGAAATGATGTGATATCTCTGGCCTAAACTTGGGTTCTGTTCCTCCTCTAACAGTCTCTTGATTATCAATGTTCTTTTAATCAGTGCAGACTTGTGAACAAATCACTCCTGGGATGCTGACAAGCTCTTAAACAGAACAGGGTCAGAGAGTGCTGGTGATGACAATAAATCATCCCAGTGCACCCCAGCCAATCTCAATCCATCCTCAAGTCGCCTTTAATTCCAACAACTGCCACTTAGCATAGACCACTGGGATTTCCGCCTCCTCAGACCTTCAACTCTAGGTCTCCCCAGGAGGTGTCTGCAGCTGCTGGGCAGCAGACGCAATGAGACAACGCCGTGACCATAACCGATTGCTTTGTTGGGAGGTGCCATCCTTCCCTAGGATGGGGCAGAGCAATCAATCAGTAATCAGCTGTCTGTCCCCTGATTAAGACATGCTCTGTGCTGGTTATAACACTCTGAGCAGCCACAAAACTGACTGGGCTTCCTGATACAAGGTCCCAGATAGAGTCGACTTACGAAAAGTCGTGTTTTCAGACTTGGGAAGTGCAAAAGCCTCTTTCTCTGCTTGGCAACAAAAGCCTCTTTCTAATTCTACTCAGGGTTCTTCCTGGCTATAATTCTTCCTTTCCATGTTCATAGCCAAGACTTCTCTCAAACATAACACTTAATGACAGCTCAAGGGACAGTCTCTGGGATGACAAAATGCTCCATTTGACAGAAGAAACCCTCAGGACTTACATAATTTCCAAAGTACTAATTTGCACAAGGCAGAAAATTAATGTTTTGAGCTCAAACCACTGTAGCATTTATTTACATGACCATGTAAGATTAAGCTGGTTCATGTACACACTCCTCCTTCAGACCTTAGCAACTGAAGCACGTTGAGCATATGTCTGTGTGTGCATGTTGCTTTTCATCTCTGCCATGTCAAAGCACCCTGCGTTCCCACAGCCTAGCGGCCTACTCAGGCTATAATGGATATTCCAAATGTTAGATAAGGTCAGACCACTGTGATTTAAAAAGCATTTCCAAAGCAAGAATTCAAACAGATACTTTCACACCCACATTCACAGCAGCACTATGCACAATACCCAAAAGGTAGAAGAATAAACAAAATGTGGTATGACCATGCAATGAAATACTGTTCAATCATGAAAAGGAGCAAAATATTAATATATGCCAAAACATGATTGAACTTTGACAACATTATGCTCAGTGAAATAAGCCAGACACAAAAGGACTAGTATATGATTCCACTTGTGTGGGGGTACCTAGAATAGGCAAATTCAGAGAGATTACCAGGGGCTGGAGGAAGGGAGAATGGAGAGTTACTGTTTAATGGGTAAATAATTTCTGTTTGGGATGATGAAAAAATTCTGGAAATAGATGGCAGTGATGGATGTACAAACATCGTGAATGTACCAAATGCCACTAAACTGTACACTTAAAATGGTTAAAATGGTAAACTTTATGCTATGTGTATTTTATGATAAAATTGTAAAAAATTTCCCCATGTCTCACACATGTTTACTAATGTGGTGATCTGCCTTCACTAAACTTCCAGCATGACTAATAATAACTACTTTGTTCAGTCTCTGGAGCTCAAAGAGGTTTCTTGTCTTTCGTTTTGCTCAGAATAACTACTCTATTTCTAAAAGAAGTAGTACACTATGTCTCTGATATCTTACTGCCTAAAAGATGGACAGAATCTTGAAACTCAGTCAAAGGAGAGAGCCTGCTTTCACTCTCATTTGAGGTAGAACATGAGGTTAATTGTGGAGCGGCTGTCTTAGCTGTTCAATATAGGCATAGTACATGGTCTAAGGAGGCCAAGGCCACAGTCCACAAACGGCTTCCGACCTGGGCCGTGGCCATGCCTCAGTTCGGGGCTCAGACTAAATGCTGGAGTAAATATGCTACCAATGAAATGTCAGAAAAGAAGGAGTCAAATTATGGTAAAGCCATTTATTAATCTATGTTTGCAGCCAATAAGATAGTTCATAAAAAGTTGAATGATATGGGGACAAGGCTTATGCTGTAATAGTTAGTAAAAAAGCTGGAAGAAAATATACCAAAATGTTGGATGATTATCAGCAGGCTGTAGTATTAAAGGGGATTATTTCCTTTCATTCTTTCACATTTTCCAGTGAGCCCATCCTATCTTTTTAATAGGTCAGTGGTTCTCCAAGTGTGGTACCCAGACGGGCAACACCAGCATCACCTAGGAACTTGCGAGAAATGCAAATTTGGGGGGCCCCTCCCAGACCCCTTCTGAATGAGAAACTCTGGAGTGGAGTAGAGCAATCTGTGCTTTAACAAGCCTTACAGGCAATTCTCAGGCACCCTCAAATTTGAGAAGCACTGTAATGGAATAAAAGTTTTTCTTTTTGTCTGTTTAGTACAAATGCCTTCAACTGTATTCACCATTTCCCAAATCTTGTAAGAACAAATACTGAAACTTGCTTTTCAAAAATTCATAGTGAACACGTTGTATCCTGTTACTTAGCAGAGAATTAAAGTCCTCAAAGTAACGCAACTCTGAAGGCAGGAGATTTTGCCTGGATAATCAATGAACCCCTGTGAATCAAGACTCAATTTATGCCTGCACTTGGTAAAGGAAGAGAGAAAGAGGGGACTGGGGAAAGTCCAGGCAGGTTCTTGTTTCCCTAAGCTCCAAAATCATCTGAAAGACCAAACTCCATGGTGACTTGTGCCTTAGTCGATGGGGCTCAGGGCTCCGCATGGAAACCTGATGCTATCTTGGCAGCTTGCGGCTCAACTAATGTCTTCTTACTATTGTAGGTGTGATGATAGAAGGGAACTGTCCAATTAGAGATGGACTAGATGACATAAAACAAACGGACTGCCCAGGGCTGGCAGAAAGGCCTGCTCCTACCAACTGTAACCAAGACAACAACAAAGAGCTTTAGCTTCAAAGGTGGGGAATGAAAGCTGTCCCAGGGACTACGAGGCCATTTCATTCTAATCCATCAAAATGAAGGTTTCATACAGAAAAGGGGGAAAAAGAGACAGCATTCTGATCCTAAAGCATGCTTAGTTATAGCAAGATCTAGTTTTTAGCAAACTTCTCTGGCCTGTAGTTGTGTCAACTGCTCTGAGCCCACCCTAGTCCAGCCCCTATCATGAAGGCTGAGGAGTGAAGACACAGATGGGGCCTGCCCTGGCCAATTCACGCCATCATAGGGAACTGTTTTCTGAGGAGCTTCAACAGATTCTAGGTTATCACATACCTTTTGGCTTTACCTCCCCGCTAAAAAGATAAGATGCCCAAATACTGTGGGTTAAAAAATATTCTATCTAGGCTTTCCCGTCCCCCATGAAAATTGCCTTTCTGACCCAGCAGGCCCTCAAAGCTTCTAAGAGTTTCGGTGGAACACTGATTTCTGACACGTGATGTCAGCAGGGAAGGGGACAGCAACAGAGGTGGAGGAGGTGGGGAGGGACAGTCACTGTCACTACAGCATTCAGCAGAGTCAAGGGACATGGAGAATATGAGGACACTCTACCCAGTACTGGGAACCTAAAGACACAACCAGGTCAACATCCATGGTTTTAGAGGCAGCTTGGTAACTTTTCCTCCACAGTGGACAGAGGGCTCTCAGGGAGAGGCGTGAAGGCTGCCACCCAGGCTTGACGCCCAGCAGTCTTGCTGCCAGTGGGAGGAGCTCCAGCCAGGAAGGCCAGGACACCTAGAAGGCTTTACCTCCATGATGGGACTGGATGCCAGCACCTTCTCTTCGATGTTGGTTTCACTGGCCGAGCCACCAACGGTGGCGAAATAGCGCATGGCATACTTGGCTGATACCGTCTTCCCGGCTCCAGACTCCCCACTGACTATGATGGACTGATTCTTCTCATCTCTGGAAGGAAAAAAGCTCTGATAAGTCATTGGCCATGGAAAGGCTCTGCTACCGTCCAGGGACTCTGTCTGACAAGGGCCTGAGCCTCACTGGGAGCATCTCTCCTACTTTAATGGATAAACGCAGAGGAACAGTGTAAAAATAGTCTGCCCTCCCCGACACCTGCAAACATCCTGAAAGCAGGAGGAAGAAAGCAATTCTAACAGGGCACATACTTTCATTTATGGCCTAGAGCGAGAGTGGTGCAGACAACTGGCCACTCTCCCGAGTTCCCACTGGGTGCAGTGCCCCTAGATCACTCCCTTACACACATCCTTTAAGAATTCACAAGCACACACAGACCAGGCGTGGTGGCTCATGCCTGTAATCCCAGCACTCTGGGAGGCCGAGGTGGTGAGTCATGAGGTCAGGAGTTCGAGGCCATCCTGGCTAACATGGTGAAACCCTGTCTCTACTAAAAAACAATACAAAAAAATTAGCTGGGTATGGTGGCACACGCCTGTAGTCCCAGCTACTTGGGAGGCTGAGGCAGAAGGATCGCTTGAACCGAGGAGGCAGAGGTTGCAGTGAGCCGAGATCGTGCCACTGCACTCCAGCGTGGGCAACAGAGCAAAACTCCGTCTCAAAAAAAAAAAAAAAAAATTCACAAGCACACACTTTCAGTTATATCATCTCCCCTTTGTTTCCCTAACATTCCCATCTTGTGTCACTGTATACATTACAATTTCTTCAAAAACATGGATCTTTTCTTCTCCTCCTGCATTTGAGCCTAGCATGCCAGCAGATACAGTTTTGAACATTTTTTTTCATATAGGTAGGTCACAAAGGGCATGCTATTAGCCACCAAAATAATCTTGCCTCAAGTTTCTCAGAACTTTGATAAAACTATCAATTTCAATAAGTGGGATCTGAGTCAGACAGAACAGAGGGCAGGAAGAAGATACTCTACATCAGATAGAAACACCTCTGTAGTTATCCCTTTAAAACACGTAGTAGGAAGACAGACAAGCAACGGAAAGAACAGCTCAGTGGGTCTCCAAGGAACATGGATGTCCCTAGCAAGCCATAGAAGCTGGTGGAAGGAGGGCCACGCTGGTGCCAAGAGACTCAGGTTCTAAACCTGTCTTCATTTGGAAAAGAAGGGGGTTAGATTAGATGGATGTTCAAAGCAGGGAGTGAGGACAAACGTTTGGATCGCAGTTTCGGGAAACGGTTTGTAAGTGCTGTATTCCACCACCTACCTCCCATTCACAAACCCACTGTCAAGAGGGCAGGCACTCTGCTTTCACTCCCCAGTGTCTGTAACTGTGCCTGGCACAAAGTACAAACTCAATATATATCACTAAACTGGAAGCAACTTAGCTCTCAACTAATCTAACTCCCTTCTTTTCCATATGAGGACAGGTTTAGAACTTGGGTCCCCTGTCACCAGCCTGGCCCTCTTTACACCAGCTCCCATTGCTTCCTAGGGCAGAGTGGGTTAGAAAAGAACAGAGAAGCACCACAGGGGTTTGCCCTGCCTTGCTAACTGTCAACATGAGTAGGCCATAGCTTATCAGCACAGGGGAATGAATGTCAGCCTCTCTTCTGATCAAGGCTAACAGCTGGAAACATGGTGAGATGATACAAGGGAATGGTCCAATTAGAGACGGCCTAGACAGAAAAGAAGCAGGCTGGAGGTGGGAGCCGAAGGCAGAGTCATGAGGTAGCTGAGATGAAAAAATCCTTCACTATGAGCTGCTCTTCAAGGTCAGCAAGAAGTGTCCCAGCTCACACAAACGGTTAGCAATGGGGATGGACCTGAGTGGATGTGGGTGGCTAGTAGGCATTGTTGAGAAGACAAAACCGAAAAAAATGTATATTTCAAATTTGATACACAACCAACTACTTGAAAATGTATGTTGAATCCTACCCAGTATTTGGGGGATAGAATTACCAGTGTCTCTCTGAGATCCCTTGTAGTTCTAAGACATCATTGTAGTCAGAGCATCTGCTTCTCTCTCCTTGCTGCTGTGAAATCTCAACATTGAAAGGTAGCCTCTAAAGCAGCCTGGGGATGTTTGTATCGCCTCTTCTCATTTAATTTTATAACATATCCCTAAACCTAGAGGATAATGACAGGTGTCACCTCTAATCCTAATATCTTCATTATCAAGTCCTTAGAGAACTGCTCAGAGCACAACCATCCCAGGCAACTAAGAACATCACAAGTTTGGCGTTGTACCTCTGAAACAGACAAGTTTGATACCATCTTTAAAACTTCCTGGGTATCTGCAATAAGGAGAACTAGATTATAGCAGCGACACCCAAAAGTATAGAGTTATGTCCCAAATTTGTGTGTTCAGCCCCAGATAAATGGATAAGTTTAGAATGTATCTAAGCCTTGATCCTCATCAAAGAACCAGTTAGAATGCAGAAGTATATACTATCCCAAGTACTTAATAAGGATCCAGGGGAAGCAACACACAGATGTCAGGAGGAAATGAATCCCATCAGTGGAGGAGGGGAGATGGGTAAGTGCTGCCAGGCTCCTGCGTCAACACAGCACACACAGGATGCTGGACTACAAGGAGACCCAGTTGACAGGTTACACTCGGCAAAGACAGATGAGGCACACACCAGCGATGCTTGTCACTGTTCACCTACGGCATCAATAAGGGAATTCCCCTGCATATCACTGGGGAGTGACTGGAAAGTCATGCCCTTTTCAGGAAAGAGAGCAACTCATACAAGATGTGGAGAAAAAGTGGGCTCTTCTGAGGAGGTAAGTGGCCAGGAATCAAAAAGGGGGCTAGGTCACGTGACAAGTGTCAAGAATTCAAAAAGAAGGAATCAAGGCAACGGAACAGTAAAACTGGCAGGATGCAAAAGGCAAATTTTGGTGTTCTGATAAAAGTGGACATACATGGCTAAGAAATTATCAAGAGTTATAAAAAGAAAAAACCACAAGTTTAAAAAATCTTTACACTTGAGGCTCTTTTGGGGAACAAGTCTTGGAAATCACCAGTAGTGCTAATTCTGCCTAACTTCACGGATGTTAGATCTGATGCTGATATGTAGGCTAAAGTCAGATAAATTCACTTCTTAGACCAACAAGCACCATTCAACAGCTTCCCTAATTCAGAGGTAAAATGTCTGGAAAAACTGATGATTTTTACTTAGCTTTATTGCACTTCTTTTGCACATACTAGGCACTTCCCTCCCTAGCCTAGGGTAGGGCTGGGCATGTGCCTGTAGTCCCAGGTACTCAGGAGGCTGAGGCAGGAGGATCATGAGAGCCCATGAGTCCAAAGGCTATGATAAGCTCTGATCACACCACTGGGCAACAGAGCAAGATCTCAACTCTTAAAAAAAATAGAGGTGGGGTAGGTGCACATTAGGCATATACACACTATTCTGTAACAGCCTACAAAGTGCAGCGTGCAGCAGCTCTCCCACTGTGTTCTGTGTACATATCCACTTTCCTGGAGCTGGAATCCCAGAAATGGACATTAAAGACAGACTTGAATTTGAACCTCGGCCGCACCACTGATTAGCTGTCTGACTTTGGACAAAGTAGTTAACTTATTTGACCTTCAGATCATCTCAGTTCAGTCTGTTAGAACTCTGATCCCTGAAGCCCAAGCTCTTCTAAGTAGTCACCATGATTAAGATACCTAGGTCTCTAATTCATTTTAATACTCCAGCCAGATTAAATTGCTAAAGCACAGTCCTAATCGTATTTTTCCCACTCAAAAAAGTTAAATAACTACTCATTGCTTATCAAATCAAGTCTAAGCTTTTTAGTTGAGCATGTAAACCCTTCCACGATGCATACTCCTAATGCTAAAACCCTTGATAAGTATGGGGTTTTGTGAAAAGGACACTGGGGTTGTAATCTAAAGGATCTGCCCTGAGTCCTGGTTCTGCTGCCAACAAATTCTTGGTAAGCCACGTACCCACATTATAGAGAATACCTCCCCATCTTATATATTTGCTGCAAGATTGTGAGATGACCTCTACATGTTTTTGTTTTTTGATACAGGATCTCACTCTGTCACCCAGGCTGGAGTACAGTGGCACAATCACAGCTCACTGCAGCCTCAACCTCCTGGGCTCAGGCGATCCCCCAACCACAGCTTCCCAAGTAGCTAGTATTATAGGCATAGGCATAGGCCACCACATCTGGCTAATTTTTCTATTTTTTGTAGAGATGGGGTTTTGCCTTGTTGCCCAGGCTGGTCTTGAACTCCTGAGCTCAAGCAATCTGCCCACCCTGGCCTCCCAAAGTGCTAGAATTACAGGCATGAGCCACTGCCTGGCCTATATTTCTTATAAGATGATGGTATCAAGGTTCAACCCAACAGGACTACTTGTCTTTGATGACCACACACTTTCCCACCACTGCCGTTTCTGGTATTCCCTCTACCTGAGGTAACCTTCAATATATATGCTTCTATGCAGTCCTGTCCATGTCCAATGCCTGGACAGTCTGCCCTGACTCTCCACCCAGGCATCCTAGAAGGCAATTATTTCACCAGCTTGTAAAGTCCCCCATTACTTGCTTTGTCCTCCTTTTAAGACCTTGTCATATTTCGCCTTCTTTTGAAGTCAGTCCCAGTGAGGTCATTTCACCTGCCGTGTGACTTTGGGTTGCTTCTGTTTTCTGGCCCTCCATCTTTTCATCTCTAAAGTAAAAGGCTGTGACTTGGACTTCCCAAGTGATACTGCCTACCTTTGACATTTGATGATCCTCTGACTAAAATCCTAACAGGAAGTAGGGGTAGGGAAAAGCTTAGTTTCAAACTGTGGCTATTTAGGGCTCGTTAAGGGGGAGATGTTTACAAGTACAGAATCTGACCCAATGTCCTTCAAAAATATAACCAATGTGTGGCTTCATCCATTCACCCCAATGACTTGGCTGGCAACTTGCATCAATCTGCTTTTCAATAAAGCCACCTCTCCTGAGCCCAGTGAAATTCCTTTCATGTAGAGGGAGTAAACCATTGGCAAGGAATTTAGTACTCAGCCATGATTCGGGTCCACATGGTCTTCAGAAAGTCAAACAGCAAAAGGCTCTTGAAGGACTCAGACAAGAGTACAGGAGCCTGAGGTAAGGAACTTAGCCATTCTGCAGCTTCCAGGCAAAAGACCTGACAACCAACACATCCACACACACACTACCTCCCCAGTTCACACTGGCCCCCCCTTCTGTGACACCTGAGAGGCAGGACTTAGCTTCTGCTAAACTACTCTAACTCCTCCTAGAAGTTTCCCACCAAACCACTGCAGTGCTTTAGGCTGATGAGCAAGATCAAGCCCTTCCTCCTCATTTCTGGGTGGTGCCACCGGGAGAGAGAGTGATGCAGGTGGCTGGCAGGGCACCTGAGGTCACTCTGCTCAAAGGAGAGGCCTGCTGATCAGCCAGGGAGGCACCCAGGGAGCTCTGTTTTGAGAAATCCCACTAAGTGTTATCTTGTTTGGGTTTCCTGAGGAGCATAATTTGTCACCTGTGGTCTCCAAACTAGCTATATGTACACAGAACCCACACGGCAGCACTACTCAAAGCATCTCAGAGATGACAAAGCATCCCCAGGAAAGCTCCAGAGGCTTCACTCCCCAGCAACCAGTTTGGCTGTGACCAGTGAGGCCAAGTGTCCCGCTGCAGACTTGGGTGGCACCCGTGGTATCCTCCCTCCTCAAACACCAGGTTCTATCACCCACACTCAGTTCGCACATCACTAAATGAGGGCTCGCTGTTGGCAGGCTCTGTGCTTTCACCTCGAATTCCCAGGGCTCCTGGCATCCAAGCCTATCCCTGGCACCTCCTCTATGTAAGTGGCACCAGTATCTACTCATTCACTCCAGCAAGAAACCTAAGAGGCACTGGGGATTTCTCCCTTTCCCTCAGGCCCTACATTAGCACATCCTATTGAACTTCTCTCCAGGGTGTAGTCTGTTTCCTTCTCTGTACCTTTTAGTCCACACCATCATCATCTCTGGCATACATTACAATAGCAGCTTTCCAGCCTGTACTCTCCTCCTCCTCTAACATGTCCTTCTCATGAAACTTTCTGAAAATGAACATCGGACCATTCTTCTCCCTTGCTTTAAGCCTTCCAATGGCATCCCTCTATCCTCTAAATAACACCCACATCTACTGTGTTCAAGGCCCTGGGGGACCGAGCACCTCTCTCCAGCTTCAGTGCATGCCACTCTTCTACTGGATATGTTCAAGCCACACAGAGGTTCTTGCTTTATTCTCTCCCACGTTGCAGTGGCCTGAAGCTGTCCCAGTTCAAACTGATAATCCCCTTTGATCTCACAGCTCTTAATGCCTGGTACTCAATCACATCCTGCCTTATGGCAGCTCATCGATAACTGCTGTTTAATGTAATTAACTAACCATTTATTTACATCATGCTCAAATGGTTTATGAGACTCTTAGTATATAGACTTTGCTTAAGATTCATAAGATCACTGGATGTCATTCTTCCCATTTTAAATAAGAGAAAATAGAAGTTTGGAAAGGTCAAATGATGCACCCAGAATTCCTTAGCTAGTGAGACACTGAGCCCGGATTCAAACTCAGGCTTCCATCTCCTTGCACAATTTTCCACCAGGTTATGCTGGTGGAATTATACAGGATAATGCATTATCATTATACTCCTGTATCTCTGTATTACCATTACACTCCTTCCTGTATAATAAAGCAGCCTTTAACAAATCCCTCCATAATAAACTTAGCCTCAGTGTAAGTTTAAATATGTATTGGGGTCATCAGTGCTGGCTGGCTTGACATCACTTCTCTAGAAGGCCCCCACCACCCACCTTTAACCATCCTACCTTCATAGCACTCACTATACAGTGTACTAACATTTTCCTCATCCACTTAGTGTTCCTCCCACCCTAGTCTCCCCACTAGAACCTAAATCCTATGATGGTCAATCTCACATACAAGGACTTGGATGAGTGGTCTGGCACCTGGATTTTAAGAGGAAGTCCTCAGCAAGGGCTGTTATGTATAGCAGTACCGGCTGAGCACACCATCTGGAGCCCCCTTCGAGTTGTACAAGTTACTGCCTGCAAACTTTGTCGTCCCTGCCCTATGCTCAGCCTTCCATGATTCACCCACAGGAAGGGGACTGACTTGTGTGTGTGGGGAATGGGAGGGAGTTGAGCCTCAGACAGGTACAACTCTATTTACCTGAATTGGAAACTCCCTGAGAGGATGAAGAGGTGGGAACAACACTCACTTAGGCCCAACACACACTATGGTTGCAAAACAGGAAGAAGGGGAAGCCTGGCTTGCCAAGCCACCACAGAAAGGACATCCCATCTCCAAACCGGTCATGAAGCCCCTCTATATCATTTCATCCTCTGTGACAAATCATCTGAAGATTTAGGTGTGTCAACAGAATATATTCTGTTCACTAATGGGATAATCAGTCTACTGCTTCTTGTCTGTGTCTACATGCTCTAATCATATAGTCAACACCATCACCAAAACACAGATCACCGACAATAGTTTTTAAAAAGAAGGACTATGCTAGAGAATACATAGAATTTTAAAATAATTTCTGTCCAACAAAGATACTTGTATAAGTACCATGGAGAGTATTAATACTTGGAAGACAGGGTAGAAAAATACAGTGACAATGAATCTTGGAAACAATGGTGACTTAAAATGATAATAGTATATATGTGCCGAGCGCAGTGGCTCACGTCTGTAATCACAGCACCTTGGGAGGCTGAGGCAGGTGGATCACTTGAGGTCAGGAGTTTGAGACCAGCCTGGCCAACATGGTGAAACCCCATCTCTACTAAAAATACAAAAATTAGCTGGGTGTGGTGGTGGGTGCTTGTAATCCCAGCTACTTGGGAGGCTGAGGCAGGAGAACTGCTTGAGCCCGGGAGGCGGAGGTTGCAGTGAGCCGAGATTGCACCACTGCACTCCAGCCTGGGCAATAGAGCAAGACTGTCTCAATCAACAACAACAACAACAACTCAATATGGTATATTTTCATGATAAATTCAAACAAGCGAAATGAAACAACAGAATACTAAGAGATACAAACACACAAAACTATATTAATATAAAAAACCTATTATAGTGAGGGAAGTTAGATAGGAGGAAGACTCCAGTGGAAAGAAAAATCAGATTCGGGGAACGAAAGGTTATGTGGGGAGAGAAAAGTAAGGTTGGGGAGCAGAGGTAGGTTAAGATAGCAGTCAAGTCAGGTGAGAAGGTATATGGAAAACTACCATAAGTCAGATTTGGGCTCAAAACAGAGCCATATAATTACAATTATTCTAACATTCAAGGGCTTCCTCCCAAAGTTGGGAACACTATAAATAACATTTCTGCTGCAAGAAGGGGCTGGGCCGGAATGTTCCAAGCAAGAGAGTCTACAAACCCTTCCAACAAGACAGCCAGGCCTGAAAGTGGGAAGGAGATGTGTCTCAGGCACCTGGAGGCAGGGCACTTGTGTGAGGGGTTCTCCAGGCCCAAGGACTGAGCAGGTCCTGGGTTCCTGGGGTGAAAATGGCAGAGGGATGTCCTCATGCAGTCTGCCACCAGGTGGTGACATTTTACTCTACCATACCCTCCCTACCAGGCCAGGGCACCACTCAGCCACAGCCCAGAACTGAAACCAAGCCATTCAGGAAGGCTGTCATGAATATTCACTGGAAACTGTGTAATTGGCATTTGGCAGGTAGAGTCCCAAGTGCCTACTTGGTAAGATGAAAATGAACCTTCTGATAGTGTAAGAGATAAGTACTTAGTACATTTAATATCCAATATCATTTTCCCACTTCAGTTAAACAGTGGCCCTTGGAGTGCTAAGCGCTATTTATAAGCCTCTCAGGTGTAGTGTGATATAGGCAGCAGCGAAATGAATCTGTCCCTTCCTCTTGCTGGCTATTCCCAAGCAGGGCTGTCTCCATCTCAGATGAGATACCATCACAGAAAGAACCCGGGGAGTGCCACCCAGCCCACCCCATCGTGGGCAGACAGGCCAGACAGAGGGAGACAGAGCACTGGTTAGGGCACTCCTCGGTGTAAATGGGAAGGTGCCAATTCCCTTGCTCTTAAAATAAGGGTCTGGAAGATTATCCCTAGGATCTCCTGCTACTCCTATATTCTGTGATTCCAGATCCAGGTTATATGGGAGCTGTATGATACATTCTATATCAACTGAAGTTTATAGAACTGCTAATGTCCAAAATACACTGGAATTCAGAAAGCTGCAGGTTTAGATGAAAGTGAGCAACAGAGGCACGTGTTTCCTGTGATTTTATGCTTTTCAGACTTATTCTAATGTTGTCATTAGCTAGGGGTGAACTATGATATACACATATAGAATGTGTAGCCTGTCAGACCAAATAAACATCACTTTTCAAACTCACTTATTTCACTTGTTCTTGGAAACTATTTTGCAGCAAGGGAGTATATTCAAGTATATTCAAATAAAATGATTTTTCCTTGGCCAGTAGTACAGCTGGCATTTCAGCCAGGTGCATGTGAGTCCCTCATTCCAAAACCCATCCTCTTTCTCTATACCACACTGTCTCTTTGGCATGCCACCAGTAAGATACAAGTCTTGTATTCTTCCTTTGATAGATACTGCTTCATCCATACATTTTTTAAAATTTAGGGCATCATGGTGGCTGGGTGCAGTGGCTCACGTCTGTAATCCCAGCACTTTGGGAGGCCGAGGCAGGCAGATCACGAGGTCAGGAGATCGAGACCATCCTGGCTAACATGGTGAAACCCTGACTCTACTAAAAATACCAAAAATTAGCCGGGCGTGGTGGCGGGTGCCTGTAGTCCCAGCTACTCGGGAGGCTGAGGTGGGAGAATGGTGTGAGCCTGGGAGGTGGAGGTTGCAGTGAGCCAAGATCGTGCCACTGCACTCCAGCCTGGGCGACAGATCGTTCCTCACTTCTCCAGGTGGCCTCTGAGGTGATCTCCTCTTCCTTTGTGATTATAACTGCTACCCACAAGTTGTCCACACTGGTATTTCCCCAACCCAGATACTTCCTCTGAGAGCCAAACACATATGCTCAACTGCCCACTGGACAACTACACGCGGAAGGTGCACAGGCGCTCCAAGGCCTGCACGTCCAAAACAGTGCTCTTTAGCTCCCCACCAATCTGTTCCTCATCCTGCCTTCCCGAGGGATGGCTCAGCAATGAGCAGGGAATCTGGGAACTGCCCGTGACACCTTTCTCTCCTTTACTGCTTGAGGCCAAGCTGGCTGTATTGCTTTGAATTTTTTTCTAATCCACCCCACGAAGCCCTGTTCCTCCTCCTTTCCCTCCTAGATGCTACCACAGCAGAACTGGTCTTCCCATGATAATTCTATGCCCTACTCAATCCATTCCCCCTCACTGCTGCTGGAAACATATTTCCAAAACACTCATCTGAATGTGTCCAGGCCCTGCTTAGCACCCTTGCACCAGACCCTGTAGTACGGTGGGTATAGTTAGGGCCTCTGACACTCCAGGCCCTGCACGAGCTGTTCCCAGAGACCATTCCAAGCAGAGGTGCCAGGCTGTGTAAAGAGTGGGACAGCATAGGTAGTGTTCAGGGAAGAGGCAACGCTGACTGCAGAACCATTATTTGCTCACCACAGAGTGGTTTCAACCCTGGCTGTACATTAAGAAGTGCTCGTGGAGCTTAGGAAACTACTTCTGCTGGATCCCACACCACACCAATTAGATCAAAATCTCTGAGGGGTGAGGCCCAGATATTTGTTTTTAAAATTCCACAAGTGCTTCTAATATTCTACTAGAACATGAGTTCTGCTAGGGTTAAGAAGCACTGCTACAGACTCAGCTTAAGAAATGGGTCACTACATAAACATGTTCAGGAACTGGCAGCAATTCAAATACCTTGTAACTTGTTCATGGTCAACATTAGCCTAATACAATGTACCACTGAACTGAAAGATGAGCTTGAAAAAACTAAACAGCCTTTAATTTATGAATGTATTAACTGCTCTTCCTGGCTGAAGACCACAGAAACCTTTATTAATTCCAAGTTCTAGCTATTCGCTTATGATAAATCACCTAGAAATACAGACAGTTTCCTCATTAACTGGACTTACATTGTTGACAGACATACAATTGAAATAATGATGTAGACTGGTCAGCTTTGGATGTCCGAGGTACACAGATGCACAAGCATTAAGATTCAGGTGCAAATCCTGTTTATCGCCCAGGCCCAATGCAAAGGCCATCCTAGAAAACCTGCCCTGAAAATTCACCAGAAAGAAAGTGCTTCCCCTTCCAGGGAACTATTGCTCAGCATCTGGGTGCCCCTTCTGTGGCTGCTACCTTCTCTTCTCCTGGGTGACATTGACTGCACAGCAGCTGAATGGTTTGTTGAAAGCCATGCTGTAAATTCAGAACCCAAAGTAGACAAAGGTTAGCATTCCTTCCTCCTCCCATGCAAGGACCCTTCAAACACATCATGGGTCCAACCACAGGAGAGGCTGCTTTGAAAACAATCTGCTTCAGACTGAAGGCATTCTAGCAAAGACATAATCAACCTCACGGCTTAGCAGATAATTCATGTAACTGTGGAACTCAGAGCAAGCACACAGTGAGTGCTGGCTGTACTTATCTAAAGTACTCTTTTATTCATAAGTCTCTTTAGTACAATGTCCCAAAGTCTGTGGATCCTGGGATACAAATGAATTACATCCATAAGGTTGCTAAACACATCTGAGTCCTTGAAAGACAGACTCGCTTTAGTGGGCCAGAAAAGACCCAATAATGAAAAACAAATCAATCATTCATTAGGCTGGCAGGAAAACTTGCTGACCTCAGAAACATCTCTAACAAAACTAAAATTGAAGAATACTACCCACTTTTTTCAGCCACACCAGTCTTGGAGTGGTAACATCTGGGAAATCCTGGCCTACAGGTCTGAGTATGCCAACTCCATGCCTCCACACAGCACCTTAGGCTTCTGAGGCATCCCTCCCAACTGCACCTACACCCTGAGATTTTAAGATGACAAATGACACCATTTCAATAGATGAGAAAACGACACTTATGTCAAGCACTGAGCTTCTGCAATAGCAGCCTCAGGCCAAAAACAGCCAGCCCTCTTGAGAGAATTACAGATTCCCTCACTAACTTGGGCTCAGTGAGACAGTAACCCAAGATCTTGCTTGTAGTAATTCCAATGGATTACTCACCTCCCTGCCCTCTCTCGAGTGTCCTTTTATACAGCACAGATGTAAGTGGCCAAGAGTTTGCAATAAAATAGTAGACTTAGGTAACACAGACGACCAAAACTCACAATCATTATCCATTCTACCCGACTTCAAGATCACATGCGAAACCTCAGTTTTCCCTTCTGACAACGTGAGGCAGGTCAGAAAACACTCACTTGCTTCACAGAGACGGTAAGAGTACAGAGCCAAAGAGATTTATCCAAAGCTTGGGTTTCCCTGGCAGGACCCAGTGCTGCTCCTTCCCCCTCCACTGCCTAGCCCAGCAGAGGGGCTGGCAGGGAGAACTTCCCACAGGTTACAGCCTCAGGTGCCGCTGGGTATGCTTGCTGAGTCACCATGGACAAGAATCCAAGACACAGAGCTCTACTTCCAAGTCAGGAATCTTTGACCCCCTCAATTGTGGTCAATTTCTCTAGCTTCTTCCTTCAAATTCTTTACTTAAAAAAGTAGTAAAACCAGGTTGTATCATAAAAATGACATTGAGGTGGGCAGTGTTAGGAAGAGAAACCCGGGGTCCAAAGGGCTCACAGTTAAGAGAAGCAGTAGCAGAAAAACTGATTAAGTAGTAAATACTTTGTTTCACAAATGTCTACATAAAAAAAGTCCCAAAATTATGGAGAAAATGGATGAGAAAGGAAAAAAAAAAAAAAAAAACTACGGGTATGGTTAACTTACAACAGAAGCTATACAGTGTTATTTATTAATGATAATGCAGTGGTCTTCTTTAAAAAGACTTTGAAAGGGCATTTCCACCTCAGGCAAGTTATTTCATTTCTGTAAAACTTGGTTTCCTCGTTTGTAAGAGAGAGTATTAATGATCCCTTAACTCTCTCATTATGGGTTGTGGTGAGGTGTGTAAGGTGCCATCAGATTGGGTGAGATACAGCCTGCAATTTGGTGACATTAGTTCACTGTAATGCGGCACCTACCGCCCTATCTCCTGCAGTAAATGAAGCCCAGACTCTCCTTACAGATCTGTCAGAGCTTTTTAAGTGTCCCCACTGTACCATTCTGGCTGGATGAGGAGCCCAAAGGGGACAGCTGCTATTTTACATGGAGTGTTTTCTCTCCCTGTAGGATGGGAAGGATGTCTGTTCTACCCAAGTACCTACAAACATCTCGGCCCCAAGGGAATGAAGGTGGGGTTCAGCTGTTCCATCCATTAGGCAATTTTTTACCGCACAGCTCCCTTGCGTAAAATGTTAAGCTGTGTAACTAAGTGTAAGAAAAGTGCTCCCTTGAGGGACTGATGCTCAAGTAAGGGACCATGCCTAGCACGTCTAAGACAAAGAGAAGCATCTGTGTCAAAATAGACTCAACAATCTGAGGGCTCAGAGAAGATGACCCTGGGGGAAGTCTCCTGGAATTGGGGGTCTTGCTAGATTTCAAAATGTTAACAGCCCTAAGGTTGACCTTGACCAAAAATTAGAAGTTTGTACAGACAGAAGGGAAGCTGAAAGATAGGAATTCCCTCTGCAGTGGGTTCACGGGACAGGGATCAGGGGGCTGAAACAAAGACAGAAATGTGTGGGCTTTTTCTCTGGGAGGACAATTTTGGGTACAAACAAGTTCTTAACTATCTTGTGCATTGGAGGGAAATGAACCCCTCTGACCTAGTGAACTTCATTTTTGATCAAAAATTAAACTATGGCTTTCCCCATGAGTAGGGGAACTGTTTTATTTGACCACTCCTTTGGCTGGGTAATGTAATTAAAGCAATCTTCAAATATTTCCAGGATCAGAATTTGCTTGTTTTGCTTAAATTTTTTCTTAAACTATTCTGGGTGTTCCTTTAATAATTTTATTTCTTGAAATCTGACTATTTTCAGTAATAGTTATAAGAAGTCCCTTAACATTTGTAAAATCCCAAAAGGTGAAATTTTTTAAGTGTTCTTTAGTATTTCATTAGTGTCATCTGTCAAAATCTACAGGCATTTTCAGTTTTAAGTTAAATATTCTGTTGGCGCAGCAGGTGTGCCCAGGGCAAGGGAAGCTGGCTTCCTGGTAGTTGACAATTATCTTCTTTGGGGACACATGAAGTCACGCCACATTATCTCATCCCAATACAGCTTCCAAGGCCCCAACCTTCTGTGCCATCGAGGTGAGCAAGCACCTCCTCCAGGTGCTTGCAGTAGCCTCTGCTGAATAAACAGCTCCTGTTGTAAGCAGCACGTCCTGCCTGTTAGGAGCTCTCTGGTATGAGCACTGTGATTGTGCTCCATGGGATATTTGGTAAGGGCTGATCTGGAACATATTAAGATTCTTGCTGGAACCAGAGTCACCTCCAGTCCTGGTCATCTTGAGCACTATGGGCTCTAAGACCAGGCTGGAAAGCCTACCTCGAAAACCTGTTCAGCAATCACAATTTGGTGATACATTTTGCAGAGCCATCTTACAGATTCCCAACTGGTAGAGAAGTGACACAGGGAAAGGGCCAAAGATGGGAGGTATCAGACAGTAGGCAAGGCCTTCAGATCCCAGGAAAGCATGATCAGAGTGCCATGCAACCCAGAACTTGAGGGATCTGCTGGCCAGTTGATTAACTGTTTCATTAATCTCATTCTTTTTCTTTTTATTTTGTTTGCCTTACTGTGCCTGACTCTCAATTCCACCAAAATATGTATTAACCCATGATCCAATCCTGTGTGAACCCAATTCCTAAGGGTTTAAGCATTCATTTTATATTTAATAAAACTTAGAGTTTAAAGGCTGGCATCTAATTTGGAGAAACCCCTTTTAAAATAAAAAGGTAGATTTATTTCCATATTGGTTAGCATGTGCAGTAACTGAATTCTTTAACATAATGTGTATCTATGAAATACAAACCAAACTTCTTGGACAGGATTCTTTACAATGTGTATTATTCACACCTACCTCTGCCCTTGTCCCAACTGTCACAATCTCACTTTATCCAATCTAGGCTAAAATGATACCATCTAAGAGACATTTTTCTTGTCCACCTTCTCTAAAATATCTTCTCCAAATCTGTCACTTTGCCTTATTTATGGTGACATCTGAGATGTAATTCATATATCATACAATTCACCCATTTAAAATATACAATTCAAAGGTGCTTACAGAGTTGTGCAACCATCACAATAGAACATTTTCATCACCCCCAAGAGAAACCCCACACCCATTACCAGTTGCTTCTCATTGCCTACCAATCCCCAGACCTTGCCCTAAACCAACCCCCGACCCCCAGCTTGTGTCTACCCCTATACCAAATCTGTCCTTCTTCCTATGCTACCCCATCCCTAACTAACCCCTAAAGCTACCCCTACCCCAAATTTAACCCTACCCCCTTCACCCCATCTCTACCCCTATCTTAAATCTACTCCCCCAATCTACCCTACCATCCCTTACATTAATCTACTTTCTGTACCTACAGATTTTCCTCTTTGGGACATTTCACATAAATGGAATGAATAGAATATGTGGTCTTTTGTGACTAACTTATTTACCTTAGCATAATTTTTCATTTTGTTTTTTTGAGACAGGGTCTCACTCTGTCACCCAGACTGGAGTGCAGCGGCATGATCTCAGCTCACTGCAACCTCCACTTCCTGGGCTCAAGTGATTCTCCCGCCTCAGCCTCCCGAGTGGCTGGGATTACAGGCACGTGCCACTACTGTCTGGCTAAATTTTTTTTTTGTATTTTTAGTAGAGACGGGGTTTCACCATGTTAGCCAGGCTAATCTCGAACTCCTGAACTCAAATGATCCACCCGCCTTGGCCTCCCAAAGTGCTGGGATTACAGGCGTGGGCCACTGCGCCCGGCTACCTTAGCATAATTTTTCAAGGGTTCATCATGTTGTAGGATGTATCCATACTTCATTCGTTTTTATAGCCAAACAATATAATATCTCATTGTAAGGAGAGATTATATTTTAATTTTTTAGCTGATAGACATTTGGGTTGTTTTCACTTTTTGACCATTACGAATAACGCTACTATAAATATTCATGGAGAAGCATTTATGTGAGCATGTGTTTTCCTTTTTCTTGGGTTAAATGTTTTATAGGTATAATAGTAGCTTTGTGAATTTTCTTGAAGGACAGTTGTTGAAAATCTCATACTTTGAGCCCATCAAAATCTAATTGTTAAATCAAAAGATGAGACACAGCATACTGTTCAGAAATCATTCCAATCACTATTCCCTAAATAAGCTGTGATACCATGTAATACCATTCATCATTAGACTGGTTTAACGTTCTTCACTCCCAGAAACGCCAGTTAACATTAAATTCTAATTAATTGCCTATAGAAATTTTCAAGTATTCAAGTGTACTTTAAACACAGAAACGAATTTAGGGATTTAAATATGATTATTTGGGTAGTTGTTTCTGTTTCTTGCATGTGACTCAAATATGAGTTAAATGGGTCTCTTTTAAGTGTTTTTTTCTCCAGTCACTCAGCCCTTTCAAAAGAAATATTTTTAATACATATTTTTAAGAGACAGGGTCTGGCTGTCTTGTCCAGGCTGGATGGCTATTCACAGTTGTGGTCATAGCTCACCACAGCCTAGCACTCCTGGCTTCAAGCAATCTCCTGCTACCTTAGCCTCCTGAGTAGTTGGGGTTACAGGTACATGCCACCATGCCCAGCTAGTCACTCATATCCTTTTGCTTGCTCATACATATACCCATTTTTTTTTTTGCTTGATGATACAGTCTAACTTATGTTATAAAGAACTTTGCATTTGCATGTATATTTTCTGCATGTCTCCACCTCTTTTTAAAGACATGTTAAGATCTTAACTTCTTCAATTGTTCATTCCTTATATGCTATAAACTGTCTAGAGAAGCCTTCGCAATCTTTAAAATGTCAACATGAGGACTTTTAAACTGGATTAACATGGTCAAGGCAAGCTTTATGAAAATAATAATAGCTAACTCTCATATAGCATCTTCCGGGTAGGCACTTTCTGTATATCAATTGATCATCAGAACAACCCTAGGAATAAAGTCCTATTATCATCCCCATGCTACAGATAAGGAAACAGAGAGCTGGTATCACTTGCCTGAGGTCACACAGCTGGTTACTGGGCCAGCTAGCTCTGGCATCCAGGCTCTAAGCTATCACATCACACTGCTTCTTACGATGATAAAGGGGGATGCTAGCATCACATCTTAACACACGGTTTTAGTGGGCAGCCATTTCAACTACTACTCTCAAGCTAAGAAAGGTGGATTTAATAAGCATTTTTAAGAATCACAAGAAAGAAGGGAGGAGGGGAAGAAAAAAGAAAAGTAGCTAGAGATAATATCCCAAGCTAACTAAAGAGGTAGCACTTTTCTCTTACCAGCTGGGATGAAGATCTATTCCCCAGTCTACATGATTGCCCACTTACATTATTGGACTTCACTTTTTGAAGGAAGAATAATGTGAAACCATGTTACACTCCAGAGCCATTTATTATCCACCCGGGAGGCAAGACAGCAAATCTCACACAGCACAGTCACAACTGACCACTAAATGAAACCTCATTGACATTTGAAAAGAGAAAAAGTTCATAAACGTGCTTTAAAGATACACCATAATCACGTAGCTAGTAGAGAAACCATAAGCTATTATGTAATATAAACGCATAGAAGTCACAGTTCCATCCTTATTATTTTCCTTGCAGTTTTTATGAGATGGGTAACGACTAAGCCACAGTGAGAAGGCACAACCTGCTCAGTGGGTGAGTCGGCCCCTGCTACCCTCCCCACTTCCCTCCCAGATCATCTTGGGATCCAATCACACCTGTGCTGCTCATGCTGGCTACTCTATGCTATTCTACAAACACAATCCTCTATTTCGGATCTATCTCACCCAGCAAACTCTTTAATTCAGTGGTCCAGCCTCCAGAGCCCAGCATTCTGCTAGCTATTTCTTTGAAAAACAGTCACTCACACAAAACTAAATTGCCATAATGGCTTGATGTGATGTCCATCTTGGCCAAGGCCATGAGGAGGTTAGGATTCAAGGTCTTTCTCAGTTCATGTCAAGACAACAGTGAGCAGAACTGGGGTCTAATACTGGCCCAGGGATTTTGCCATTTTACTAAAGATTAGAATGAGCGCAAGACTGGGAGTCTCGTACCTGGTGGCCTCAACACAAATTCAAGGCAGGGCCCAGGAGGAAGTCCCTTTTCCTCCCTGGTACTCAAATTTCGTCTGCTTTAAAATAAAAGAATTGGACCAAAAAATATCTAAGGATCCTTCCAGCTGTCAAGGTCTCTGGCTGTGTCCCTCTTTCTCTTGCATGATCTGTCTACTCTACCTATGACAAGTTCAAGCTAACCTGGGTGAGAGGGTCTGTGGTCACAGACCAGGGCATGGTTGATGAGTCCACAAGCATTACACACTGATGGCTGTGTCTTCAACATCACACTCCAGCTCACCAAGCTCATCTACCCTAGGCTACTTAGCAAAGCCTGCAGCTCCACACCCTACCCTCAGTCACCTGTCTCATGAGAGACACAATCATTTCATCCAGCCACCCACCCACCTTTGCATTGACTATGCATCAGCTCACAGCATACATTGCAGGCTCAGGTTCATACTTTCTTCTCCAAGTGACTTGATCCTATCTCCACTCCCCAGGGATTTGCCAGGGACATCAACATCATCAGAAACATAAAACACTCATTATGCATCCAACATTTCAGTATCTACTATGCATTAAGATGACAAGAAAAGGCCTGGAACAGTCCCTCAACTTCCCACCACCACATGCACCAACCTTCCTGCAGCAGCTCCTAGCTTTCCTCCTCCCCTTAAGATGGGAAGAACTCTGCCTTCTTATGGATCAAAATTCCACCATCTGAGCTCTGGATCCTACCTGAATGTCGGGACTCCAATCTAATAGTGACCCCCTTTCTCTGCCTCCCATTCTCCCAGCTTCAACCTCCCTGCCTACAGGTTCCTTCTCAACAGCATGTTCAATGCTGAAATCATTTACCTACAATGACCACAACAGTGAGGGGGATGGACCCAGGAGTCAGAAGACACGCAGCAAGGATGTGGCTCATGCCAAGGTGGCAGCAGCAACCAGGTGGAGGAGACGGCCCTGAACTCAGGCAGCAGGGGTAGAAATCGAAGGCAACAGACCCAAGTCACATTTGAGAGGTGTGGCATAGATGACTTTCTCTACCAGAAAATATATGTTTTAATAGTTTCTGACTCAGCTAAACAAAGTGCTAGGCCAGGGAGATGGATGTTTTTAGGTAGGAGAATCTGTGGACAGTCATCTAACTGGTATTATCTAATTACATACCTACTCAGAATTTTAAAAGCTGCTCTGTTTCTAGGGCAGAAATTGATACACAGGGCATTCCTGTAGCTCAAACTGTATGTCTACCCAGCAGCTGCCCACATGGAGCACACAGAGTGTGCAGAGGTACACTAAGAACATGGTGTAGCAAACCTATGAAATCCACACTGGTTCTGCACTCCCAGTGCACACAGAGGAACATATATGCACACACAAGCATAATTACCTGCACTGCCATCCTCCTCTGAGGAGCCATTGAGTGTCAAACAGGTCGGCTCACACAGGGCCTCCGAGGAGATCCTGCCATGCCACAGCTGTGAAAACCTCCCACTGGATGGAGCAAATTATTTAGTGCAAGCCTGGCAACACTTTGGAGGACAGCTAGAAGCACAGGTTCTCCAGATTCAATCCATGGAGAGAGACACAAGAATTGAACAGCAAGAACCCTGGAGTAAGAGGCGGGAGAACCAGGTTCCAGCACTAGTTCTGCCACTCACGAACTCGGTGCCTTTGGCCATCACTCTACCTCTCAGGGCCTCAGCTCTCAAGAGGGGATATAATAAAGGCTGCCCTTCCACAATCCTGGAGTTACGGCAAGAGCCATGAGGCAAGAGAGAGAAAAGAGGTCTGAAAATTAAAAGGCAGTATAATGTGAGTTACAAGAAGTATTAAAGATCAGTTTGGGTGTCACGCTCTGTCTGATGGGAGGCCATTCTTAGATGCCCAGGACTGTCCCTCACGTTGCAGGTTCTTCTGCATCCTAACCAATGCCCAATCTATGTGGTCCTTCTCCACAACACCCCATCCCATCTGCGTAAAAAAAAAAAAAAAAAAAATCTTACAAGCATTTCAAATTGCCCTAAGGAGGAAGCACCACTCCCAGCTGAGATTCACTCTCTAGACCAGATTTCTTACTTGTACATTCCTCCTTCTGTACCAGATCTATGTTAACATTCCTTTTGGGGTTAGATCTGGGAAGTTCTCTCCTCCCTAACAATCTCTCCTTGATTGACATCATCCATTCCCAAGGCTTTAAGTACCATCTACAGGTCAACACCTGTTTTACCTGCATTGTACAGTGACTAGACAGCTGTACTTGGATGTCAGAAGCAGGGTAGGAAATTCTTAGACATAACAGGTTCCAGATTAACTCTTTGATTTTCACCCCAGGAGTGTCTCTTCCCTCCCTCCCTCCCCACCATTTTTTTCTCAGAGTCAGCAAATAGAACTTCCATCTACCTAGTTTCCCAAGCCAAAAACCCAGAAGTGCCCCAAGCCAGTTAACAGCATACAGTCTAGAGTTAGGGTGCCCAAGTTCACATCATGTTTGCCAACTGCCAGCAATGTGCCTTAGGGAAGATGTATAACTCCGCTGTGATTCCACTGCCAAATCTATAAAATTGAGATACTGTTCTAATGGCAATTAAATAACATTCATATATCACTTATGATACTAAGAAACATTCCCTCTTATTACACATATCAAAGCAGGGAAATATTTTTGAAATACATTAATACACTTTTCTCTTCCACATTTCTTTTATTATGACATTCTCCTTCCTCAACTCAAGGCATTAATTTGTCTCAAGTGGATTAGGATTATTATAGTAAGAAGGCAAAGACAAGGGACAAATGCCACAGAGTTCAACTTCTGACGATCAAAACAGGATTTTTGGTTCTCATCATGATAATTGTCTTGAAATCCTGCCTGCTGCCGTGGAGAAAGGAACATTCAAAAGTTTGTTAGATTCCTACTCAGATATCAAGAGTGAGGTTTAAGCAATATGAATTTTGCACCACGGTCAGAGAGAATTCAGGATGTAAAGTGACAGAAGTCCCACTTGCCACAGGGGACTGGGAGGGAAGTCTGAAGGAAGGGTCACAGAGGAACCAAGGGAAGCATCCAGTGTCCTCACTCCCCACGCAGGCCCTTTACCCCCACCTCCTAGGTTCTAGGACAGGTTTAAGGGAATCCCCGGACCAGACTAAGGAAGAAGCCCAGCCTAAAGTGGGAAGCTAAGTTCAGCTTTGGTGTGCTGCTGTTTAAGATAACAGCAGACCAGCATTGTTGGAGGAGGCAACTGACAAACCCATAGATGGGACTAGGGGCAGGATGGGAGGTGGAATTTGCTGCTTTGTCAAAGTTACAAAGGGTCTTCTAGGCATCTTCTTTAAGAATAAACCATCTATTCTTCTTACAGATTTCCTATGTGAGAAATCCTACAATGTCTTACAAAAAAAAAAAAAAGTCACTTTAGTGATTTACTACCATGACAGTAAAGACATCTTTCATTAGTTCTAAGAACATTGCGTCATCAGCCCACCTCAGTTCTAGAGGAAAGAGCTCTAGAGAATGGGAGCACCTGGATTCTAAATGGACACTGCCACTTAGCCTACATGACCTAGACAAGTTTTTGAACTGCAGTGGGCCCACAACACACCTCACAAGGGTATTATGCCAAACCAAGCTGCGGCGTGACCACAGTTCAGACGGAAAGCACTGGACTATTTTGGTTATTATCAACCATCATAGTATGAAGCTATTAGTAAGCTTCTATTAATGCGGCTCCAGAGTATCTAGATACCAGGAGAATGGGAGAGGGCCATGATCCTCTTCTCTGGCCAGTTGAGTTAGAATCCTGGCTCAATTACGGAAGCCACATTTTGTGAGATACTTAGAAAAATTGAAATATATTCTGAGAAAGTCAATCAGAATAGTAAACTATCACATGAAGAATGCTAATGAGATGAGGAAGAGTTTAGCTTAGAGAAAAAAGACTAAAAGACCATTCCCAGAATAGTCTGTTCTAGCAGCTGCTCCAGAAAAGAGGCAGGCCCTGGGGCTGTGGTAGGTAGCAGGGCGGCTGGTATCTCTTCACCTCTAAGAGCTTTCAAAAGTGGAATGGCTGCCTCCCGGAGACACTAGAAGTTTCCAGCCTAGACCGGGTATCATGCGTTGAAGATGCTGAAAGATGAAACCCTGTCCTATGCTGTTTGACCTGAAGAGCCTTCCAACTTCAGAAAGAAAAAAAATCTTCACTCTATGCACTACCTCAACACATACTCCATAAAATAAAATATAAGGGGCTCTATAAATATAAGGAAGTAAAATGGACAAAATTGTAGAAGTGACAACCCCATACAGGCAGGAAGAAAAATCTCTGCTTTAGATTGCTGAGCTGGAGTTCGTACACATCAGGTAATTATGATGGATTAATATGTGCAATGACAAATGGAATAAAACTCTAGGAGCCCAATGACCCAGTGCGGAAGCAGAAAAAACCCGAGTGAGCATATATTAATCCCCAGTATCATAACTGAAGATCAATACCATACATTTAAACTAAATGTGGCTAGAGAGACTCTAAATAGTTCAAACACTTATATTAACATTCTCAGGAACACAAGGTCAGGGGTGCAGTCATTCTTAGCTAGGAAGGGTGACTAAGCAGAGAAGTCCTGGGTGCTGGGATTCCACCTCTCTCCTTCTCTCTGCTACCAGGTGCAAGACATTTTCTCAAAAGACATCCCATAATTCTAAGTATTCTTGGTACTTGCTCTTGTAGAGAAGGTTTAATGCCCTTTTTAACCAAAAAGGACATCTTTTTAAAAGCAAGTCATCAATCATGAATCATTTTATTCTCTAGTTCTGGGAATACAGAGGACCAAATTAATTTCCGTCATCTTTTGGCTGTAAGTACACTCCTCCCTCTGGCTTCCAACATTATCGATCTGTAATAGGGGCAGGAGCCAGGAAGGTTCAAAGGCATTTGCTTTTAAGCCTGTCCACTGTGGTTCTAAAGGACATAGACATGGGGCTTTCTCCTGGCCATGCTGCACTGCCTGCAGACCTTTCTGCAGTATTCCTCAACCAGAGAGGTTCCCTGACTTCCCGAGTATCTGCTGTGGACAAAGACCAGGTAGACTAGCCATACACTGGGACTTAAAATCATGGAGATAGTTAAAATTAAGAGCTTTGGGGAGTTCCTTTAAGTCAAAACACTGTTCATTATCATACTAAAACTGTCCTTACGAACTGTATAAAATTAATCAGGGAAGAAGGGAGTGGGAAAATGAAAATAAACCAAGCTTGCAGCACATTCAGTGTTCATGAGGTCGGCTTGCTTTCTGACTCTCTTCCTCATAGTTATGTGGTGCCTACTGTCCTAGAATTACAGAGACCCTGTTACAAGACTATAGCTCCCGTTCACTGCTCTATAGATAACAACTTGAATATTAAAAAACATTTTCCATTTAAGATTTTCTTTCAGAGATCTGGGAAGTTCTCACTTCCCTAACAATCTCTCCTTGATTGACATCATCCATTCCCAAGGCTTTAAGTACCATCTACAGGTCAAGACCTGCATATCAGTGATACTAACATAGCTGGTCTGAAGGACCTCAGGAGAAACTAACTCAAAGAACGCAGTTTCCACATCCCGATGATTTCATCACCCTTCCTCCAACCAGTTCACAACCCCAGTTGTCTAGCCCCTTGCCCTCTGTGATCCCCTTAAAAACTCCAGCCCGGAACTCCTCAAGGAGGTGGATTTAAGGATCTCCTCCCATCTCCTCTCTTGGTGCCCTGTGATCATTAAACTCTTTCTCTGCTGAAAACCCTGCTGTCTCAGTGTAACTGGTCTGTTACTGTGCAGTGGGCATATGAACCTGTTGGTCCTGTAACAGTATATGTTTATTATATCCTAATAGAATCAAAGAGCTACTAGACAGTGCAGTGCTCTTTAACCCAGCCTAGACAGATGACACTAATAGAGGGACAATGGCCTGCACTCTCAGTTATATTCCCTAAGATGGAATGGCCACCTTCTCTCATCTTCACCCCACTGTAAAGGTACAATGACAAGGACCCCAGCAGGGGCCCGTGGGACAGCTTTTTCCTCTGAAATATGAACCAGTCCACAAAGATCACTGCATATGTGGCTTTAGACACTTCCCTAGACATTAAACTCATTATCTTACTTTTGACATGCATCCCTATCAATAAAGAAAACTGTGAACATGCTTACAGTTTATAAATTGTTTTCTGTGACACTGTACTATATTATGCATAGTATAAAACATATACAAATGATATTTTAAGTTTTAAAAAGATGTAAAAAAATAAAGTTTTAATATTTTCTTCACATACTCTAGTGAATCATCTTCCAAAAACTAGTACACCCCAGCAGTTTGAAGATTGCTGCTCTAACCAACTGATTCACTACTGCAAGCACCAGAAGGGACTATCACTTCCAGCCACTTAAGAAAAGCTGCTTTCTGGCATCCACCACATGATCAGTGGTGTCTGGCTAGCCATCTTTCAAAAAACTGGCTATATACAATCAAATAATTATTTGGTTCCTGCAATGGAATATATTATTTTCTGTTTACGTTTACAGTGTCTGTAAACTGTAAAAGGGCAGTAAAGTCCACATTTAAACGCTATTCTGGGGCTGCTCAGCCACTAACAGTGCAATTTCACTCTAACTGTAGAACTGAAAGTGGCTTGTTTTCCATATATAATAAATGCATAAGCATAGTGTAGTTTATGCTGTATTTCCTCTAGACAAATTGAAAATAGAATCATAGAAGTTATAATTGGTTGCCAAGCACAAACCTATTAAAAAGTCCAAAAGAATTTCACTGAGCACATAGAACTGGCTATCCTTATACT